>NC_000021.9:35194570-35504525 GCF_000001405.40 Homo sapiens
GCTTGGACTTTTCCAGCCAAATTTTGAAGAGATCTTGAAAGTTTATTCTCATGAAGCTTTTTACCTTTTTTGCTTCTGTGATTTTGCGCTCTCATGGCTCTCCTTTCACCCTTCCTAGCTCTTTCTCAGACACATTTTCTCCTGCTCATCAGTGAAATGTTTTTGCTCAGAAGTCTATCCTCAGCTTGCTATCTTCTCACCCCACCTGGTTATTTCCTGGGTGATGCTGTCCACGCCCATGCTTTCCAATGCCTGGTATAGGGCATAGATTCCAATGTGGACAACTTTCATGCTGGCCTCCACCACAGCACGCTTCAGATGCACATATCCAGCTGTTTATTGCACACCATACAACCCACAGGTATTTCATACTTTCTCTGTACTACACAGAACTCAAAATCTTTCCTACAAATTTCTGTCTTCCTATCTGTTCCCTATCAATTCACTCATATAATTTAGAGAAATGGAACTTGCAGGCATCATTGTGCCTTTGCCCTTAACCAGTCACACTACAACTTCTTTTTACTTTATTCCAAGTTATTTCTTGATTTTTCCTATCTCCACCTCCTCTCCACCTCTCATGCATTTCTACTCTGGCTTCTGCAGGCCCCTAGTCATTTCTTGCCTTGATTAAGTGCAAGAGCCTCTAATCATTCTTTCCACCATCAACAGTGTTCTCCTGAAAGCCATTCCCTGGAGTCACCAGAATTATCTGGTACCAAATCAAACCAAAACATGGCACGTCCCTTGAATGAACCCTTCAGTGGCTGCTATCACCTCCAAAGCAAAGCCCAAGTGCCTTAGCAAGAACTTTGGTCACCTCCCCAGGAAATACTCTCACTCCTCCTGACTCATGCATGCTGTCAATATGGAACTCCTAAAGTTCTCAAGGATGCCCTGCCTGGAAGGCTTCCAAACCCACTTTGTCACAGTTCTCCTTGAAGGGTCTGTGATTCAGCTCAGGGACTATCTCTTTCTGATTCCTCTTATGACACCTTAGGCTAGCCTAAGCCCTCTCCCTTCTATATGAATAAAACCTTATACCTGCACCTATTATTTCATTTACTTTATAATGCATGCATTTTTGTGTAATATACATATATATATGTATATGCACATATATGTATTTATGTATATCTATATACCTCTATCTAATCTATCATCTATCTCTCTAGTCATTGCACTTGCTTTACAATGATTCACATGAGTTTGTCTAACCCTACTCATCTACGGACAACTTAAATCCAGTAATGAACTTGTTCAGTCACCTATGAATCTCCAGTGACTACTGTGGTACATGGACTAAACAAAGTCTGTATTCTATCAATACTTTTGGAAGGAAATTATGAAGAAATACAGTTCCATCTCTCCCACAAACAGATCAGAATGTACGGAATAATAACTGGCTTGCATAATTTGGATATCTGTCCCCTCTAAGCCTCATGTTGAAATTTGATCCCTGTTGTTAGATGTGGGGTCTAGTAGGAGGTGTTTGGGTTATGGAGGTGGGTCCCTCATGAATGGCTTGGTGCTGTCCTTGCAGTAGTGAGTGAGTGTTCACTCTATTTGTTCCCTCAAGAGTTCACCCCCTAGCCGGTTGTTAAAAGACCTTGGCACCTCCCTCCCCTCTCTCTTGCTTCTTCTCTCACCATGTGACTTGCACAAGCCTGCTCCTCTTCACCTTCCCCAGTGAGTGGAAGATTCCTGAAGCTCTTATCAGAAGTAGATGTTGGTGTCATGCTTCTTGTACAGCCTGCAGAACTGTAAAACAAATAAACCTCTTTTCCTTATAAATTATGCAGCCTCCGTAAGTATTCGAGGAGAGCTTTCTATGTGCTCAGCGCTCTTCCAGCTGCTAGAGATACAGCAGAAAACAAGATACGAGAAGTCCAACTTAGCAGAGATCACATTCCAGGGTGCCAAGTATCCTGACAACATAAAAGTCAGCACATAAATGAACAAAAGGACTTCTGACAGGGCTAAGTCATTCAATTAATTTTAGAAATATTTATTGAACTCCTGTGTAAGGGTCAGATACTCTTCTGGGTCCAGAGCGTAGAGAAAGTAACAAAACAAATATCCCTTCCAACATGGAACATACAGATGAAATTCAAAAGGGGCTGGACAATGGTAGAGAGTGACTTGGTATAGGAGCTACATTCAATAGTACGGCCAGCTAGGGCTTCTTTAGGAGACACTGTTTGTGTTCAAGTTTGAATGATAAAATCAGCAAAGCACAGAGCTGGGATTGAGAGGGTGGAATATTCCAAGATAGGGAAAGATGATGAGCTTGGTGTACACTGTACAGTAAATATAGCAGTCCTGAGACTGCTAGCCTGATGAACACCTACTTGCAAGGTTGGTCCCTGGTTCACATCTGAAAATTGGGATTTCAGTAATGTTTCCACCACTAGAGAGTGGCTTAATTAATTGATAAGCTTTAACTAATTGATAAAGTTGGTTTACCATACCTGAAGTGTTTATAAACACAATGGGACTTATGCTGAACACCTGCTTTTCTTGGAGAGTCTGGAATGTTGGTGTGTGTTAGGGGAAGAGTGCCTATGTGATAAGCCCCAAATAAAAACTCTGGATACTGAATCTCTAACAAGCTTCCCTGGTAGACAACATGTGTCACAATTCAATGCTAAAGGAATTAAGCATGTCCTGTACGACTGCGCTGGGAGAGAGGACTCATAGAAGCTGGTTTCTTGTTTCCTCTGGACTTGAACTCATGTGCCTTTTCACTTTGATCATCTCCTTTGGTATCTTTTCATTATAATACACTGTAGCTGTGAATATGACCATATGCTGAGTCCTGTAAGTCTTTCTAGTGAGTCATTGAATCTGAGAATGGCTGTGGGGATCCCTAACACATCGTGCATACTTACTTCGTGTAATTCATGTCATATATTTGAAGAAAGGGGTTAGTATGAACAAAAGAGTTGGGTTTAGTGCTAAAGACAGACAAAAACAAGGGATGTGTTTTGCAGGAAAGACCAGCTTAAGAGAATCAACACCAATAAGGCTGCATGGTAATAAAACCTTTGGCAGGTTTCATTCAACTGCTTTGACTCTTTTTTGGTCCTTTTATGGTTTTCTCATCATACCATTCTTTCTAAGTAACTCCAAGACTTTAGGCATTTAAGTTATTCCTGGATATTGGCCTAAGCCTTTATCTTCTTAAAATGGTTCTTCCACGTTTACAACCATTACAATTCACCAAACATAAATTAACTGTCTTTGAGACTCCTCAAGATTACATTACTCCATCATTCAATGAATAGTTATTGAGTACAGATATTTTATTGCAACCCTAAGTACTAAGGTAGCCATTGCTGATTCAAAGATGACTAAGACAAATCCATCTCTATTCTCAAGGAACTTGCTCAAGGGAAGAAAAGTGCCAAAGAAAAACAGGCAAAAGGGCTTTGTTCGGATGGCAGTTTTGCAATTGCATATAAGTTTTCAGGGCCTTCTGGCCATCCAAAGCCACATGTCCTATGCCACAGCCATGCTCCCAACAGGTGAACATAGAAAACTGTAGGTGAGTCAGCATATGGAAAATGCAGGGGATTCCTGAAATAGTACTGAGTCATTAATCACTGATATCCTGGCTCAGTTCACGAAGCAACTGGGAGTAAATAAGCAAAGAAAGTGAACTAATGCTTAGAAGATGGAAATACCCCTGGGGACATTTGTTGAGTCAGTATAAGAACGTGGAAAACTTCAACAGTCATAGATTCAAATGGAATGAAATAAGAGGAGAAGAACATTCCCCAACAGCTTGATCTCTCATCAAAAATTGCTGGCAAGCACCACTCTTCTGAATTCTCTACTTTGGGAATTGGAGGAAGGAAGAAAAGAAAGGAATAAAATGTTGTTCTGATCTCAGCGGATTCTAAATTTATGTGATGTGACAACACATAGTACACAAACACATAGCTAGTGTTTGATGTGTGATGTTGAATTGACTTATACAAGGCAAATTATAATACAAAGGAAAAATAACATAGAAGAAAACAACCTGGAGAAACTGATGGGAGGGAAGATAGGCTTTGGAAGGGGTAAATTAATTAACTCAAAATAAGATAGTTTAAAAAAACAAACAAACTACAAATGGGGATTCATATGTACGGGTTGTTTCAAAATATTGAGTCTTGCCAAAGTTGCCTTGAGAGAAAAGTGAAAGTGACACTAGATATTGATATGTTTGGTTTAGTGGTACTTCCCACTAAATTTGGAGCTTCTCAAATATTATAAAGTGAATTTCTGATAGCCAGTTGCTTCACTGATTTCCATTGCAAAATCAAGGATGTGTTTTTTTCTTTTTTTAGGAAACAAAGATTTCACTTACATGTAAAAGATATATTTAAGAACATAGTAAACTTCTAAAAGCACAGCTTAAAGAAAAAGAACCACCCACAACAAAACACTTTTTTCAAAATATCAACAGTCATAGAACACACACACACACACACACACACACACACACACATATGTATCATACAAATGTTGAATTGGTTTACAGTTGTTTGTACATTTCAGCTAAAGACCTAAATGTAGAAAATTGACCAAGTCATTTCATGAAACTCAGTGACCTTCATGTTCAGCATGGTACTTTCCCATTTTTTCTACTTTCTTCACTTAAGAACTTATTCCTACATATCTCTTTTAGCACATGTACACATTTCAGCATCCCTGATGTGAAGAGAGAGGGTCGAACACCCCAAGGACTGTGAAACTAACAATCATTGACTGCATCCTCCTATTCAGTATTGTGCTAAGCACTAGACGGTCTGATGACATTTAATTCATAAATGCAGTGCACAATGGGTGTTCTTATTCTCATGTTACAGTAAAGGCTGAAATGTCCATACTCTCTTTTGCTCCAAACAACAGGCTCTGAGAAGGCTCATCCACCGATAATGCCACATGCAAGGCTCGTCCCATCAGCATTTGCCAGTCCAGTCCAGGGCGGGCTGCCAGGCCTGCCATTGTCTAGGGCTATTGGATCTCAGTGTTTGGGAGGACGCTTCATCCAGCCACACCAAATGCATGACTTTGAGGGACACCACCCCTCTTCAAAAACTGGAAGCAACTCAGCAACCTAACCAGCAATTTCACACAAACCAGGTCAGGGAGATGATAGCTTGTCCATGGGTTTACTTATGAAAGCTGCTCAGCAAATTTATTGTAGCTGGGTAGTAATGCAGGTTTGGTGACTCTTCAATGCCACATCTGCCCCTAAAGGAGTTCCAGGAATTCTGATGGAAATTCACTGAGTTTTACTTCTGTGCACATTCTGTCACCCAGGCTGGAGTGCAGTGATGAAATCAAAGCTTACTGTAGCCTCAACTTCCGAGGTTCAAGCAATCATCCTGGCTCAACCTTCTGAGTAGTTGGGACTATAGGTGCATGCCACTATGCCAAAATAATTTTTTAATTTTTTTGCAGATATGGGGTCTCACTGTGTTGCCCAGATTGGAGTGCAGTGCCACGATCATAGCTCACTGCAGCACTGACCTCCAGGGCTCAAGCAATCCTTTTGCCTCAGCTTCTGAGTAGCTGGGACTACAGCTGTGCACCACCATGCCTTCTAACATTTTTAATATTTTTTGTAGAGGTGGGGTCTAATTATGTTGCCCAGATTCATCTCAAACTTCTGGGTTTAAGCGATCCTCCTGCCTCAGCCTCCCCAAGGGCTGGGATTACAGATTTGAACCACCATACCCAGCCCTTTACAGGTTCTTTAGCTTCTCCTGTGGATGCCAGTCCACAGGGACAGAATGCAGTACTCAAAGCTGAGAAGACAAGTTTTGCGCTTGCACAGGATTCCCCGTTAAAGCAAATAACAATAATGTGAAGTGAAATGCTGTCTTTCAAAAAGTTATTTGCTCTTCACAGATTTTTTTTTCAGTGAATCCTTCCCA
The DNA here is from genome assembly GCF_000001405.40 of Homo sapiens. Classification (NCBI taxonomy): domain Eukaryota; kingdom Metazoa; phylum Chordata; class Mammalia; order Primates; family Hominidae; genus Homo; species Homo sapiens. The sequence goes on from NC_000021.9 coordinate 35,200,504, forward strand.
TTTCTTTTACATAAGACATTTCCCAAGTCTCATCACCTTTCTTAGGCCACAGGTAATTCAGAAAGCTATAGATTTAATAATTAATAGGATTCTACCAGACCATTTCTTTCCTTACATTTTCAATCAATCAGTCATTAGCTATTGAGCATCTATGATATCTTTCACCCTCCTTGGAATAAAAGCATTATTTTTTAAAAGTTTTCTTGGCTTCACTGACGCATGTTCCTATCCTTTCTCCATGAATAACACTTGTTTGCTCAAGCCAGACACCTGAGGGAATCCTACCTGCCCACTCTCCCTATGTCCCCTCCAATCTGCCATCCAGTTCTGCCAGCTGTTCCCAGTTCTCTCACTCTCTGGGTCTGGCCCTCATGCAGCTAGCTCAAATCATTGAAAGGACTCCATGACGGTCCACCGTGAACAATGCCTCTAGAACAGGAAAATATGATCACATCTTCCCTTGCTTAGGATTTTTCAAGTTTCTTCTGACCAAAGAATGAGCTCACCTTTCTTGCCTGCCGGAGGAGGCTATGCAGTCATTTATTCAGTTCAACCTGTTTTTATTGAGCACTTACTGTGTGCCAGGCATTGATTTAGGTGCTAAGGAAATAGCAGTGAACAGAATCCCTGTTCTGGTAGAGCTTCCATTCTACTGAGAGGAGACAGATAATAAACAAAATAACTCATGCATGTGTGTGTGTTTGTATGACATGCACACACATGTATATGTACATTTGTATACATACATGTATATTTATACTTATTTTTAGAAGGTGACTTGTGTACAAGGTGACAAAGAAAAACAAAGCAGGGCAGGATTCTAGGGAATGCTGGAGGAGGGGTTCATTTTACATAGGGTAGTCAGGGAAGAAATCAGTAAGAAAGTGACATTCTGACAAAGATGTGAGTTAGTCCCTGCTTGTTTGTGCAACATCTTTTTTTACCGCCTCTCTGCCTTGCATATTCTGTTTCACAATATTGAACTCTTAGCTGTCTCAAACCTACCAGTCCTTCAGCCTCCAGGCCTCTGCACGCATGGTTGATTGGCCCCAGGTTGCCTGTTCTCTGCAAAGGTGGACTCTTAGTTGTCTTTTTTGTCTCTGCCCCTCTTCTCTTCCTGGGATTCTCTAGGCAGGCTCAAGACCCTCCCTCTGGGCTTTGACTTTGCCTGGAACAAACCTGCTAGAGTGACTATCAACTCATATCATAGTTCTTCTCTTTCCCTCTCTAAATACCTATATGCAGACATAGACATGTCCATATGTAACATATAACACATGTTATTCACTGAGTTTTTACTGGGGTAAGTATATTTTTAAAATACATGTGTATATGTTCTGTATTCTCCATTACTTTTTGAAACAACCTAATAAGGTAGAATTATCCCCATTTCACAAGTGAGAAAATTCACTTACCCAATCCCTTTCCACTAATGGGGCTGGGCTTGAGCTGAAAGTTATCTGACACCACAGCCTTGGTCTGCCCACAATGCCCATAGCTTTCTCCCCAGAGCCTAAGCTCCCTTAGAGTACATTCTATAGCTTTGAGTTTTTGTGTCTTGCACCTAGCACAGTGTTCAGTACAGAGTAATTGCTCCCTAAATATTTATTGAACAAATACATTTTAATACTATTCATTCATTCATTATTAATGATGTGCAAAATTTCTATGTCTAGCTTCCTAAGTGTGTCTCCATAGGCCCAATCTTTCAATAGCAATAATAGCAATATTTTCATAGCACTTACCATGTACCAGGTACTGTTATAAGTACAAATATCAACTTTTTTGATCCTCACAACCCAATGAGGTAGGTACCACTTTTTTCTCCATTTTACAGAGGGAAAAACCAAGGCTTCAAGTAGTTAGTTCAATTTTTGAAGCTCACACAGCTAGCAAGTGACAGAACTGGGGTTTGAACTCAGGTGTCTTGGCTCCAGAGAGCCTCTGTTCCCCAAGACTGCATGACACTGCCTTCCTCAACCCTTCAGACTCAGGTTCCAGGCCCAGTGAATGATGTTCAGTGATGACTATGAACTGTTTTCTACCACTAAAAAGAGACATAATCAAGAACATCTACTTTGTATTGCTTAGTAGAGAAAAGCAACCTCTTAAATCCAGTACTCTTAGTGACTAAGCTAATATTCAGAGGAAATTTGGCAACCTCCTTCTAACATACTGAAGGCAAAGGGTAATAAAAACATAAAAGGAAAAGTATCCAAAAAGAAAGTAGATAACTAGGTGTTTGAGAAAAACAAAAATAAAGAAGTTTTTGTTGTTGTTGTTTGTTTTTTTTAGATCAAGAAAATATTGGGAAACTGCTACTGAAAGAGGATTGATGTTGGCATAAAGGGAGAGATCTTCTGTATCTCAAAGGAAATTTGCCTTTTAATCCAAAGTCAAGAAAGCCCATAAACTTACCCTAGAATCAAGAAGGAATCAACTAAATTATATCAGAATTCTTAGATCCGAAGAAGGTCATTTTCAGTAAGTGGATACTTGCAGGCTTAAATGAAATGTGAAAAATTTTGAAGGAAAATGTGATCAGGAAGTCAAAGTAAGCTTTTGACACTGCCTGCCACTCCCCACTCCCCACAGACACCCTCCCCTCGAAAAGAAAAGGAATAATTTTTTCCACTGCTTCATGAAGGGGACAAAGTCCTTTGCGACTTCTTTGCCTTAGAATACTATTAATCTTTTGTTGTTGTGTTCCTTTAGAATACTATTAATCTTATAAAACTGTGCCTCTGACCACAGGGTGGATTCCAGCATTAAACTACCAATGCTTTACAGAGAATCGTGAGAAACACTCAGGGAAGAGGTAATTCTACTCAAGGGTCATCCTTTTTCCTTGCCAATTTTTTTTTTCTTTATCAGCATTTGAAAGAAAACCAGATATTTTCTTTCCTGAAAGTTGATGACTTCAGGTGGGGAACAAGCATCTGTGGCAGATGGACTCTTGAAACGCAGTGAAATATCCTGTCTTCCTATAAATGTTTATGGGAGCAGGAGAACTGAAGAAGAAAAACACAGCAAAATGTTGCATGACTCACAGTCCGAACTGCTTCTAAATAAAGCATTTCTCAGAGTTTCCCATGAGGTGATTTGAGTGATCAGGCAGCAGGGTCCCTGTGAGTGGAGCAAGCACATTTTTAAAATACAAAAAGGTATATCCAACAGTCACTCAGGAGAATCGTTCTGTTGTTTTCGATGTTTAAGAAAATGTATGTCTAAGATGAGAGTATCAGATCATGTATATCATGTCCTGTTCCATATGTGGCCAGAGCGTCCCAGCAGTTCTTGGCTCGGCCACTTTGCAGATGATGATCAGCAGGACGTTTCATATTGACTCACAGACTTTCCTCTAATAGAGCATCTCCAAGTGATGATAATTAAGTTTAATTTTAGATCGTGTGTGCTGGACCTGGGAATGTTTTTAAAGTGGTAGCAAGCTCCATTGACTTTGGCAGTTGAGTTTTGAAAGGAAGGTCTTATGTCTTAGACTACCTCCATACTGTTCAGTCCCTTTATACTCCAGAAAATTATGAATTTGGAATCAACTGGGGAGAAATCCTTCGTCAGACTACTGTGCAAACGGTAGACACTCCTGCCCTTGACTGTCAGCCTCGCAGATGGAAACGTGGCCACCCTTCTTCATATTCAAGGCTCTCTGACTAGAAAGTCAGAAAGTGGCTACAGCCCTTCCAGCCAAGCTAGAGGAGTGGAAAAGTAAAGTCTAGAGGGCTTGAGCTTGTCAGGAACCACGGTTAGAACAATTCCTAGATTCTCTATGCAGCTTACCAGTGACGGTCTTCTATGACCTCATAACAGATTGGCAAAATTACATTAGGTGACTCAACCATTTCTGGGTACTGGTATTGAGTAGCGGTATAAAGACGAAATGATTGTATCAGGGAATAATTACTACCTAGAACGTGTTCAACTCTCTATATGTGCAGCAGACATGTGGTCAAATGAGCTGACTTGTTCTGGGTCATCAGATTTAAAAACTACAGGATACCCACTTAAATATAAATTTTAGATAAACATGAATACATTTTTAGCATACATGTACTCCATGTAATATTTTATCATTCATTGTTTACCTGAACATTAAACAAAATTAGTTGCTTCTCCGAAATTTCAATTTAACTGGACATCTGTATTTTAAATGGCAAGCTTCTAAGATGCACGAGCTTTTCTGAGCTACTATTTTATCAAAACACATTCTGAATGTTTTCCTGCAAGAACTGGGGAATCTAGAGAAAATGCATCAAAAATAATTTAACATTAGCAAGAAAACGGCCACTTTGGAAGGGCTTGTCTCAGTCACTGACACATACTGTAAACCTGTACCCCCGGAAAACCAGCAGGAGAGAAAAGTAAAAGCAACATGATGGTTGAGTGGATCCTATTGTGACCTAACACTTCCACCCAGACAGAATCCGAGTTCCCTGCCCGTAATTTTGAGCTTCAGGTTCCAGTTTCCTCTTTTTCTTTACTAGGTTTCGCTGCCTCCTGTAGGGGGAAATAAGGGAAAAGAGATAACGAAAGAAAGAAAGAAAAAAAAAAGGGCCGGCAATTTCATGTACATTTGTTTTGGCATTCGCTGAATTCTAGAGATGAAAACAATCTCCTGCTTTTAATTCAGTCCACGTGCAACAAAGTTGTACGTTGGGAGATCTGGCTTTTAATAAGAACGATTAACAAGCGTTTTTGATCACAGGAAGTTGAGAAGAGTCGCTGCTTCTAAGAATACAATAAACATTGACTAGCAGTTAGACGGTCCATCTTTCTCTATCAGCCGTTTAGCAGCCTCTACTTTGATTTGGGGCAAATGCGAGATGGGACCAGGAGAGAGCTCCCCACACCCCCACCACCACGTGGGCAGTGGTTCTGTTCCAGAGCGCCTTCCTTCCTGTCCAGGGAGGCAGGCTGCTGAGGCCGTTTCTGGGCAAGAGGCCATTGTCGGGATATTTGCTTTAGATAGCTTGCAGCTGGGCTGAGTGGGTGTTTCATTCAGACTCAACACAGGCAGCTCCCACCGTCTCTACTGTTTCAGGCTAGTGGAAGCTAGGGGCCTTTTGATTTATAAAGAGCTCTCTGTGCCTCCAGTTACATTTTAGGAAGCAAAGCCGTGATAAATGAAGCTCTGGCTGCTGATCTCCTGGATACACACACACACACACACACACACACACACACACACACACACACACGGCCTACACACCTTTTCCCCTGTAGCACAGAGGCTTTCACCACCAGGAGATTTAACCCTGGCCTAGGGTAGCCACGTGGGCATCCGTGTTCATCCGACATCCTCTTACATCAGAGCTTGCCCTGAATAGGGCAAAATCAAAGTGTGGAGCTTGTTGGTTTTTTATGTGGTATAGATATTCTTATATTTATCACATTTCCAATTTGAGGTCATCGACCACCATGGAAGGAACTGTGCTGGCATTTCTGGGCAAAGCCTAAAGTTGATTCTTCTTTTCCTACAGACAATTGTTTTCATGTGTGCTGGGAATGAATGCATTCTGAGGATGAGGGGTGGGGAATTCTACACGCAGGGAACTCAGGAGTCTTATTTTCTTTATTTTCTTATCCTGAGCTACAAATGACTGCTTAATTGGGAGAGACTACAATTACAAGAGTTCACTGAGGGAAGCATGAAAACAAAGTGAACCAGAAAAATAGAAACCCAGACTTCTCAGTTCCTGTTTATCCTATTTTTAATCTCCACATCTCAGTTGCTCTCTTTCTTGCTTCTTTTGCCTTGCTGGAATTCATACACACACCTGGCTTTCCATTTGCCTTGGGGACAGTGAGGAGGTGGAGCCCAAGAGTGGGAGGGCCCTGCTGCCTGCCGGTGGGGAGAGCTGGTGTCCGCTGGAAGAGGCAGACCTACAGAAAGCTCGGCCGTGTCTAACTCAAAGGTGTTGGCAGCACATGAATGATGACTTCTCCTCTCTTAACTGCCTGGGCTAGGAGACTTTCGCATGTCCGGACAAGTGGGAAGAAGGAAGGTCGGGGTGGAGGTGACCATGAGATTGTGGACGAATGTTCAGACTGACCAAGGCCTGAAGAGGTCTGAACGCCTGTGTTCTTCAGCCCTCCTCCCCCTCCTCTCTCTGTGTCTCTGACTCTCTTCTCTCCCCTCCCCTCCCTCTGTCTCCTTCCTTCCTTCCTTTCTTTCCTTCCTTCCTCCCTCCTCCTCCTTCCTTCCTTCCCTCTTTCCCTTTCTCCCTCCCTCCTTCCTTCCTTCCTTCCCCTCCCTTCCTCCTTCCCTCCCTTCCTTCCTTCTGTCCTTCTTTCCTTCCTTCCTTCCACACATGTTTAGGAAATGCCTGCCACCAGCAGTCTCCACATTAGGTTCCAACTATACCAAAGGAATCTGTGCCTTCCAAAACCTTCCCAGGGACAGAAACCACTCACAAGGGATGCCTCTGCCATTTCACCATGCGGGTGCCCACACCACCACAACACACTTCAATTTGTGAAAACACTTTTTCTTCCCTATCAGAGTGAAATAGTGCATACCCTTGTGTGGCTCTGCAACTGAAAGAGACAAAAGGGAATCACACCGGGAAAATCACACATTCTGGAATAAAGAGGGAAATGTAGAAACTGGGATCTTAAAGCCTCGGGGGAGAGGACCCTGGGGCCCGGGCTCTCTGGGCAGCACCCAGGCCTGGGGAGGAGCTGTTTCCAGTCGGTCTCCCTGCAGACCCTGAGTGCTGAGGGGAGGGTTGGCCTGTCTCCTTGGCCCCTGTGTGCCCAGCACCAGCATTTGTGCTGGGAACCTCCCAGGCACCACTCTGTGTTAAGGACGTGCCAGGAGAGACCTGGGAGGAGACGACCCCGGGGCTGGGTAGGTGTCCAGCTCCTTCCTGGTTATCTTCCACCCAGCACAGAGGACATCCTGTAACTCAGTTGCTCCTCACAGGGTCACATTTAGCCTCCCACGGGCTCTGCCACTCACAGTGCTCCTGTCAGGAAGCGGGGTTTGTTCCCTGAGATCGCCAGTCCGGGAGTCTCTCCAGGACCCCTGCGGGTGTCCGGGTGTGGCTTTGGCTGCCCTGTTCCCTGAGCCTGGTGTATCATCATGTGAGAACTGTTACTAGTTTCCATCTCAGGGAAAGGATAACCATGCCCCTAACACCCTGGCAGGACCAGATCTACCTTTCTGTCTAATATGACCCCTTCATCTGAGAGCTGGAACTTTCTGGAACCTTCTAGAGCCTTGTACAGGCTCTGGAGCCTACTGCGGACGCAGAACTAGTAATAGATTTGCTCAGTTCCTGCAGCTTTAGCTGTGGGGCACTCAGAAATTGCTGTGCTATGTGGGCTTAAATAATTTGAATAGACATGAATATATTTAATAAAAACAATCTGCTTTATCGAATTATTTCCATTTTTGTTCTCATTTATTTCCTTTAGCCCCAGATAATGTTAAAATAAACTACTGATGTATAATTAACTTTAGATGTTATAGTATCTTGAGCCAAGCTGATTTCGACGACAGTGAAGAACATTTTGAAGTAGTTTTATGATTTTTCACAGCACAACAGATTTTTATAAGAAGAAAAAAAAGCTTTAAAAATGCTGGCAGTGTTGTTTAGCTCCTCCAACACAAGCACCCACCACAGTAAAGCCCACAAATTCACAGTGGGCTGAAAAGTGGTTTCTGGAACTCTTTTAAACCTTGGCTAACTTTCGGGGGCTCCCAAAGGACAAGATTACTTCATGTCAAAGCAAAAATTCTCCTGACTCTGTAAACAGCCCACGGTTCTGGGAAATATGAAAAACGTAGATCAAAAATGAAGTTGTGTTGTGTTTGGAGAGGCTTTCCGTGATCACGAACCCTCCGTCCCGTGGGATCCACACTACTCCCGGGTTTTTGAGGTCCTCCTCGTCCTCGGGGTCACTGTATCCCTCTTTACCTTCTTCCTCAGAACACCCATTGCCAAATAGAAAACACCAATGATGATACTACTACCAGCCCAGAAGGCTGATTAAATCTGCATACCCTTCTTTGGAGCTTAAACCGTGCTGTGCATTTTCACGGTAAATAGTTTTGTGTTTTGTGGCATATATACAAACTTGGCAAGTAAAGACAAAAGTCACCAAAGACCTCATTTCCCACTAGTTTTGTAACAAAAAGCCAAATTGATATTCTCTTTTCTCCTTCCTACCGCACAAACGATACTCCCTTCATCTTATAGCATAGGTAAGTGTCAACACCCCTCTCACCAAGAATATTTTGTGGCTCAGCAAAAATCAAGTGAACTTAAAATATATTCTGATCCCACCAGGTAAGAAGAAAATGTTTAACATAACACAGTATTCCACCAGAATAAGCTGAGCTGGGGTTTTTTTCCCCGTCGTAGAATTCATGTTGGGAAGGTGGGTGTGAGTGATGATTCACTCACAAAGTGAGGCATGTGATAAAGAAAAGATTGTATCCTAGAATTTTAAACCTTATCTAATAAATTATCCAGACAAAGGGGCTCAGGGCTTTTTGGCAGGATCCTGTACTTCCATTAGAAGCCCAAAAAGCTCAAAGAAAAGAAACTACAGTGTATTCCATTCGTTCCTTTGGCAACTCGGATCTTCCCTTGTTTTAAACCAAACAAACATTCGCAAGGAAAACCAGCTGCTTTTACAATGAATAAACCCATTACCTCAACTCCTTTACTCAATACCATTACAGAGGTATTTTTACTTGTCAGATTTTCTGTTTCAGAGAAGCTTGGATATTTTCAGTATGCTGTCAATACAGACAAAACAGAGCTGGTTTTAGCAACAGCACCAGATGTGTCTGAGGACATGGGCCTTCCTGGACCTCCAATTCCAAGGTTGGGTGGTAAGTTACAGCTGCTGTCAAAAATAGTAACAACAGGATTTGGCATCTTGACACAATGCTGCCTGGTAATGGCTAAGCTCACGGCACAGTAGCCAGTGGAGAGGAGGCTGCATGCACATGGAAGGGAGAATTAGGAGACCCTGGAGCGTAGACTCAACCTGTGCGTCCAGAGCCAGCCCTGTTGTAATCTCCACCACAGCAAAGAAAACCAGTGCATGTTGCTTCAAGTACCCACTCATGTTTGACCCATAGCAGTCGGTAACATTAATTGTGCTGAGGGAGGCAAATGAACACTAACCAATCTAAAACAAGAGCAAAAGGGATTTTACCAAAGTATCAGCATTGGAGAACCTTCCCCTTCCCAAATCCAGTTTACCCCTCTTTTCTGGATAATTGGGTATCATGGATGCTCAGTGTGTCAGAGGGCCAGCGTGCTCCTGGAATCAATTGGAGACTTCTGTGACCCACAGGTCAGACAAGTCAGGTCTATAGGGTCTAACAAGAGAGTTTACTCAGTAGAGTAAAGGGAGCAATCTCCACTCAAAAATGAACAAGTGGGGTTTACAGAAGTTAGACTGTCACAGAACCAGAGTTAGAAGCAGTTGCAGAGCCAGGACATCTTAAATGATCAGCAGTAGAAGTGAAGGTTAAAGTTTTAAAAATTATCTATACACCTAGCCACGTATGATTGCTTTCTGCAGCCCTGATCCCATTCAATCTAGGCTCCGTGTGGTCTAGGCTATGAAATGAGTACAGCATTGGACTGTTTCTCGGTTGATCTTAGCTCAAACTCTTGTTAACTGAATGACCCCCTGAGCAGGTTTTTAAAATGCCTTGACCTTCACATTTCTCTTTTATAGAGTAGGGACAATCTGTCCCTTAGAGTTTGTTAATGCATGTAGTACACTTAGTGATGTAATATACTTACCACAATGTCAAACATATAGTCGACACTCAATAGATAATAGGTATGGTTATTATAAAGCAGTCAAAATGAGCCTTGTATTCAATAGTTCCCTGTAAGAAAAGCATGAAGTCTAACATGGCTTATAGGTCTTACCTCTCACCAGCTTTATCTAGCAACATTTTCGCCTCTGAAATCAACACTCCAGAGATGTTGTAAATTGTTCAGTGCCTTGAAATTCAGCATTTCTTCTAACTCCCAGGCCTTGGAACCTGTGCTGCCTTGCCTTGGAGCATGCTATCAACACCTCCCACTCATCCTTCACCTATCAGCTTAAGTGCCTTCCTCCACTTCAATGCTAAGCTGTGTCTCCCTGCCCCATTCTCTCTAGAGTGCCTATGCTGTTATACTCACTTGCCCAGTAGTGGCCTTCTCCATGTGACTCCATGAAACCAGGAGCCATGTTTTGTTCATGTTGCTATTCCTAAACCTTAGCAGAGTTCTTATCCCACAGTAGGTATTCCACTAATACTTATTCAGTGGATAAATAAATTACAAAACTATTTAGGGAACTCAAAATTACTGATAATTCTCAATCTAGGTGGCTCAATTCAGAAGGGAATAGAATTCAATAAGATAGAAATAGAAAGTGAATATACGATTCAGAAATGAATAGGATATAATCTGGTCTGCTCTAAAAGAATGGCTTTTGCAGAAAAAAATGGCTAGCTGACCCCTAACAGCTGTTCCCTTCTCCTTTCATAGTAATAGAAGTCTTAATTTTTAGCTGTGTCCATAGTCACAAACAAACAAACAAACAAACAAACAAACAAAAAACTACACTTCCTAACATCGTTGCAGGTGTGACCAGATTTTGGAGAAGTTCTGACCAATGAAATGCAGGCTGAATGCTGCCTCTCTTCAATCCATTCTCTTCAAAATCCAGGCTATAAGTACCTAGTCAAAGCCATAAGCCCCCACCACTTACTAAATATGTGATGTGTAGTAGACTGGCACACTATGTTGAATGACAGCTAGAATGCACTCTTTTTATATCCTTTTCTTCTCTCTCTCTTTGATGCCTACAGTAAATATGTAAAGGCTGGAGCGTTGACTGCCAAACTGGATGTTGAGGAACGGGGTTATATGTTAGTGCTGGCGAAGGGCAGAGCTGGATGAAGCCTGGATCCCTGAGTATTTTGGAAAATATAACCACCATACCAGCCCCTTGCTGCTTACCCTCTGACTTTTCATTTGCTTTACCAACTATTATTTTTATCCTCTGTTACTTGTAGTTCAGTTTCAAAGAAACCTCTTAATTACCAGGAATTGCATTGTGAAAACAATGATGTATGTTTGAAAAAAGGACTTAAGAGAGTTTCAAAGTTATTTTTATTTCAAGATTTTCACAGTAGTATTTTAATAGCAATAATGTATTTTATTGATGTTAGCTAAAGATTTTTTAATCTCAAACATAAATGAGGAAATTATAAATATCATGAAAGACCAGACAAAAATCAATAGCGTTCTAGATTCTAATCACACAGAATATTTTTCAACAGTCACTGGTGAGCAGAAGAAAATAATATCAACGGAGCAGCCAGTCTCTCCAGAAAGCAACTGTGTTTTCCAAGGCAGAGAACACAACGACCTTTCTTCTTGTGTTTATGGTGGTATTTCTCAACCACAAGCCCATGATAACTGGGAACGATGTTCAAAATATTTATCAATCTGCACAATCTGGATGCCATCCAATCAGAACAGATGCTGGCTATAGAACAACTAGTATATCCATCCTGGCTCATGGCAACATGATTTCAGCCTAGGGATACCAATAGTAGCATGTGTACGGAAATCACGTTTCTTAAATTATCAACCACATTTTGTCTAATTTATGGCATAACACCTGATAGAAATGCCTGTATCATATGCAAAATTAGAGGTTCATAGAAGTAGTTCTTGTTTTTTGTGTGTGAGTTTCCTAATGAGTTGGTTTAGAAAAGAATGAGACCCAAAGGATCCTGCTGGAGAGATTTTTGGAAGGTGGATGACTGGCTGTTTAGCATGTATTTTTCTTAACCATCGTTTGTGTTTGAGTGCTTGTATGCATACATGTGTGTATATACATGTACAAACAAAACATACAAAAGTAGTGTGACTGCAACTAGGAGTACATTGACACTGTGCCTGTGGCCAGCAATACTGTCTCCTTTCATTCCAGGAACAAGAAACTTCAGAGCCCCCAACATACTAGACTTGCTTCTGGCATTCATGCCACAGGGCTCCTGGTGTCTCAAATACTATTTTTGATGTGCAGCTGTTGAGTTGAAACATCTGATAGTTTCTCTTCTCCAGACTGATTTGGTGCAAGATACCAGTAAATGATCATTTGTTTCAGTTCTTACAAGAGTCAAAAGACTAATATTAGATAATGGTTCCTCCCACACATGGCCCTTTCCCTCTGACTTTTTGCCTGGAGGATCCCAGACCCTGAGAAACCACGCAAAGTCATTCTCAGACAGGCTTGGGCTTTAGCCACCAGATCTGTGGGGCTCCATCTGGCTTATAAAGTCTGTCCAAATGGGAGAATAGGAGCACCCGGTGTCACTCTCCCACACCCCTGTCAGTCCATGCTAAGTCCTTGCTACAGTTGTACTCATTTCCTTTTGTTTTCTTCCCTGTGGATTTGGAGATTAATTGGCCATGATTCACTCAGACAGTCATTTGTGTACTTGAAGGCCATTAGTAAAATCCCCTCTCGGTTCAGAAGAAAAGAGGGTGATCAAAATATTTAACAACTGCTAAGACTGAAGAACTGTAAAGGCACCAGCATTATTGTCCAGTCAGAATGGACTCTGGCCGTAGAGACTGAGCAGGTTCTTGGAGGCTCTTTGTTTAGAGACTTGGAGGATGAGGGAAGCAACCATTTGCCAGTTGGTCTGGGACATATTTCCTTCTCTTAATCATGGACAGATCTGTCCCAGTGTGTTTCTGTGGAGAATCCCCAGCCTCAGCCTTACTCCTTATAGTATATTATCAACCTTGCGAATGTGATAATTCACGATTAGAACACTTTTCAAGACTAATAACCAGATTGCCAGTGTAGCCCTATTTGCCACAGCCAGATGACTTTCAGCCATATCTGGAGAATGATGTAAGACAATTTTTTTTTTAATCTCTCAAATTTTTAACATGTACTTATGAGACAGTATAGTAACACAATGACTATCCATGATTTAGGATAAACTGAACGTGATCGAAGTGAGTAGTGTGATATGGTTTGCTAAAAAGACCCCGATATAATCATAGCTTGTTCTAACAGAAGCGTGATGTCTTGTGCTACTCAATGGTCAGTTGACATCTACCCTATGGGCTCTTGTTCTGGCCACCATACTTGTGGAGGAAGTGGTGCAGTAGAGCAGGTGAATGGTCCCAGTGATGCACCAGAGTGTGTGCCCATGGACAGGTGAATGGTCCCAGAAACATATCATATGAGAACAGGTTGAAGGTTTTTTCACTATGCATGTCATAAAAGGTGCCTGCATTTTGCATAGGGCCTTATTTGAAGAGGAAATAGGCTTATTCTGTGTTGTCCCAAAGGGACAAAATAGGACCAGTGAGTGGAAGGTAAAGAGAGGTAGAACTGGGGTCAACATAAGAAAGTGTCTATGGAAGGAGAATGAACTATTATAGTAATGTAAGTTCAAGGTGAGTGCAATTCAGTGTAAGAAACACCATGAGGCATCTATTGTGCCCTGGTTACCGTGTGAGGTGTTGTTAACAGAAAGAAGAATGTGGTGGCTTCACTCTACTATGAAATACAGATGTGAGAAGAATTCATAAGAAACATCACATGTTCCCGAAGGGATGCTTTTATAAGATTCCAAAGACAGGTAGGGAGGAAGTGATTAGTTCAAGAAAGTGTTTATAAAAGAGTGAGTGACAGATCTAGGTTTTGAAGAATAAATTCCTGTTTGATGAAGACAGACAGACAAGGGATGGACGAGTCTTCCAGGTTGAGGAATCAACATGTGGACAGTCCAGAGAGGTCCTTCAAGCAGTCTTGGAATTGGTTATTTCATTTGGGAGCGCAGGCTTCTAGTCTTCTGGGATAGTCTACATCCATAACAGGAGCTAGAATTTCAATGTCCTCATTATTTTTGAAGTATTTGCTTGCATGTCAGTATTTGTTTGGTTTTCCTCATTCAATGAATCTGTTCCTCCAGTGAGTCTGTAAGGGAATTATTTAGCAAAAGGTTTTCCAAGTTTAAGAATAGGAAAATGTTTAAATATGAGTATATTTAAATTGTTTTTTGTTTCAATGGATTTTTTTTTCAAGTTGGTCTCTTTTACTTTGCATAGGGAAGACCTTTTACTTTGATTAGCTTTGGTGACTTTGCTGCAACTTTAAAAATATATCCAGCATCCTAATCCTTGGAGGTTCAGATTCTTGGAAGATAAACTGCAACTTTGCAAATGGCTAATGGTCTGGTGAAAAAGAAGGATGGTAAATTTATGGTAGTACTAGTTTTATTTAAAATATATATATATATATATATATAAAACCTAAAGAATTCAACACTCAACTGGGTATATCAAATCTTTAAGATTCCCTAAAATCAAGTTTAAAATTATTTTTATTGTATATCCAAGCTTTGGGTTTCCTGGTCACCTTTTCGTTGAGCTATAACCAGAGAATGAAGATGAGTAGGACCTCAGAAGCAGAGAGAAGCAGACAAGTGGGTCAGGCCAGGTAGCAGTGTCAGGGGCAAAACTCTACTTCCACCAACCTCGGCATGTAGGAATGTTGTGGCAGTTTGTAGACCAGCCCTTCTTCTACCTACCATGAACCCACCAATCACCATAGCCAGTAAGGAGGGTCACCTTTGTGTCTCCTAAAATGTTTGTCACCACTGGATTTGAAAGGCACACTTGACAGTCTTGTGTCAAGTAAAAACTATTAAACACTTCCAAATCATAAGCTGATGGCTTCCAAAGAGCAAATAAATGTCCTAAAGTGATCACTATTTTTAATACCCAGCTTGACAGAAATGTCTGTTGAGCTTACTGCCAGGTGCCACATTATCACTTAACCAAAAATGTCTATATAAAAATAACTTCCCCCCATTGGAATGGTGGCCTGTATACAGAGAAATCTATTTATGTTTCAGTTCAGTTTCAAACATCTTTGAAAAACAAGCTGAATGGATAGAACTGAAGCAATGTGCGCACCTCTGGAAAGATGCGGCAGATGTTACCTCTTGAATTGGTGGAAATAAAAATGACATTCCTCTCATTTAGGTTGTTTGGTGTTATGCTGACTTTTTAATATAATCTGAAGCAGAAGTGACTTAATGTCAACGACACTATTTCATGGTTATAAAACTTTTGGTTTGAGAAGTTGTTAGCCTATTTTTCTGCTTTCTGGATGTGGATGGCCCTTAGAACAATCTCCCCTTAGAAGGGATGCATTGAGTGTGGAGAAGTGCCAGCCACTGGAACGGGCACGATGCATAGGTTGATTCCTTTAAGTTCCAAGGCAGCTTGAGGCAACTACCCAGAGCAGCTGAATTACAGGGTCCTGCAGGTCCATGTCTCTCTTCTAGGTGTTTACTTCCTCAGCCTTGGTAATGCTCAGTCCCTGGTTCCCAGTGTCCTCTAAACTTGCCCTACAGTGGCACTCATCCTGTATTTCGATTACACCTTTCTCTTGGGGGGCCAGGACTGGGTCATGGCCTTAGGCAGCCACAGAGAGGTCAGCCTGGACTAGGGTGAAAGCAAAAGGATTCTCAGAAATGGGACTTGAGCTCACCAGCAAGAATGTATAGAATTTCAAGCCAGGACAATAGTGTGAAAAGGCTAGGATTAAGGGGTGGGGGACAAATGATGGTGCCTTTTCCTCAAGAAAAAAGGCATAGAATTGAAGGAGGTAATTATTTCCTCCTAATGTGTCTCATTTTTCTGCTAGGCTTCTAATATCACACACAGAAAGTTGGAACATTTGAAGTTTCCTTTCTCCCAAAATAAAAAGCTGATTTTATTCATCGTAATAAATCTATTTACAGCTCATTCATAGGTATTGGTCACTTAATTGAAAACACTAGTATGCATTAAATATTGTTATATAGCCAAATAATTTTTAATTGTCTCAGCTACCAACTTGAAAAATATTTCATTTTCTATAATCTGAGTTAATTTAAATTGCTTTTGTGCTTCGATTGATACAAGTTTAACTTTTTTTCTCATTAAGAAACATTTTACTGAAGTCACCTTTTGAAGAATGTTTCCTTTTCTGAGGTACTAAATCTGTTGGCACTTGACACTACAGTTAGTAGCAAACTTTTTTTTTTTTAGATGGATTTTTGCTCTTGTCACCCAGGCTGGAGTGCAATGGTGAAATCTCGGCTCACTGCAACCTCCGCCTCCCAGGTTCAAGCCATTTACCTGCCTCAGCGTCCCGAGTAGCTAGGATTACAGGCGTGCACCACCACGCCCTGCTAATTTTTATATTTTTTAGTAGAGATGGAGTTCCGCCATCTTTCCCAGGCTAGTCTTGAACTCCTGACCTCAGGTGATCCACTTGCCTTGGCGTCCCAAAGCGCTGGAATTACAGGGGTGAGCCACCATGCCTGGCCAGTAGCAAATTTTGAGAGAAGGAAATTAAATAAAAGTGCATTCATTTTCTTTTAAGCAAAATCTCTAATGAGCTAGTGTAGGCTACATGAAAAGCTGCTTCTTGGCATTCAAAATGTTTAGAGACCAATGTCCTTACACCATGGATGTGCAGTCAAATGAAAGCTTCCTAGTATTCAAGTAAGTGCCTGCAGTTCTAAGCCAAGCTCTTGCACTTACTGCTGGAAGAAAGGCGGATAGAAGAGGCTAATGTTACAAGCTGTTCTTCTCAAGGCTATTAACCTGTCTCCACCTTCTTCCTTGGACACAGAGCCTTTTGATGCAAAGCTGCAAGGAGCTGTGCATTCTTAAATAAACATTTTCCAGTTCAAAGAGCCAGTCCTATGCTTCAATTTAAAGTGAGATTGAAAGAGTTATTTGCTTTCTTGTCCCTTTAGCATAGACAAGCACAGCAAGAGCCCTCATGGGTTCCCTTGTTCAACAGTAACTTCTTTCCAAAGATGAATTAGCCAGGCATAGAGTTTGACTTTCTCAAAGCCACTAATGTAAGGTAATCCTTGGAATGAGACAGGATGACTCCACCGACTCAGGAGGAGTAAAATATTGTCCTTCTTAAGTGAGCACATTGAAATGGCCTACCTATGAACACAGAGCCCTCTAATAGCAAATACAGTAATGCATCAGTAAGCATTATGGGTCTGCAAGATAGCAGTGACTTACACAATAATAGCCCTGCACACTAGAGTGTCCAGAGCAAACAATGCCCTGAGGCACAAGTGCAGGTGGGATGAGGTATGCCAGGGCAGTAACCTACTTACCTGGGCCAATGATGGCAACTGAGAGAAAGAATGTGAGGTCTTCTTTCAGAGTCACTGAAACCTGTGACTCAAACTCTCTGACATACCAGAGGAGGGTGCGAGGTGCTAAAACAGGTCACAAGGCTTGAAGTAGCTGATGCAAACTGACTCAGGGAAGAGAAATGTGTTCAAAAACAGCATGGGGTAGATTGGAATGTCCCAGCCCTAATCTAAGAGACATGTGTCTTTGTAGGGATGACAGACTCTGCCTCAACACATTTTGAATTATCCAGAGCACTGATATTTGCAGACACACTTTGGTTCTGTAATAATGAATAAAGGCAAATTGGTCATTCAAGAGGTATTTGTTGAATATCTTTCATTTTATAGCATTGTTCAGGGACTTGTGAACGCCACAAACATGTGCAAGGACATAGTCTCTTCTCTCATGTTACTTAAAAGGTCTACTCTCTATTTTCAAAGATAATCAGTGGATAGATACATAGATAGATATTGGTAAGAATATTTTCAAAAAATTGCCTAGAATTCTAGAACTTGCCTAAGGTCTCTTGGCATCAATTGTCATAGTCCTCTGCTTTTCAAGGAGACGCTAGACAAATTTCTATGTACCATAGAAAAACTTTTCTGTGGGTAGGGAAGAGCCATCAATCAAGAACTAAATGTATAAAATAGCAAAATAGGGTTTTGAATGCTAGCTTCACCCCTGTGTTATTGTGGGCAGGTTTCTTAACCACTAGAGGCTCAGGTTGTGAGGTTTTTATCCTCAGAATAATATTTTTATAATTTCCTTCTAAGGGTTGGGTGAGGGTTCCATTTACGAATGACTGACCCATTGTAGACACTCTGTCAATGCTAGTTCTTTTCTTTATTCTTACATTTTAACCCACTGGATTCACATACAATGAGTTTACTTAAATCGGAGATCTGACAGTGCCAACTGTGAAATTCTGTGCAAGATGGTTAGACTTCTCTGGCAATATGGTACCAAAGGAATCCTAAAGCCATCCCCCTTCAAAGTATACAAAAATACTGGATAAAATGTTGAATGCTTTCTAAGAGCACGGCTTAAGGAAATGGTCAGAAACAAAGAAGCTGAGCAGGAGCACAAATCCAGATAGGTGACTGGTAAATCTGGCAGCAGCCTAAAGCTGTCTGGCTACTGTTGTAAACTAGAGCTTTGGATTTATTTTATTGGTGAACCGACAGGTTAGGTGACTTCACATAAAACTAGGGTCTTCGAAGATCAGCACCCTTAGGGAAAGGATGAACCAAAATATATTTTCCCACAAATACAAATGTCCAGAAAGTGTATCCAGTACAGGTATCAGTTTTGATTCTGGGAAAAGGGGAAAGAAGTATTCTTTGAGAATTTGTTACCCTCCTTCACACAGGTTTGTAGTCCAATTCACAGTATGCATTGTGGTCTGAAAAACATCAAGCCAAGATTTCACATTCTGGTGCCAGATTGGTGGTGGTTCCTGGTAACTGGCAGAAGTAAATGCAAATCTTCTCAAGAGTAAGGCTCCTTCAATTCAGGTTTCAAAGAAAGGCCAAAAATTCATGAATTAAAGAAAAATCATAGAATACATAAGTGAACAAAGTACCACGAGTGAGAGTCTGCAGAAACAACACCCAGCAGATCAAAACCAGAGCATAACAGATACTGAAATTATTAGATAAACATATACAATAAATGTATTTAATAGGTTTTTAAAAAGAAGATGAAAGGGTTGACTTGAAAACATGAGAAAGGAAAAAGAGAGTGTAAAAATGATGAGTCAGATTTGAAAAAGCAATATATTTATCCTCTAGGAATAAATCTATAATATATACAATTTGAAATTCAGTGCAGATATTAAAGACAGATTAGACGCAACTGGAAGGGAAATCATGAAATGCAAGCTAACCTTATGAAATGATCCTGAATGCAGTACAGAGTGACAAAAGAGGAAACAATAAAAGGAAGGTTGAAAATGTACATACAGTGAAAAGGTATAACACACATTCAGTCAGACTTGTGGAAAGTGATCATTGGAAAGACACAATAAAGAGAATAGGGAAAGCAAAAATACGGAAGAGGTGATGGTGGAGAATTCTCTTGAGTTGATGAAACCTACGAATCCTCAGATTTGGGAACTTCAATGAATCACAATGAATCTAGAAATCTACCCTAGATTTTTCAAAACAGCTGACCACCAAAGATAAACATGACCATCTGAAAAGTAGCCAGAGAGAAAAGCTATATAGCCTAAAAGGAGCCACAGTTCAGCAGGCAATTGATGCCTTCACAGGGGCAGCAGGAGCTAAAATGCAGTGCAATCAAGCCATACAAAAGAATGAAATCATGCCCTTTGCAGGGGCATGGATTAAGCTGGAAGCCATCATCCTCAGCAAACTAACACAGGAACAGAAAACCAAACACTGCATGTTCTCACTCATTAAGTGGGAGTTGAACAATGAGAAGACATGGACACAGGGAGGGGAACAACACACACTGGGGCCTGTTGGGAGGCAGGGTGGGGGCAAGGGGAGGGAGAGCATTAGGACAAATACCTAATGCATGAGGGGCCTAAAGTCTAGATGACGGGTTGATAGGGGCAGCAAACCACTATGGCACATGTATACCTATGTAACAAACCTGCACTTTCTGCACATGTATCCCAGAACTTAAAGTAAAATAATAAAAAAAAATGCAGTACAATCACATCTTCAGAGGGCTGAGAGAAAGTTGCCATCAAACTGCAAACTGACTCAAGGAAGAGAAATGTGTTCAAAAACAGCATGGGGTAGATTGGAATGTCCCAGCTCTAATCTAAGAGACATGTGTTTCTGTAGGGATGACAGACTCTGCCTCAACACATTTTGAATTATCCAGAACACTGATATTTGCAGATACATTTTGGTTCTGTAATAATGAATAAAGGCAAATTGTTCATTCAAGAGGTATTTGTTGAATAACTTTCATTTTATAGCATTGTGGAAATGTCTTTCAGCAAAATAAACATATTTTCACACAAGCAACAGCAAGAGAATCTATTACCAGCAGGTCCTCACTAATAGAACTTCTTTAGGATGTATGTTCAAAGGAAAGGAAGATGGCCCCAGAATCCAGATACAGATAAAGGATTGATGAGCAAAGAAAACACGTGGATCTCACAAATATAATGTGAAGCAAAAATGGCACTGACAGATTATTCGTTCATCAGAGAACCACGTATAAAAAGTTCAAATACTCAAACATATCTTGACTGGGGGCACATACATAGGAGGAAACCTATAAGGAAAACCAGGCAATAAATACACGAATTTCAGATCATGTTCACCTGTTGAAGGAGAAAGCAGAGAGTGTCACTGCATTTTTATGTTCTTCTGGAGCATACTCATAGATCTACCATGGACCAAGAACCACTGTGCCTGTATGACTGGCTATAGGACAAGAACAATTGCAATGAGGTGCTTGTCTTCAAGGAGCTTACTACAGTCTAGTGGGAGAGGAAAGCCATGACTCTATAGCTCAGGACATGCTGATAGCATAAATGCACACAAATCCACCCATACTTTACTTTGATATCCCTTTCTGGTTGACCCTCAACCTGAGTGCCAGACTCCCTTCAATACCCAAACATACCATATGTATCAGATGAATGAATGAATGAGTAGAGGAGTGCTTATTTTATATTCTGTATATCTTGCATATAAATCATAGGCACACATATTGTTTGGTGTATTTGAAACATTTAATAGCATAAAATATTTAAATAATCTTTCAGAATCCACCTTGAGAGTTGCGGATAATAATATATTTTGAACAGAAATTTCAAAATGTGCCTCAGTCTAATATGTATTTGTCCCTGCAAAAAGCTGGGAAGGTAAGAATGGAAGTGGAAAAGGATAAAACATGTCAATTTAGAGAAGACTTTTCCCTATCTGGCATCCCTTGAAATCAACAGTTAGATAATAGATAAACTACATGGGGAAATTTTGTACCATTTGAGGGTGTAATCTGCCACATTATTTCATGAGAAAGTTTGGTCATGTGGTCTTTGGTCATGTGGTCTTTTTTTTTTCTTTCCTTCTTTGCAGTGACCTACAGGAAGCTCAAAGCTGTGTGTTCAGCTGCTCTGGCTTTCTTCATGGTGGGGCTTAGCATTGATTCCCTCTCCTGATGGCTCCCTATGGCACTCCAAGGCTGAGACATATTTGAGGCTGGTATGTTTGGGTATGGAAGGGAGTCTGGCACTCGGGTGGAGGGTAAGCCTGAAAGGGATATTAAAGTAAAGGATGGGTACAGTTATCTGTATTTAGGCTATCAGCATGTCCTGAGCTTTACTGCCATGGCTTTTCCCTCCCACTGGACTGTAAGCTCCTTGAAGACAAGGGCCTCATTGCAATTGTTCTTCATCCTGTAGCTGGTCATGCAGGCACAGTGGTGCATGGTGTGTGGTAGATCTATAAATACATATCAAATGAATGAATGACATACCATGGACAGCTCTCTTCCTATCCTATTGCTAGAGCACATGGGCTCGCAGGCAGGTGAGTGAACACAAACATGTGTGCACCCCACACACACACACACGTACAAACTCACACATCCATCATTTACATGCAGAAGTTACATTATACTTTCATGCCACCATCTGAGAATTCCAAAGAGAATATCAGGTGAAATACGTTAAATTACTTTTGCACATGCTACAGGTCATGAGAGTATGAGTTCATGAGAAAGGAGACACTGAAACTGAATTAGCAACAGAGAGCAGAGGTTGTGCTGAAGGGAAAGCAATGTTAATGCCAGGAAGGAGTCTGGTGTTGTACGTGGGAAATTTGGGATAAACTGCATGGATTTTACAGCCTTCCAGGGAGGCAGAGTGCTGGAGTAGGTTCAGAAAGCATTTCTGAAAACCTCTTTCTTCTAGTCACCCTGCCTAATTTCCTCTGACTCTGTCCTCCCCTGGCTGCATTTCCTGTTTCTGGTTAGAACTCTGACCTAAGTTTCTTTATTTCGGAACTAAGCAGAATTACTTGTTTCAGTGAATACATTTGTGGACCACAGCAATGGGGAGAAAGGAGCCTGAGAAAAGTGTTCCTCCGGCCCTTGAGGTCAAAGACCTGTAGGAAGTGGTATGGCAATGACCTTCAGTGACAGCAAGCCCGTGATGTGACTTCAGCAAAGTGGGATGGGCCATTTTCACTCACTGAGCTTGTCAGATGACCTTTTCTTGATTCACCATTACCTGGAGAGTTTATCCAACTGCTGGGACACAGGAGATGTGAAGAAATGGGTATACTGGTTTGAAGGATAAATTTGCCTTCTAGCTGAACAGAAATCTGAGAGCTGCTGAATCACCTGCAAAATTATATCTTGTTCTGTAGTTTGTTTCCTAAGTTTCCTGGGATTTGATTAGTCAGGAAAAGACCACACCACTAGCAGGGGAAGTCCAGGAACAAGGGAGCCAATGAGTTCTGTGTCCTACTTAAATGAACCTTGAAGGTATCCAGGAGAATCCTTCCTTCTAGCTATGGAAAGATGGGAGATGGGGCAAAGTGATGCCCAGTCATGGCCAAGAAAGATCTGATGTTTCTACAAACAGCTCTCCCTTTCTTGCATATCTACCTAAACTGGAGACCCTTTTATCTTCTGCCAGCCTGCTTCAAGGCTTTTTTTTTTTTTTTTTTTTTTTTGGTGGAAATAAGTTAGGTGGGTGGGAAAGGAAGAAATGCAAAGTTGTGTCTGCCTGTGATTAATCTTCTCCAGAACACACCTGGGTCTTAGAATCACAGAGGCTTTGGATCGGAGGGGGCTGAGCCGAGCAAATTGTTCGGGAGTGGGTAGAAGGATAAGAGGTCAGGTGGGTAGATGGAGAGGGCCTCATGGAGGGACTTCCCCATAAATGCAGCTCCTGCATCCACAGTCCTTTCAAATGTGCTGTGCTTCACTAAGATCAAATGCATGGGAACTGGGCAGTTTTCCAACTTGTCCTTAATTGTACTCTTGCTAGCATGGCTTTATTAGTGGGTTCTAAGTGTTGTGAATGCCAAGAAAATCGGACATCATAGAATAAAGGCTATATTTTACAACCAAATATTAAGCATACCTTTCATGTATTACTGTTTCCCAGTGGACTGCAACATTTTTACATCTATTATTACATTTATCCTCACTACCTCCGTATGAATTATGCAGGGACTTATGCTCATTTTTCACATAACTAAACTGCAAATCAGAGAGGTTAAGTAATTTGCTCCAGGTCACACAGCTACTAAGTGAAAGAATCAGGACAAGTATTCAGATCTTCTTTTTACACTAGCAGTTTGGTTCTGTCCATCCACTACTGATGGAGATTTAACTATGATACGGTTACAAGAAAACAAATAATTTCCTCATTGACAATTTTTCCTGAAGGGCTCTCTTCCCAATACAATTCCCTTCTCAATACAGTTGACCAGTATTTAAATGAGTCAATATCCCCGAAAGTTGAAAATATCAGAAATTCTGGATTGTTAAAAAAAAAATACGTCTTCTGGATAATTCTCGGGAAATGCTGTAGAAAGAGATCTGTTTTTGTCATACTCTCTGGGACAGTCGGTTCAAGTCTCTGCTTTCTTTAGGGCCAGTCCATCCATTAGAGAAGCAAATCAAGTTCTAGAGAGGGTGGTACATTGTCCAAACTTATGAAAGACTCTACTCAAAGGTGGACATGGAACTGTGACCCAGAAACCGTGAGTCCTGTCACCCCTTCTTGCGAATGTGATGTAGGCTGGGTCCTTTTGGAAGCCAAAT
The DNA here is from genome assembly GCF_000001405.40 of Homo sapiens. Classification (NCBI taxonomy): domain Eukaryota; kingdom Metazoa; phylum Chordata; class Mammalia; order Primates; family Hominidae; genus Homo; species Homo sapiens. The sequence goes on from NC_000021.9 coordinate 35,224,506, forward strand.
GCTTCCAAGAACTCGTTGGCTTTATTTATTAAAGAAGTTCTGGGCTGGGCACAGTGGCTCACGCCTGTAATCCCAGCACTTTAGGAAACTAAGGGCGGGGGGGGGGGCGGATCACAAGGTGAGAAGTTCAAGACCAGCCTGACCAACATGGCAAAACCCTGTCTCTACTAAAAATACAAAAATCAGCCAGGCATGGTGGTGTGCACCTATAATCTCAGCTACTCAGGAGGCTGAGGCAGGAGAATCACTTGAACCCGGGAGGTGGAGGTTGCAGTGAACTGGGATTGAGCCACTGCACTCCAGCCTGGGAGACAGAGCGAGACTCTGTCTCTAAAAAAAAAAAAAAAAAAAAAAAAAAAAGAAAGAAAAAAAAGGAAAGTTCTGGCCTGGGGCTCAGGTGTGATGTTTTCACAAAAGAAATACATAATCTACAAGCCCAGGAAGTCACATTCGCCCTCCTTTATGTACCCTCCATGAAAATGAGAGCTTGTCTGATTGGACCAGCTCATTGCCATTTAGGGGAGTCTGAAAGACGAGCACACCTGGGTGGTGATGGCTATGGAAGTTTATGCTTCTAAAATTAAGGATCAGTAAGTAAACGCCCTTTAAATGCAGTCTATCTGTGCGATGGTTCTGAAGTATTATAAAATTCTGATGCCTCATTTCATGTCAGTCTTGGGAAAATGTTCTCTCGTATATTATTGTTTGGTGTGCAAACAATTAAATATATTGGAAGGCAAAATTAAGCAATTTCCATAAAACCTTAAATATGCCTATCTTTTGAGCCAGGAATTCCTTCTTTAAGAATTTATAAGCACAGAGAGGTCCACTCAAGGATGCTTATTTTAGTAGCGTTTATAACAGTCAACAATTAATATTCAAGTAACAACTTGTATGTCAATCAGTGGGCAATGGGATGGATAAATTGCTGTCCAGTTACGTAGTAGAATATTTTTTGGTTAATAAAGAAAAAGAGATAGAACTTCTAGTACTACTATGAAGTTGTCTCTACCATACGTAAGGCAGAAAGAGCAAATTACAGGATAACTTGTATGTTATATTTTTATTTTGTGGAAAAGAGAAAAACGTGCATACACCTTTAAGACTTCACGTGCATGGATAATGGACTAGAAGGAGATATATGAAGTTTTGAACACTTGTCAGCTCTTTGGGGAGAGAATGGGAAGAGGACATGTTTGTCTTTTTTCCTCTTATACGCAGTCTAGTATTTTTCAGTTGTTTTGTATTGCGCAAGTACTACTTTCATCACTTGAAATATCAATACATATTTAAGGAAGAAATAGCCAACATGTATGTTGGGCTTGCTGTATGCGACGCAGAATGCTAAATATCTTACATGCATGATCTCACAGGTTACTCACAGTGGCTCTGAGGGGCAGGTGGTAGTATCAGCCCATCTTACAAAAGAGAAAAGTAAGAATCAGAAAGACTAAATAACTTGCCCCAGGTTACACAGCTAGTGAAGGCAGAATGGTCTCCGGAGAAGAGGACTCATGCACTTAACCCCTGGCTCTGCTGCTCTTCAAGGCGGTGGCCTGCACCCAGCCATCTATGAGGGGCCATTAAAGATTCTGAGTGTGGGGCCAGCAGATGGGATTTGCTCCAGTGAGGAGGGGCTGGAGCTCTTTCTAAGTGACATGGTATTACACTATGCTGAGTGGATTTTGTCCCCAGCTGCTGCTCTGGGGGTGATTCTTTGCATGGGCCTGCAATTCAGCGATGAGAAAACTAAGAAAAAGGTTCCCCTGAGTCTCTCTGGACTTTCACTTAGGGGGAAAAGTAATCCGTACAAAATAATGACTTCCTGACCCCAGTTCCTGGAGAAAGCCGAGAGACAGCTTCTGCTGAACTCAGAAGTGCTGTTTTCCTACGTGAACTGGGGTAAAGGTACTGACCAGAGAGAAGCTGCCCTCTGGGCACTGGCATCTCTTCTGGGAACAGGGTTTTGGCCCTTCTGCAAGTGGCCACAGAGATCGGGTTACAGCAGTGCTGAGCTGGAGTAAAGTCCAGGCCTGGGGTCAAGCAAGGCCTGAGAACTGTTCGGGAACTGACTCACCCCAAAGCCCTCAGCCGAAGAGGCAGGTCCCAGAGCCCACTCTGCTCACCTCTCAGAGTGAGGGGCTTCGGCAACACCAGTCCTGCCCACTTCAGGGAACAGTGTAAAAACAAGGGAGGCTTGAGAATTCAAAAGTTCTGGTAAAACTATGTATGGGACCTCTTCCTTAGCCAGGTGCATAACCCTGCTGATCTAGACTTTTTAAAAATATCCCAAATTCCCTCTGCCTGGAGTGCTTTCTTCAATCTAACTATACCTGGGCATTTCTTCCCCATGGGCTAAGATTCAAAACAAGTGTGGCTTCCTCCCTGAAGGTAAATCCACATCCCGGCCTAGCAGGGGCCCCTCTGCTGGCTCTGAGAGCATTGTGTGTGACCCCCCCAAGTCCTCCTTAAACTCCCCACTTCAAGGATGTTGTTTCTTTTCACATCTCACTCTTCCACCCAACCACGAGCTAGAGAAAGACATTGGGACTCCTCCCCGGCACAGGGTGGCACGGTTGATAGCTGTGACCTACCTGAACTGTAGACAGCCCCTCTCCGCCTGAGGAAGAACAGGGGCTAACCACCATGTCTGGGTTTCATGTAGGGTTTGTCTTTCACCGGTGAGGGTAAAGCTTTTGAAAGAGATCCTAGAGAGAATGAAAGGAGGGGCCTGGGAGTGAGAGGAGAAATAAAAGGCTTATAGGGAGCACCTCCCTATAGTCACAAAGGCCATCCTTCCTGGCAGATTAATTAAACAAAAGATAACCATCCAGGAAGACAAACTTAAAAAGGAGAATCCTCTAGGCAGATTAATGACAGAAACCAACGCTTTCACCCTCTGCCCACTTCCTTTGGATAGGTGCTTTTGTGCAGTACACAAACCGCACAGCCAGATATGGCAGCCCTGAGAATAACATTAACATATCACGTGCCGAGCTCCTTTTAAGTGCAGGTGCTAGATCAGGTGTTTTGCATATGCGATTTCATTGAATCTCCATATTGACTCTACGAAACAGGGACTAGTGTCCTCATTTTAAAGACAAACTAAACTGAGACTTAAAGAGGGCATTTTCTCAAGGGCACCCAGCTAAAAAGCAGAAGTTAGCCTTCGACTCCACTGTGCTGGCTCTGGACGGTCTGCTTCTAACCTACACTCTGCTAGGTCTCAGGAAAGCAAATGCAAACAGATGTCTGCACACATCCTGCAAAAAAACTGATGGCCAAGAGGAAACATATCCCAGGAGAAGGAATTAATAGACTTCAGAAAATGGGAGATTTCAGACAAAGGGCAGATGTCTTCTGGAACACTGCACAAAGCAAATTGATGGCAAATGCCAACAGGTGTCTGTTTTAGGAGAGGGAGCACCTGCCAGTGTGGGGAACGTGGTGGCTGAGGAGAGGGTGACGCAGCAGCACCTGTTCTCTTAATGTGACATGGCCAAAGGCTTCTTCACAGTTGGCTGAAATTACAAGACAGGAGGATGGGCAGCCCTGGCTTCAGAAAACTGGTCTGTGAAGCGGATAAAGAAGACAGAACAAAGAATTCTGATCAGGCATAAAACATTTGTCGGAGGAAGAAGTGCTGACGCCCTTAAATTTGCAAAAGAAACAAGAAAGAGGCCGGGCGTGGTGGCTCACACCTGTAATCCCAGCACTTTAGGAGGATGAGGGGGGCAGATCACCTAAGATCAGGAGTTCAAGACCAGCCTGGCCAACATGGAGAAACCCCATCTCTACTAAAAACACAAAATTAGCCAGGCATGGTGGCATATGCCTGTAATCGCAGCTACTCGGGAGGCTGAGGCAGGAGAATCGCTTGAACCCAGGAGGCAGAGGTTGTGGTGAGCTGAGATCACACCATTGCACTCCAGCCTGGGCAATAAGAGAGAAACTCCATCTCAAAAAAAAAAAAAGAAAAGAAAAAGGCATAATATATAGTATATAAATATATATTAAATAAATACTAAGTATTTATATAAGCATTTAGTTACTTAAAATATGTAAATATTTAGTTACTAAATAAAAATATATATCTTATATATTATTTCAATACTAAGTATTTATATAAATATTTAATTATTTAAAAATATATAAGTAGTTGTTTAAAATATGTATTTATTTAATTACTACTTATGTAAGTAGTATTTGTTATATACTATTTATTTATATTTGATATTTATTACTAAATAATAATAATACTAATTACTAAGTAACATTTATTATTAAACACTAAATATAAATAAAGAGTATACAACAAATACTATTTATACAAATAAATGATAATTTACATACCATTTACTTATATAAATATGTTTTCTTTGAGAAATTAGGAGATGGTTGTTTAGTGGTGTGAAGATGATATGTTTACTGTATACATAATACATTATTTTTTTAGAAGCCTGCTAGCAGTACATTGAGTAAGTTATATGAAAGTAATTAGCAAATGCAAAACTTGATTTAAATCTAAGGTACATTTGGGTTCATGTATTTCAGAAATGTCCATTAAGCACACCCAATGTTCAAGGGCCTCTGGTAGGACCTGGGGCCACCAAGATGCATTGGACATCAAGCCTGCCTTCAGGAGCCCATGCCACAGTGAGAAGTAGATAATAGAGTATCAAGAGCAGACAGTGGGTGACATTCCAGCTTTGGCAGTAGGAGGTGCGTTTTCTGTAGAGAATTTAAAAACAATAACAAAACTGACAAAAAGCCAGTAATTCTAAACAATATCTGTGATAAAATGCTTCTCCAAAAAAGTTAGGGCTTGGCTCAGTGCAGCTGGCTGTCTGTTTCTGTGATAAAGTTTTATTGGAACCAGTCACTCTTATTCATTTACATATTTATTATCTATGGCAGCTTTCTTTCATGCTACAACGGCAAAGTTGAGTAGTCGTGACAGAGGCCAGATGGCCACAGAGAATAAACTATTTACTATCTAGTCCTTAACAGAAAATGTTTGCTGACCTCTGGTCTGAGTTATAAATAACTGCTGCAATTACTGTTGAGTTTCGATAATAATATCTATGTCAACTTCAATTAGCACATCTTTATTAGCTGTCCTTTAATAAACATTTGGTTCTACAGGGAAGTTAATTCCAGAACTCCAGTTATATAGTGTTCCCTAAGGACTCAGCTGCATGTATTTGTTTTGAGAGTCTAAGTTTGTCACTAATTGAGGTCTATTCTTATCTCCAACCCATATAACATTCTTGGATTTAAAGGGCGGATTCAAAATAGTTGATGATAACACTCTGATTATAAAGTCCAAAAAATCGAGCTTGAATTACATATTTTTTTGTTCTATGTGTCCCTTTGGATTTTTAATGTTTAAAAGTTAAAACAATGAAACTGAAAACTTAAAATAATGAAACCGAGTGTAAACTACAAGGCGTGATAATTTTGCTTGGTAGGCGCAAATATTAGTTCCCACATGGTGTAGGTACAGAATTTAAGTGGTATTTTAAAAATTGAAATTAATGTTGTAGATCACAATTATTATATGAGTACTGCTAAAAGTAATTTGTGGCCAGGCATGGTGGCTCACACCTATAATCCCAGCACTTTGGGAGGCAGAGGTGGGTGGATCACCTGAGGTCAGGGGTTTGAGACCAGCCTGGCCAACATGGTGAAACCTCGTCTCTACTAAAAATATAAAAACTAGCTGGGCAAGGTGGTGGGCACCTGTAATCCCAGCTACTCGGGAGGCTGAGGCAGGAGAATTGCTTGAACCCAGGAGACAAAGGTTGCAGTGAGCCAACAAGGTGCCACTGCACTCCAGCCTTGGCGACAGAGTGAGACTCTGTCTCAAAAAAAAAAAAAAAAGTAATTTGTCACATAGAAGAGGGAGTGTCAACTGCATTATACCTCCAAATGTAAATGATCCTTAAAGAATGACTGCATGAGGAATAAGGGCCAAGTGTCATGAGAAATGTGCCATGACAGAGTGTCACAGAGGTTTCAGAGGAGGACAGTCCTTCCACATGGAGGAAGTCAGTCAGTGTGCTTCCTGTTGGGAGGAAATGCTCCTGAGAACTGCCGTGATGCCCATGAGGATGCGAGTGTGTGTGTATGCTTGTGCACCAGCCAGGATGAACGTGCACAAAGAGCAACCTCCCTTCTCCCCATGCGAAACATATGGAGAACTTGGTGTGGGTTCTTCAACTCCAAGCCTGTGCATGAGACTCCAGATAATTGTCGGGATTGCACCAGGGGGAAGGGAGGGGGAAAATCAGAAGGAAAGGCTTTCCAATCTCCCCTGATCATTTGCTTTCAATCCAGAGAGATATATTAATGGTATGAGGATAGCGGCCTTCTCAGTCTAGACTCTGCCACAAGAGAACATGCCTCCAGGTCAATCAAGAAGGGGCCCTGTGCAGACAAGTCAGGCTCTGCACTGGAAGGTCAGAGGCAGGTGTGGTTGCCTTTAGGACCTGCAAATCTTGCAAGAGACCTCTGACTTGGTCCCTGATGTTCCACCCACATGCTGTCAGAGAGATGAAGGCAGCATGATGAAAGGACGCAGACTTGGTTCTATGTGGGATAAAGCCATGTCTCAAAGCCTGGCCCATGGTGTGTGTAATCAGGGCCCTGCTTCAAAAAGCAGATGATGGGCCCCACCCTAGATACATTGAATGAGATGCTCCAGAGAATGAGGCCTAGCGGTGTGCATATTTAACAAGCTCTCTGGGTGATTCTTGTTCACCAGGAAGTTTAAGGACTGAGAAGAAGGCTATAGACAGCCAGCCAGCTCCATCTGCAGCTCTGCTGTCCAGGTGTGACCTGTATTCATCTCAGTGCCAAATGAGTCATCACAGTCTGCAAGTTTTGTGCTGAAGTTGCTAAGAAATACCGAATTTAAGAAATATACAAATATAAGATATTCTATACATAGTAAAATATATAAGAAATTAGATATATAAGAATAGCTCCATTTTGAAGACTCTACTAAGTACTTACTTAATATAGTAACTGATGAATCTGTATTGTGAGACAGATTCTACCTCCTTCTCTCTCATTGTACAAGTATCACACTTGTAGCCCATTTTACAAGTGAGAAAACCCAGGCACAGGGTTAAGCATTTGCTCAAGACGTTAATAGCTATTGGATTTAAATGTGGAGGCAGGATTCAAACATGGGCCAGCTGACTCTGGGGCCATCACCTTTAAGTACGAGGCACTGTTGTCTCCCGACAAGTTAAGAGAAACTGAACTGTTCTGAATGCAACCTTGAGCCTGGAAAATATGCTTGGGCACATGATATAGCATTGTTGACAAATCTCAGGACCACTATGGGAAAGCAAGGGTCCTAGGCTAGACCGTGTTGTTTGAGGTTTATCACATTGCTTTTGCATCTCTAGACTTCCATTTGCAAAGCTGTATAACAATAGTCTCTGTGGCATTTTCTACCTTTTGAAATCTCTGTCCCAATTGAAGAGCAAATTAAAAATGGGGCACCAACAATATAGGTTAAGTCAGGTATGAATTCAGCAAAAGGTTCCCACAGTTCCCAAAGAGAAATGCTACATTCACCTGAGAACTTCATAAAAATATAGATTTCTGGATGCAATCTCTCAGGGAACTTCATTCAGGGCACCAAAACGTCTCTTAGGAATTTTGTCACTTTTGGATGATCCCGGGGTTGAGAACAATAACCTGCAACAGTATTAGGATTTGAAAACCTTGCATCCTTGTTTTGATTTTTAAGGTCAAGTCCTCACAAGCTTTTCAGTGAGAAAATTGTCCTTTTTTTCCTCTTTCTCTGTTCTTACCTCCCCCCTTCCTTCTCTCCTTCCCTTTTCCACTCTTTCCTCAAACATATATTGAACACATAGCAGGTGCTAGGTCTTATGCTAAGTTTGGAAAATACACCTCCTGCATGAATGGAATGTATATTGTGTGTGTGTGTGTATGTGTGTGTGTGTGTGTGTGTATTTATGTGTGTACATGCACACAAGAGCATACACCCTGAGAAAGCAAGGAGGCTCACAGAGCTATGTGTGCTGCCTTTTCTTAGCAACTTTAACTCTAAAGAGTCCTGGAAAACCCAGACTATTGACTAGATTGGAGAACGATGATAAGCTCCTTCTTCAACTACTCTTGCCGGGCACCCTCATGACTGCCGTTGGCTTCTCGGCCCACGAGTCTAATCACTTGTGTTCATTCCTGGCTTGTGAGTCACAGAGGAGTCATCCCTGACCCTGACCCATAAGAAGAATGGTCATTTATTTACCCTTTGAAACGTGACCAGGTGGCTCATTAATTTTGCAGCATTAATTCTAAGGGGAAATGAGATTCCAACCAGCGTCATTAATCTTGTAAAAATACAGCCACGAGAAGAGAGCATCGATAATCAGAATGTAATTTTCTGAGTTAGGAAGTGGTCAGGACATTGGTGTCAGGGATCCGGCACATCTAAGGTTTTCATGGCATTCTCGCCAATGGCCCAACCAGGTCAAGGCAATGGTTTTAAGCCTGGAAGAAAAAGACCACTTCAAAGGTTGTTGATTCCTAAGATAGAGCTTAGACCCTTCTCTGGCAATAATAAGAATGACATCTATTGAATCATTAATATCTGGTTGTTAATCATTCTAACTAAATACTTTTTTTAACCAATACAGGTCTATTTAAGATATTGGTTTATAAAGTATTGCTGCTCAGAGTGGCTCAGTGATGGTCAGTGAGTGACCTATTTATTCACATTAATACACTTTGTTTAACTGTCAATCTTTCCATAGCCTGTAATCTCTTAAAAATGATGATGATGATTTTCATTAAAGGAAGCTAAGTCTTTTTCAATAATTCCATCTACAAGCAAAACCTCTCCTAATTAGTTTATATCCTGTAAATTCAATCCCTTATTGCTTTTGTCTTCCACTGAAACTAAAGTATTATTTAACCAGATTTATTTTTTTGTCCAATTTATTTATCCTTTCTTATTTTCAATCATTCAGTTGCAGCCTTTTTCAAAATACATTCCTATTATCTAAAGCTTTGGAGGAAAATTTGCTGCTGAGAATACATACAAATATCTGACTTCGGTGTCACCTACCTTTTATAAGTAAAACAAGCAAACAAAAAACAAAGTAATGTGGATATATACCCTATCATTTTATAGGCCCAATTTAATCATTTTTATTGATAATATAGGATGTGGAAAAGGTCTTCAGTAGATTATGTTATACCTGCTCCTAATTATTCAAGACATGTAACTAGTTATATCATCTACCACCATGGAAAGAACGAAAACCAGCTAAAGAGGGCATAAAATTAATGTATGACTTCCATGTCACAAAAAGAAGAAATGACATTGGTGGCCAGAACGCAATGCTGATGAATGAAACTTTGGTTTTGTTTCATAATTGCCTGCATTGACATGAGGGACTGTGCATTTAGCCCTAATAATCAGATAAGAATCAAGAGGCCACTCACACGCAAAGTGACTTCAACAGATCTTTATTAAAAATCTTTTCTCAACTGCTTGGCTGTATTTCTTAACACAGAGAAAAGTTTCTTCTAAAAATACCTCCTTCTTCTTGCTGCAAATCAATTGCTATTATTTTCTGTCACCAACTGGCTAATACATAGATTGTCTCTATTAAATCCATAGGACATTAAACTTATAATATGGCTTATGACATGCGAGAGATTGTGTGTCTCCACAGATTGTAGGCTTCTTCTGAAAAATTTATCCAGAACAATTCTAAGGAAAAGGTACATTTCCAACGTTTTTGTGTACTGTGGTGGGAATAACAGCAACACATCTATCCATTCTTCAGAAGGTTCTAGATAGAAAAGTCTTCACATCTTTGTTTATGGATGTCTCAACATTTCCCCCGATACCTTCCTGTGTCCATTAATACATACTGATAGGCAAGACAAAAATAAATCAGTGCTATTTATTTTTCACAGGAAATCTCATTTCCACTAGGCATCTCAACGTGTTTTGACTTTTCTCCTTTGGTTAGAGTGTCTTCAGAACATATGAAAACTGTCAAATATTAATGCCAGTTATATAATTAATCTCACCATCAGCAAATTTTTGTAAAACTTTAAAATAGTTTTTTTTATATTTGCTGGAATCACTGAAACAGAATAAGTACTAAATATTGGCAAATTACTCTCCCATGAGGCTTTTAGGGTAAGATGCTCAGTTTGTTATATTGGTGAGAAGTATCTTGATGAATGTGTCATTTAACTCGTGTGTCAATGGCAAATTAATTTTGTTATAGAAGAAGAATCGACTTATTTTTAATTTAAAACATGAGAAATGCCAGCAGTCGAAGCGACTGTTGGTTTAACCACATCTTTTCTAAATTGGCAACACAAGGCAATGGTCTAAATATAAGTACTGCAATTGTGGTTTTGGTTTCAGAACCATTGCACAGTTGTTAGTTACCATAGTTGAGCAGAGGAAAAAAACTGCTCAGGGTAGGGAAAGGAATTTGCAGACTGCCACGGCAGGTTAATTTAGACTAATTTGGACCCCAATCATGAGAGTAACACATGTCCTCTGGAATTATTTTGCCAAGCTTGTGCTGGGTAGGTTAACAAGAAAAGAGTTCACTGGTTTTTAAAATAAAAAGAACAGAGAGATGGGCAAAGGTACTTAAAAAAATCTGATGCACAAACCATGTTTTCTAATTTAAAATACCTTAGTTGGAAGCCAAATCTTGAAATCTAGCTTTTGGATTTCAATGTCTTTCAATATGCCAATGGAAGCTGGGTATAACGATTACTACACAGATTTGAAATTAAGATTTGTGTTTTGTTTCCCACCATAATTATACCATCATGACATATTATCTCCTCCCGCTTTATTTTTTATTTTACAGCCACCAAGTGGGCTCTGTATTTCCAAGGCGGTTCTGTAGACCAAGGTGGCAATCACAGTGTTGTTCACATTTATTTGTTCAAGCGACCCAGCAATTCCACTCCATATCTCTACCCTGAAGTAGCTCTCACATGTGTTCATAAGAAAGAACAAACAAGAATATTCATGGAAAAAAGAAACTGCACACATTGTTTTACAATATCTAAATTTATAACCCCAGGAGAATGGATTATAAATGGGACCCTTGTATGTATGTATGTGTTTGTGTGCATGAGTAGATACACAAAAAACAATGGAATGCAATTCAGGAGAAAAATATACCTATCGACATGGGTATATCTCAAGATACAAAATATTACATAAAAATAATTTGCAGAAGGCTATATAGGCATAGTCCCATTTATTTGAAGTTTCATAATAAGTTGTGTTTTAGAATAAGTATGTAGCAAATGTATAAGGCAATGCATAGGAATGAGAAACACCAAATCAAGAGAGTTGTTCTTTCCATGTGGCAAGGAGGAGAATGATATTGAGAGCCACAATTGATCGAATAATGTTTGATTTCTAATACTTTATTGAGTAGTAAGCACAAGAATCTTTATTACACCTTTGAATGAATGAATGAGTGAGTGAATGAATTCAGTTAATCAATTAACAGAGTGCTATGGCTTAGATGTAGTTTATCCTTCACAAAACTCATGTGGAAATTTAATTGCCAATGTAACAGTGTTGGAAGGTGGTACCTTTAAGAGGTGATTAGGTCGAAAAGATAGACTGTCTTTCTCAAGAGACTGGGTTAGTTTTCTTGAGAATGGACTAGTTGCCTGAGAACAGGTTGCTACAAAGTGAGGCTGCCTCTCATGCCCTTTGCATGCTCCCACTTCCCCTTCCTCTTCTCTGTTATGTTTTGATTCAGCTTGAGGTCCTCACCAAAGCCAAGCAGATGTCAGTGCTATGCTTCTTGGACTTCTCAGCCTCCAGAATCATGAGCCAAATAAACCTATCTTCTTTATAAACTACCCAGTGTCAAGTGTTTTTGTTTTGTTTTGTTTTGTTTTGTTTCTTGAGACAGAGTCTTGCTCTTGTTGCCCAGGCTGGAGTGCAATGGCACAATCTCTGTTGAATGCAACCTCTGCCTCCCAGGTTCAAGCAATTCTCCTGCCTCAGCCTCTGACGGGATTACAGGTGCCCGTCTCCACACCTGGCTAATTGTTTTTCTGTGTGTGTGTGTGTGTGTGTTTTTTTTTTTTTTGTATTTTTAGTAGAGGCAGGGTTCCACCATGTTGGCCAGGCTGGTCTCAAACTCCTGACCTCAGGTGATCTGCCTGCCTCGGGCTCCCAAAGTGTTGGGATTACGGGTGTGAGCCACCACACCCAGCCCAGGTGTTCTATTATAACAACAGGAAACAAACTCTGACATAAAGTATACTATATAAACTATTCTTTATTTTTTTATACATATGAAATATTTAATGATTATTCTTTGCAAAAATCTAGAAAAATGATTAGGGGTGAAGAACTAGAAACAGTTTCTTTCTAGATACTGCTTGGAGCAATCAGCCCATTTTAATGGTGAGCAGCAGAGTTTAATCATTATTCAGATGAAGGTGTGCAGTTTTGAAGGCAAAGGGAAAGATGCCCCTGGGAAAAGAGAGATGTAACATTCTATAAAGAGTGATGATTTAGGTCAAGGGTCCCCAACCCCTGGGCCATGGACCAGAACCAGGCCATACTGCAGGAGGTGAGCAGGGGACAAGCGAGCATTACTGCCTGAATTCTGCCTTCTGTCAGATCAATGGCAGCATTCAATTCTCATAGGATCGCGAATCCTATTGTGAATTGTGCATGTGAGGGATCCAGGTTGTGCACTCCGTATGAGAATCTAATGCCTCTGAAACTATCTCCCCCAACCCCCCTGGTCCACGGAAAAATTGTCTTCCACAAAACTGGTCCCTGGTGCCAAAAAGGTTGGGGACCACTGAATTAGGTGATGGTGTTTCTGACTAGGCTGGAGAGAATGGCATCAACAGAGCAGATGGAAGAGTAGACTTCTGGTGGAGAATGACAGCATTTCCTCTGAGGCTGAAATGAGATTAAAGACAGAATCAAAGAGACCAAAATTCTTGCATGTTCAGAGGAAGTTAGCTAAAGAAGTTCATACTGAATGTCGTTGATTTCAGCAAATGAAGAAGGTGAATGACCTGCCAAAGCTTTTCCTGGCCCAAAGTTTCATGTTTCTTCTCCTTCTTTGTGCTCTTTCATGGCACTGTTTCATGATCTTCTATTTACTTATCTGTCCTCCACCCAACCTTCTAACAATAACCAATAGGTGATAAACTCTTTGCAGGGAGGTGCAGCACCTGCTTTCTTTACCCTTACATCTTCAGCATTTAGCTACCATTCAGAGTAGGAAGGAGATGATCAAAAAACAGTTGCTAAACAAAAGTCAAGAGGCAGTATTAAGATTGTATATTTCAGGAGGGAGAAGGCATTATACAACTTCTGTAGGGAGTGTTTTAGGCTCTACAGCCTAAAGGAATGAAAGATTTATGGATTAAAACTGAAGTTGCTCCACACATGGATCAGGTCTGCCCATGTCCAAGACTTTCTTCAGTGACTCTCCAAAGTCTAAAATCAAGAACCGAAAAGCAGACTTTGAGAGTAATCTGGGGTTGTGGTTGGCTCAGCAGGCCTAAGAGTAGGTCATAGGGGCCTTGAGGGTCCCCAGTGAGTGGGAGAGCACAGCTGAAATGTTTGACCAAGGAATTTCAGCTGGGCAGGGCTTAGGAGTATCAAGTGGGAAAACGAAGTGAAGCAGGAAGGGGGAAGATTTTGAAGGCCTCATTGGAGACAAAGGGCATGAACAGCAGGGGTGGAGGGGAGCTGGTGGACTACCTGTGAAAGTAGATGGGTATCAGTTGAGTCAGAAGGGAAGTAGAAAAGATGAGAGAGTAGAGACCATCAGAAGAAGTAGAGAAGAGGAGCAGAGATGATGGGGCAGATGGTCGTAGGAAGTGGCCAGAGAGCAGGGACAATAAGAAAGGAAATGGAGCAAGGTGCATAGACCAGTGCAAAGCAAAGAGAAGGCAGACTCCTCTTTCTGTCTCCCACCAGTGATCTTAACTGAATAGGTAGCAACTCAGGTTAATAAAAGTAGCAAAGAATGAGTACTAAGAATGAGTAACTGCATGCAATTGAAAACTACACAATGAGAACCATGGTGAAGTGGCCAATCAGATGTCTTCACCACTGAATGTGGTCTTCACCACTGAATTTCCCAATCCACAAGCAATCGAATTGTGCTGACTTTTTCCCATGATTGATATGATCAAATGAATTTCAATTTTAGCATAGATTCAGCTAATCTTACATAAGCATAAATCAAAAATATAAAGAATGATAACAATGGACATGCCTGCTGTTCCTATAAATATTATTATGCCACAATAGATATTCATAATAAATAATTAGATCAATATGTAATTGGGAGAAACTTCTTCAGCTTGTCATTTTGTAATACAAAAAGGTGAATTAACGAAACTTCCAAGTTTCTTTATCAAAGGAAACATCATTGACAAGCAGAGGAGTTCTCAGAAAGCATGTACTCAGTTCCCTAAACTGAGACAAATGGTTTCCATATTAAAAATATATTTAAAAAACACCCAAACCCAAACAATGTGAACTAAAAGAAATGCAAGTAAGAACTACTTTGCAAAATCATGTATGACCTCCCCTCCCTGCTCAAATCTGCCAGTGGGATGTGACTTTTCCAGCCTCCTGGCTAAAATGGAGCTCATAAAAACATAGCTCATAGATGGCAGAAATCATGTTTGCAGCATATCTCCAACAGCCCTTAAATATAACCTGATTTAAAAAATAATCTGAATGAAGAATAGGAAAACAATATTGAAATGTATGATTCATATTGAAATGCAAGAAGGGCAGGGAGGTTCTGAACAAAAAATTAATCCAAGCATGTGTAAATTTAATTTGGCCAATGTAAGATGACATCAGTTGTTGAGAGATTTCCAAAACATGGTCATACGCAATCAAAGTGTTCTGTACCTGAGAGAATATTTAGCCATCCTTTCCTCCCTATGTGATCCCTTTCCTTTTGCAAACCTAAAGGACATAAATTCTTAAAATAGAGCAACCTGCACTATTTCTTAAAAAAATGGTAAGTATTCTCCACTACGAAATAAAAAGAAAGAATCAGAGAGAAATCGGGATCTTAAAATGCTGCTTCATTTGTCCACAGAGCATGCATCTTCTAGCAATCTGACAGCAATGACTTGCCTAAAACTGGGCAATCATTTCCCAGAGAGCAGTATTTACCTAATTAAGAGCTTCTCCGTGGTCCCCAGTTACTTAATTGTGTCATTAGCAGGAGTTTTGACATGAAGAACAACTTGTGTCTAGAGCACCAGCCTGGCCTCCGTTAGGGAAACCCAGCGGAGCGGCTCCCAGGGGGGCTGGCAGCAGCCTGCTGCAGTATGTACAGCACAAAATAGAATAATTGGTCCCCAGAGGGGCTGTCTCTTCAGCTGCCAATAGGGATTGTTTTTTTCCTTGTGAATAAAAAGCCAAGCCTCCATGACTCTTCTACTGAATATTAACGTGTGCCTCTGGTGCTCAGCGGCTCGTGGGAGGGATTAGGTCCTGGTGATTGTTACAGCTGTCCTCTTTGCTGCCCTACCGTTGATGACAGCATGAAATCGACAGTCCTGATCAAGGGAATAATGCGGTCAAGCTTCCTGATAGTCAAATGGATAAAATGTGCAGTGTACCATAGAGGTGTCCAACTGGGTGGGATCATAGGGGTTAAACTTCAGCCTGGGGGCCAAAGGGATGCTCTGTCCTCCTGCAATATGACATGGCAAAGGGCCGGAATTGACTGAGACTGTCAGGAGGTCAGGTGGGGGGTTCCTGGTGGTCCTTCCTTTCTCTAGCAGAAAAAGCAAAAGAAAAAGGGTGAGCACAAGTGGTTATAAATATTTTCCCAGGGGAAAAAAAATTAAGTGGTTTTAGAAAGGTTTTTTTTTTTTTTTTTTTTAAAGGCTTTTAAAAATTGAGATATAAGTCATATGTAATAAATTCACCATTATAAAATGTACAATTTAGTGGTTCTAGCATATTTACAAAGTTGTGCAACCATCACCACTGTTTAATTTCAGAATGCTTTCATCACCCCAAAACCGTGGACCCATTAGCAGTCACCCATTCCCCCCTCCCAGCCACTGGTAACCATTCGTCTACTTTTTGACTCTATGGATTTGCTTATTCTGGATATTTCTAGAAAGATTTTTGATTAAAGAGTTTATAAGTATCTAATATGGATTAGAGTTCGCAAGTATTAAAAAAGTGACAGTAAAACTGTGGTGGGGGGGTGGAATTAATCTGGAGTTCATAACTATTATCTGGAGTTCCAGTTTGAATTAGGATTTCAAAAACTGATCATAGAGCAGAACAAAGATTGTCACGAGTACATTGGCTTACCTCTTTTCTTATTCTTTCAATATTAGGATTAGTAAAATTCATCATAGAAACTTAGGCTATGTTTAGTTTGTGGAAAGCATTTTTTTAGACTAGCACAGGGAAAATATTTGGGGAAAATATTTTCGTTTGCATTATGAGTGTTTATTGTGGAGCCTTTTAAATTCAAAACTGTGTATCTTTGTCTTTAAAAAAATCTGTTTCTTGTAAAGTGTCTTAAAAAAAGACTATAAACAAAAATATTTTAATAAAATTTTACTCTCTGAAATGATATTTATATTTAATGAATATTAAATATAAATTTATTTTTATATTTAAATGAAGGATTCAAATTTATTTAGCCAAGGCAACTGCTTAAAAATTATCCATATATATGCATAGGTGATGAGGGCTTTTATTGAATATTTTAGGACAGGAACTTATTTGGTATAAGGACACTGAAATAATTTTTGGATGTATTATTCTCCCTCTATTTTCTCAAAATTGAATTATAACTATTGGTTCAATTTTACCATTGGCTTTCTCAATAGCAGCCTTAAGATCTTAACTCTAGAACACCTGCCATCTTTATGGCAAGTTAATGCTAACGTTTTGTTTTAAGAAGAGCTCCTTGGCACATCTAACATCGAATAGTTAGTTCAGAAGAAAGTGTTTGCTACTAATGAAAGCCACTTCTTTTATCGCAAGGTTTCACGTTGGGCAGTATTTTAGCCTTGGTTCTACCAAAAAGTAAAGCTTGAGACAAGGGCTTGCATATAGTTTATTTTGGGAAAATATCCCCAAAGAACAGGAGTGGGAGACTGGACAGAGGCAAATGGAAGGATGGAACTTCCATCCAAAGGTACATTATTGAGTGAAATCCAGAAAGCACAAGCTAGCCAGTGCAGCTCAGGCAGGAGGCTATGAGGTTACAGATGGGAAGATGGTGGTTGCAATGCACGGCTGGAGTGAAATGTAGGTGTGAGGGGTGTCTCATAAACGGTATCCTAATTTACACGCTTGGTGGACACTTACAGGACATGGTAGATCTATGTCTGTATGGAACTTCTCACAACAAATCTTTTTCAATCAACACAGCTTTAGAAATTCTCCAAGTTATCTTGTCTCATAAAGACAGCAGATGCCAAAGATCAGCAAGGAGAGTTCAGCCTAGCGAGACAGAGATGCGGGATACAGAGGCTCTCCTGTGGTTCACACAGAAAGATGGGAACCACACGGGACCAGAAATACGGACCAGGGTCAAGAACTGGTACCTCAGGATGGAGAAGGCAAGAACCAAGTGGAACCACGAGAGGGATCCAAGGTGACCTGAAGCTCTTCTCTCGGCCAGACTGATAGAGAGAAGCTCGGCTTCTCAGTGAGGACACATTGGAACCTGACCCCTGGGCCTTTATGCTCCTCAGATATGCTGAGGGATATGCAGACCTCATCCCAGAGTTCAAATTCAGCCATTCTCAACCAAACATTTTGTTATTTCATAAAGACTGGTATTAACCAATGCTTCACAGTTTATTAAGATAGTACCCGAGTAAGGTGGACTCTGCCTAATTATTAGAAATAATGTTTTCGATTTCGTCAAATACAGCTGGTGGAAGAGTAAATTGGGATGACCTTTCTGGAGGAGGGCAAGTGACAATAGGAACCAAAGCCTTAAAAATGTATATGGCCTTGGCCCAGCAATTCCACTTGTAAGAATTGATACTAAAGTCAAAAGCTGATACATCACAAAGATATAACATATATATAAGAATGGTCACTGAAACATTGTTAATAACATTGAGAAATTGACAATAAGTGTTAAACTTATTTGAGGAATAGTTAAAAGTTTGGTATAGCCAGAAAATGAAATCCTAGGAAGTTATAAAAAATTATGGCAAAAACATGTACACATTGACATAGAAACATAACCATAATATTTTAAAGTAACAGAGTGAGTTAATAAACGAATGAGTCCACTTATATAAAATTACAGATGTGCAGAGAAGCGTCTGCACAGATATTTACCACATTTTAAACAGCACTCATCTCTAAGTAACAATGTGTCAGGAAATTTTTTTCTCTATATATTTATATATCATTTGGGATTTTATAAGTCATACTATCATTTTTACTCCCTGAAAAAACAGTAAAGTTATTTCCAGTTTGAGGAATATCAATTCTAGTTCCCAGATCAGGCAAAAACCTGTGGGTAACCCCCATCTTACCAGGTTTAGCCTGGGTGTGCTACTTGTTACAACAACACACCATGATTATCTGACTCAGGGTGTATTTCCACCCCATTGATACAAAAGGTTTTGGCTGTTTTACTTTGGAATGGGGGAAGATGTGTCAAACCTTTACACTCATGTGAGTAACAAATAATGTCCCCCAAATCTGAGGACACTTTCCGTCTTTCTACATATTGTCAGCAGGCTCATCCCCAATGTGCCAATCATCTAACCCAAAAAACTTGTTCTTGGTTTGCTCAGGGGACGAGTGAGTCATTAAAAGACTGGCATTTGGGACATAGAAAATAAGATCAGTATCAGGAGAATGTTCCCCTGTGAATCTGTAAACTTCCCTCTTCCTTCTCCATCTCCTCCCAGTATTTGCTCGGTTCATTTGAGGATCATTCCTTACCCTATCATACTTTACTGCAGGTAGGGCTTGCGTTATTAGTGGATGCATTGCTTTCAAATATTTTATGCAATATATTCAATAATACATGGTGAGAATATGCAAACTACAGATCATATGCTGATAAAGTGTACTCTGCCAGTCTGTTAATTAGCTTAATAGATTAATTAGATTGATCTGCTAAATAACAAATAAGCTTGTCAGAAATTCACTGCTGCAACACTGATGACTGCCTTACTGTTGGCTTAGAAGCACATGTACCTTCTGATTCATCAAAAAATTAAACGATGCCCATCAAATAATTGCATTGTATTCTAATTTTCTGCTAATTGGTAATTTATACACGGTAGTGATGGAAAAATTTTCATTAATAAAACATTCCTTTCTCTCTTGATGTCATATCAGCAATTCACTACATGCTTTGTAAGTAGTCTCTTCTCAAGCCCATATATTTTTTCCCTCCAGTTCGATAGAATCATTTACTATATTGAGTTCTGGAAGGGAAGAAGCAGGACCGCATCTTGGAATCCCTGCTACTCAGCATCTTGCACTCTGGAATCCTCTCTTCATGATGTACATGTGACTGACAGAGGTTGCTGTTTGTTCACACCGTCCCTCGGACAAAACTGTGTATCCAATAACTGTTGATAGATGCTTGTGGGTGACAGGCGTTTTAGAGAGGAACATGGATGACTGGCTCACATAGGGCTTCACCAATGGGTGGCCTGGCAGGGGAATCAGCTGCAGATGCCCTTTTCTGACTTGCACTTGACAGGGGTCCTCTTCCAGCAGGCAAACAACCCAAGCTTGGACCTTCTCAGGAACTGACAAGTCTGGACCAACCCAGGAGGCTCTGTCTCTGGCACAGCCCCTGGGGCGTAACTTTTGTTTCCTTTTGTCGCCTCAAGAGCACAGAGGCTTTTTGATAACTGCTTTAGACTGTTTTAATTTTGATGATTTTTCTTTTAAATATAGAAACTTTTTTATAAAACAATTTTTCCTTAATATCTTCTGTCCTTATTTACTTCATTTCCTGTGATTTTTTAGGAGCATGTAAAATAAAGGATGCATAGGTCCTACCTCCAGGGATTTGGATGAGGTGAGTCTGGGCTGGGCCCCAGACTTCCTCACTAATTAAAAAGCAGCCTGAGTGACTCTAATAGGCCGCTGAGTTTCACAACCACTGCTGGTCGCTCAGTCTCAAAGAGTGGGAAAACACAGTCTTTGTCTTACGTAATTTTCTGGCACAAGGCAAGCCTCCTCATCAGTCATTTGTAATTCCAATATTTATTGAGAACATAAATATTTATCAGTTACTGCTTGGCCCTGGAACAGAGATAAAATACTATGGGCTGGAAGCACACAGGTAGAAAAACTTTAGAGAGTGTGCCTTAAATCAACGAGTGTAGTTATATTTCGTGAACAGAACAAGCCTGTCTCAAAATTTCTAAGTGATCCTTTGGAAATGGCAACAAGTTGAACATTTTGAAAAGGGATGTTGAAAAAGGATAACTTATTTGCATCTTTTCAGAGGAATGGCTAAGAAACATGTTTGGCAATGAAACCATGTTCCTTTCTTTCAAACAAAAATGTTACTAGAACTTTGATATACACCAGATCTAAGCAGATGGTAAGAATACGCTATCCATAGATCATATGCTGATGAAGTATATTATATACTAGAACTCTGATATCTACTAGACCTATGTGGTGTTTTATGACCACACTGTATTTAATAAGTTCCAGTTTATTGTTGCTTGGAGGACTCTTCTTCCCCCCCCACTTGTTTGAACATGGACAGATGTCCAGATGTCCCTTGGGCTCTGCTCTGAGTGTCTCTTCTCACTGCTTCCAGATCAGTTGGGAGAGTTGGAGAATGGGCATGGCTGGCCTCATCCTTTCTTTATTCTTCAGGCTCTAATTTCTCATCAGCTGAGTCCAACAGGGAAGACCTGCCCCTGGCTGCCCGTGCCTTCTCTGATGAGTAGGTAATTCTAATTCTGGGGTTATTAAGAAACCATTATTGTTATCTAAGCCTCCACAGCCTCTTCCAATCTCGCTTTTGTCCATCAGTAAAGAATGAAGCTACATTTTCACCTCCATAGGTCTGACTTCTGTTCTTGCCTCTCACTGAATGAGGCAGAGTAAACAAGCATACTTTCTGACCTTCCTCCAGTCCTAAACAATAATATTTACTTATCACAAGGTCACTTTGTGAGAGCGGTACAGGCTGATATGATATCCTGGGATCAGAATTGTAACTAAACCTTGGCAGCGTTGTGGTTCAAGGCACAGAGTGGAACTTCATGGTCTTTGCCATTTATCAGCAATTTGACCTCAGGGAACCACTTAACCTCCTCATACCTCAGTTGCCTGATCTGGAAAATGGTACCTTCCTTATAGGATGACTGTGAAGTTTACACAAAATGATATTAGTACTTGAGGAAAATATTTGCAACATTTTGACAGTACCTGGCATGTAATAAGTAGCTCATGTGTGCTTGCTAATATTATTATTTATTTCATTTTATGGTGACGTTTTTTAGTTGCACAATATAAAAAACAATTCTTGAGTCACTGCAGAGATAGCCATATTTAGATAATTTTTTTCATCATTTAAAAAAAATCAGCCTTGAAATGTCAAGACCCTTTATCATTAAATCAAGATGAGGGGAAATACTTCAGTCTGAGTCTGAGGTCAGCTCCAAACCAATGAATGTCACAGAATAAAATCATAACAAGTGTAGCAAAATTCAGTAGGTAACATATCTGAGTGTTCCCATTTATTACAGAGTTTTAAGTGTTCGAAATGCTTTTAAATGGAAATTCAATTAAATATGAAAATCCTAAAGAATATTCTTGGAGCATGGAGATCCGGTGCTCGCGACTGCACCTGATTAAACATCTTCCCTGCCAGCAAGGCAGGACTTAGAATGACTTGCTAAATGGAGCTTTTAATTCTAATTGGAGTTACAAAAAAAGAAAAGAAAAAGAAAAAAGCTGATTTTGAGAACTACAAATTGAAGTTTGGAAGATTGGAGAAGTCCTCTCTGAGTTACTCTTTCTATTTCTGGCAACTCTGCTGACTGCACAATTCCAGGGGCTGCATTTATGCTGCAAGGATGTAAACAATGCCCCAAGGTAGTTGAACAAACAGTCTTCAGAACTTTATCCACTTGCTTCACTGGTGATTCTAGAGTTGCCCTTGGAGACTCTGACCAATATTATTATCTCCTGTGGTAAGCAGAATAATACATTGCCCCTCAAAGATTTCCACATCCTAATCCTCAGAACGTGTAAATATATGAATATATTGCCTTGCATGGCAAAAGGGACTTTGCATAGGTGATAAAGTGAAGACCCGTAAGATGAGGAGAGGATCCTAGATTATCCAGGTGGGCCTAGTTGTATCTTAGGGATACGGTAGGTAACATATCTGAGTGTTTCCATGTATTACAGAGTTCTCCCTTAAAAAGGGAGAACCTTTCCCACTGTGATGAGAAGAAGATGTGCCTGAAAGAAAAGTCAGAGAGGCGAGACTTTGCTGGCTGAAGATGGAGAAGGGGGATCGTGAGTCAAGGAATGAGGGCAGCTTGTAGAACCTGGAATAGGTAAGTTGCCAGATGTAACCCTAGAGCCTCCAGGAAGGAGCAGTCCTGTTGACACCTTGGTTTCAGTCCAGTGAGACTTGTGTTGGACTTCTAATTCCAGAATGAAAAATAATAAATTTGAGTTGTTTTAAGCTAATAATATTGTGATAATTTTTTACAACAGCAATAAAAATCTATTACGTATAGCAAATATACAGAATGTCTAGCAAGATAGTAACCATTCTTTAGTGAGTTTTCTCTAACTGTAATAATAATAATAATAATAATAATAATAATAATAAAAAGCTCACATCTTTATTGACAAATTGGACCTGACTGGAATGTATATCATCATTCATCCAAAAACATAAAATATTTGCTGTCTTTTTCAAAACCTACCGGGTGATAGACACTATGTGAAACCTAAGAATACAGGGATGAAAAGAAGTCCCCTCCTGTGAAGTCAACTTTCTGTAGGGGACAAGACAAATTCCTCTTCCTTTCTTCTCCTTCATCTTCCTTATTCAGTGGGCTAAATGAATATACCTGGCATTTCTTAGGCATTAATTTAATCAATTCTTGCAATGATTCCAGGAAGTAGGTAATATTATCGCTATCCCTGTCTTAGAAATGAGAAAACTGAAACACAGATAGATGAAAACTTGCCAAGGTCATTTGCTAATAAATGGTGGAGTCAGAATATAATCCCACGCAGCCTGGCTCCAGATCCTGTGGCACTGACTATTACAACATACAGCCTCACAAACAAATAATATCAATGGCAAGTTGATCAGTAAAACAATAGAGATGAGAGAGAGGGCATCATGCACAGGGTGCCATGCAAACATCAAAGTGATAGTCTCCTTTGAATGGGATGGAAAGTGCTTGCTGATTCGGCAACATTTTATCTTAGCTTATATTAATAATAATAGCTAACATTTGCAATCTCCCTACGTATGTTACCTCTGGTTGCAAAACAATCCAAAACTTAATGGCTTGAAACAATAAGAACTCATTGATACTCATTAGAGTGGAGGATATGGGATGGATTTCCTGGAAGAGGCTAGGCTCAATTGTGTACCTGTGGTCCATTTCAATTCAGGTGGGCAGCTCTGCTAATTGAGCCTGGACTCCCTCACATGTCTGGGGGTTGGCTGGCTATGGGTTGTGCTGCCTCAGTCACACTCACATGCACTCATCCTCCAGCATGCTAGCCCAGGCTTCTCACAAAGACTGGCAGGCTTCCCTTAGGAAGCAGCCAACTGGCCAGGCATGACTTCTACTGCAAACTGGCCGGACATGACTTGTATTGCAAACTGGCCAGGCATTACTTCTACTGCGTTCTACTGGGCAATGCAAGACACAGGGAATTCAATAGGAATCAAAGGGGAAAGATTCAAGGAAAAGTAGGCTCTACTTTTTGATGGAAAAAGACAAGAAGTCACAATGTAAAGGGTCTGGGACACGGGAAGCGCAGAGAATCGGGAACATTTTAGTTATCAATTGACCACAACATATATTCGTTCATTTTAACCTCACAGCAAACCTCTAATCTAGATAACATCATCGTATAGCCATCCCTTGGTATCCGTGGGGTAATTGCTTCCAGGATCCCTCTCAGAAACCCAAATCTGTGGATGCTCACATCTCTTTTAAAAAACAGCCCTCAGAGAGCTGACGGTACTCACTTGCTAGCTGAGTAAACAGTGGAGCTAGAACCAGCACCAGGAGCCCCTTGATGCCAGAGCCTGTAAGGGCAGCATCCTGTGTGCACACAGCTCACAGGCAGAGTGGGGCCACAGGGATTCTCCACTGCCTCTGTCTCACAGAAACACAGCCACATGATATGGAGACTCACGAGGCTTGGGGGTGAACAGAAGTCAAAATGTGGTTCCTGGCAACAAGACCTGAAGGTGCAGATCACAGTGAACTATGAAGGATCTGATGCAGTCCAAGAGAGAAATAAGTGACTGAACCAAGGCTGAGATGATTAGAAGAGAGAAGAATCGAGAGACAGTTAAGAGGTAGTATGGACAGGGTGTGGCCACTGGCTGGATGTAAACGGTAAGAGAGAGGGGAGATTTGAGGAGCATGAAAAGATGGAGATAACGTTAACAAAATAGGCAACTTAGGAGAAAACAGGCTTGTGGGGATTGCAGGCAGGTGGAGGCACCTCATTCATCCCTCATCCAATGAAGATTTTAGTACCCATTATATGCAGATACTGTTCCAGGCACTTGAGATTCATCAGGGACTAAATGAACAGAAATATCTGCCTCACAGAGCTTTCATTTTACGGAGGAGAGACCAGCAATGTACAATAAACATGAAGAAGAAGCAAGTTTTATAGCACTAAGAAGGTAATAATTACTCTATGTGTTAGTTACCTCTTGGCTGCTGTAACAAATTAGAGTATGATGGTTGACTTCTTATAAATATTAATCACCTCCTGTTAGCTCTGGGCACTCAGTGAATTATTTTATATAAATCTGATAACCATCCCAGTCTTCTGATGTCACCCTAAACTCTATATTTTAATACTACTGCTAAATTCACAGTGGATCAGAGCTGTCTTTTGACAGATTAAGTTCCAATATCAAGTCCTGGGCCCTAGGCAAATAAAATATATTTAACTAATCTGATGCAGCTGATAGATACCATAACCAGCAGGAAGACACATCTCCAGTTAATTGAAGCCTCAGCTTTAGTATTAGGAGCCAGAGCCATGCTTAAGGAGTAGCCAAACCTGTTGGGTGACTATGTCCAGAAAAAACAGTTCTGCATCAGTCATGCCAAAACAGAAAGTCATTGTACCTGGTAAAAAATTTTCAACATTTAATGGAAACTGCAAACTGACTTTTCCTAGTCAGTCAAATCACTTGGCTATGTGAGCATAGAATTCATAGCTGATTTCTCTCCAGAGGCATAATCGGCCTCATATTGGCACACTTCCATGGCTAACATGGCCACTTGGAAATTCTTGCCATTAAAAACTTTCAGACGAAGTTCACCTTCTCCATAATATATAAGGTGGAGGCCACAGTTATGTACATGTATGAGAGTGTATTTAAAGATTGTAGTCCCTTCCCATTTCCCACATCCCAGCTTCTCTCAAAGTGCCACCAGGCTTCATGGTTCATGGCTGATAGGGTTTGTCTGTGTCCCCACCCAAATCTCATCTTTAATTGTAGCTCCCGTAATTCTCATGTGTAGTGGGAGGGACCCAGTGGGAGGTAATTGAATCATGGGGGTGGATCTTTCCTGTGCTGTTCTCGAGATAGTGAATAAGTCTCACAAGATCTGATGGTTTTATAAAGGGGAGTTTCCCTGCACAAGTTCTCTCGTCTGCCACCATGTAAAATGTGCCTTTCACCTTCCATCACGATTGTGAGGCCTCCCCAGTTACGTGGAACTGTAAGTTCATTAAACCTCTTTTTCTTTATAAATTACCCAGTCTTGGGTATGTCTTTATCAGCAGCATGAGAATGGACTAATACAATGTTTGTGCTGCCTGCCCCCAAATTCATCTATTGAAATTCTAACCTTCAATGTGATGGTATTAAGAGATGGGGCATTTGGGAGGGCATTAGATCATGAGGAAGAGACCTCATGAATGGAATTAGTGCCCTTATAAAAGCTGCCCAAGAAAGCTCCCTTGCCCCCTTTCTACCCCTTTCAATGTGGGGTTACGTTGAAAAGATGAGGAACCAGGCCCCACCCAACATCAAATCTGCCAGTGCCTTGACCATGAACTTCCCAGCCTCTAGAACTGTGAGAAATAATCTTGTGTTGTTTCTAAGCTACCCAGAATTCTTTTACAGCAGGCTGATCAGACCAAGACTGCCCACTTCTGAATTAACGGGAAAAGGTTCACTTTCTAAGATGCAAATTAGGCTTTCACCAAAGAATGGCCTTTGTTCTACCTGCTGGGGCCTTATCTTAGGCAGTGGTTCTCAATCTTGCTGCTTCTTAAACTCCTCTGGGAGCAACTGTAGAACATCAAAGCCTCCACCTTCCTCTGGCCAGTTGAGTCTGACACATAGGGGTTGGAGGAGAGGGCAGGATTGAACTCTCCATGTGATTCTGAAGCATGAGAGGGCTGAGAACTACTGACATAAAGCATATGGAGCTCTTGTTTTGGTCAACATTTGCCCATGGCTTAAACCATGATTTGCCTCTGATCCATGACTTCCCAAGAGTTTACTTTAGATATCTTACATTTAATAAAGACTGGGTAATAATGATGATAAATTGGTCATGATAGAAGCCACCATTTACAACCACTGAACGGGGCATTGTACATTTTCTTGTTTAATCCTCCAGCAGCCTAGCAAGGCAGCTATTTACCATCCTCATTCTATGGCTTAAGAACTTAGGGTCAGAGAAAAAACTTGCTCAAGACCATACAGTCAGTAAGTAACAGAACTAAGATGCAAATGCAGATTCCAAAGTCAACGCATCAATAGAATTGTAATACAGGGGGTGAGTGCTGTGGAGCTGCATAGGGTCAGGAACATCAGCCTAATCCTGGCTTTCCAGAGGAAGCGAATCTTAGCTGTAACCAGGAGGATAAGATGAAGCCAAGCTGGAAAGGTCAGAGAAGGGCACTGAGGGAGGGAGAGGGGCACTAGAGAGGAGGCAATACAGGAAGGAAAGAGTGTCCCAGGTTGGAGGAAGAGGATGTGCAAGGCCTGGAGGTGAACCAGAATGGGCTGGTGATCCAGGTGAGAATGAACATGAGATGTCCCCAACTGGCTCAGGTAGGAATGGCAAAGTGTCGAAATGAACACGTTAGGGGATCTATGGAAAAGAGAGCACGTTGAGTGTACAGAACCTGAATTCACTGGAATTTAAACGCGAAAAGTGCATGCAGTTGGAACGATGACGTGAGAGCTCATTACAGGAAATGGGAGAAAAAGAAAGCCCTGCTGTTAAGACCATGAGATGTGTTTCTCTCCTAATTGTCACCATCCATTCTAGAAGTGGATTGGACATTATCTACTGTGATCCTTGCATTCACCTGAAGAATCTAAGCCTTGGAGAGGGTCAGCGACTTGTTACAGGTCCTAGTGGCTGCCTAAATGGTCCTGACCTGGGCCTGTAACACAGGGTGATTGACCCCAGAGCAGGTCTCTTTTCCATTTTGTCCCACGTGGAGGTAAATCATGAGACAGAATAGAAATCATTTTGCTTAATTTAAATAATAAAGGATAGTGCAGAGACGGCTTAGCTGCATGCTGCTAGCATGGCCCACCTCCCCTCTGACGTAGGCAGCTCCTACCTACATCAGTGGTCCCTCACCTGGGTGTCCAGAGCAGCCACTGAGCACGTGCACACTCCTGGGCATGCATGTGTGAGTGGCTTTTGCAGGAAGAAGATTCAGTGCATTCTTAAGCGTATTGTATTTCCATAGCTCTCAAAGGGACTCTGACTCCCAAATATTTTTACAATAGCAAAGTGCTTTTATTAAAGATCCTAAAAGGCACAATTTTTTTTTCCTAAGCCTACATATTCATTACTGATGAATAGTTTTATTTAATAGTATTTCTGCATCTGGCTTTGCCAATGCACAGCTAGTTTATGTCTACATACATAAAATAGTCTGAGAGGCAGAATTTCCAATCATTGCTATTACCAATGACAATGACTACTGCTTACTAAACACAATATGCCACATAGGATCCCAAGACCTTTTCCTGTATTATTGTATTTAATCTCAAAAGTAGTCTGTGAGGTAGATACTGTTATTATAATTTTCATGTTACAGAGAAAAAAAAACCCTCAAAAATAAAAAGATTGAGTCACTTGTCCTAGGTTGGTGGTTCTCAAAGTGTGATCCCTCCGGCAGCATCAGCATTACTGAAAATGCAAATTACTGGGCCCACTTCAGACCTAGTGAATCAGAAACTCTGTGGTTAGAGGCCCCAAATCCTTATTTTAATAAGTCCCTCTGGTGATTTTGATACCTTTAGTCATCCAGTTTAAGAACTACAGTCCTAGGGCATCCGGTTAGAAAATGATGCATTTTATTTACTGCTAAATATAGCATCATTGCCCAAATCACACAGCTGGTAAATGACATTGCTGAGATTCAAGTCAGGGAACCAATTGCTAGTTTACCCTCTCTGATTTAAGCGGTGTAGACATAGACAGTCTAACTAGGTTATTGAAGCCTTAATCCCCATTGGGACTTAATTTTATGACTCTCATTGATCAAGCAACCCTTGGGGTCAAGAACCTCTGCTCAGCTGTCCCTATTGGTTTGTCTTGCACCACTGCATTCTCAGTGTGGGTGTCCAAACCCTGGTGAGCTCCATATCTGAGCTGTATGACCTTAGGTAATTTTTACTAGCTTTAAGGAAAGCCATTTAGCAGATTTTAATTCCAAATCCACCTGGTAAAAAAAAAATAATCAATAGGTCAGATAATCTTCATAAAAAAATTGACTCTTTCTTATAAGACAAACCTGTAGGAGCATTTCACAATGGCAGCCAGAACCTCATTTTAAATGCTGCCATGGTACAATGGCACGATGTTGAAAGATGAAGCTTGTATTTGGTGTGAGTGAGGACTCTAGATTCTGAAGCTAACCACATTAGCTGGAAAGACTTCGTGCATACCAGAAATGTAGAAAATACTGCATCCACTCACAAACAACACCCTATGTCACCTTAAGCCGTGGCTTAATCTCTTTGATTTGACTTTTTCCCTCCAAACTCATTTTAAGGTCTTGAAAATACACAATGCAGCTGCAAAGCTACACTTTGGGACTAAGAACAAGTTTGGGAATAACGACTTGAAATTGGATTCGATGATCTCTTTTCATTTTATAAGTGTTATGAATCCACTGGCTTCTTGCATGAGAAAGGAGAACACTTTCAGCAAATTTCAACCATCTCACAAATCACTTCATCACAATAGCTTAATATTCCGATTGTGGACTTTACACAAGATGTGACATCAAACGCAGGACAATCTTGAAATGGCAAATGCCTGGAGGGAGCTGCCGGCCACGGAGTCTGAATTACCTCATACCTTGAAATTAGCAGGGCCTCCTGATCAGGGAGTGGGAGCAAAACATTTTTTTTCTTTTATTAGTAAGTCCCATTAACTCTGGTTCTAGCTTTCGGTACTCCCTGCCTTTCGTAAGGAGTGTCACCCTCACAATGACACAATGTTCTGCCTGTTTGCATTACTAAACACAGGAGGTGCAATGGGGAAGCAGGCTGCTCATAAAAATGAGTTCAGACGCTTGCTACAGACGTGACAAATACCAAGCTGATTTTTATGCAGGGAATCCTGTCTCATTTTATGTGAAAATAAGGTAATAAGACAAAAGGAGCTATAGGACTCCAATTTTAGCTTTTTTAAAAAAAACAACATAGCCATACTGATATCCTATGAATCACTACCCCTGCAGTGGAGTCATTTTTTACGGGGTGTGTGTGTGTGTGTGCGTGTGTGTGCTTGTGTGTGTGTAGGGAGAGAGAGATCCCTCTCTACCCATTAGTATAAAAGTTGGATTTCTCAACAGCTTGACAATACTGGAAACGTCTCGTCAGTGGTTACTCCATCATGATAAGTATTATTGTGTGATATTTTTTTTCTTAACAGAATGAAAACAGATGTCATTTGATATTAATGCCTAACCCCAAGTCAATGGTAACAATTTAAGAAGATACTTGAAGAAAAGAAATGAAACTGTAAATAGAATTGTTATAAAGTAAAAACTTCAGGAGTTTATTTCATCTTTTAAGAAAAATCAGTTCCATTTCTTTCTCTCTCTAGAGAGGTAGACAAACACACACAGAAATTCTTTCTCACTTGGAAAGGGTAGCGCCATTTAACTACTGTAGTCATGAGATGGTGAGGGTGGTAGCCAGGAATGGCCCTAAGTGATCAGCAGGATCAGGGAGAGAAAAAAAGCACCCTGTGAGAATGCTGAAGGGTTTGGGAAGTGTTTCTAACATTTCACCAGTCGTTTTTACTTAGCAGCTTTAGATTTTAGATTAAAACAGAGGAGAGATGAGGAAGGCAGACACCAAGATGGGGAATAACAGGGCAGGAGCAACAGAAACAAACAGACACATTCTCAAAACCCATTTGTTTCTGTTACTGGGGCTATTCTCATTCCTTTCTCTTTATACCCCATTGATACCCCGATGTCCTCTTCATTTTCCCCAGTTGTAGAATTTCAGTTGGCCTCTGACGCCATGAGAAGAAACGAACTCAGTCCAGGCCAATGCAAACGTTTTCCTACAACTCTCTCCCACTTTCCCAAACCCTCCTCCCCCAGCAGTGTCTTCTAATGGCTTCTGTACTCTTGATTTAAATCGCCCTAAATCCCATCCTCTCTTCTACTTGATCCTAATGACTAATCTGTTCTGCCAAGAAGAGATGACACTTCTTGTCAGCCCTTGCCTTCCTGTGGTCAAAATTAATTCGTTCACCCAACATTCATTAAGCACCTACCATGAGGTAGACAGTGGCAGGCAACGCCATCACAATCTCTGCCCTTGAGAAACCGCCACAACTACAGTGCTCTATCATTCTATACGAATGCAGACGGCACAATCATTCTCTTTTGAACCTAGAATATATATTTTCAAAGGTTCAGATCTAAAAAATTGTTTAATGAATTAAAGTACCTAGCAAACTCTCCTGGTCAAAAATAGCCATTTAATTTACCAAACTCTATTTAATGCAAGGATTTTATTCTTGGGAAAGGAAACTAATTCCTTTTCTATTGTGGCTTTCAGCCTGGTCTGACTATCAGAATTAGGTTTTGGATCTAATCACAAAATTAACTTGATGATAGCAAACACAAATCGTCAAATCAGATTTTTCTACCAAATAAATGCAATGGAAACAAGATCTCTCCTATCTACGGAAACCATGATCTCATGCTAGAATTTTAGGGAAATAAAGCTTGAACCCTAATGACTATTCATATCAGGAAATATTATTTCTTGTTTGTTGAAATGTCTACCTGTAAGGAACAAATCTAAGATACTTGCCTTTAAAAAGTTTAAAAAATAATTTGAAGAAAAAAAAAGGAAAATAGGTCTTGTGTCAGTGTTGAGTTAGTTCAGGTAATTATGTTTCTTTCTCCTAAAATAATCATATTTTGTAATTAAAAAACTCACAACAGCCTTTCATCGTATTTTTATACATTCCCTTCTGTGTTATTGAGAAACTTGTATAAGCTCACAAAATATAAGTATGCTCTGCTTCTCATGTATTTTTTCCTTTGGATGGTTTTGATTTGTTTTTATTGTTGCTCCATTGAGTAACTTTATAACACCATAACATTTTGTAGAAAAGGATTCCTAGATGAATGAAACCTTTCTGAAATCCTAAAAATCTTACCTTTGCCAAGCTAGCCTTACTGGCATGAAGCCTGCTCCACTTCCTGGTTCTGACCAATAATTTTCTATGCGAACGTCATCATCAAAGCTTGCAGGACAACTTGTGTGGAGCATTTCCAGATACCCGTCCTCCCCTCTGTTATTTCAGTCAACAGCTGCTCAGCCTGTTCTTCCCATCACCGTTCATGATTGCGTTAGACAAAAATCCACCTTTAAATAAACTGTGAAAACTGAGAACGGCAAAGCAACCAGTGGCAACTAAGAGGCACTCTGCTGTTATCAACCTCAGCTCACAGTCTTGGGCGCATGCCCAGCAGGACTAAATTCTCTATACAGCAAGGGAGAGTTTCAGCTGACCTGCTGTGAATGCCCCAAGTGAGTCACTGCCGTTAACTCCATCAGTGCCACTTGCTGTCTACTTGGACATTTCTGAACAGCTGCTTGGCTCTAATGTCGACCTCTAACTGGAAATATGGCCTCGTCTGACTCAGTTTCAGAAGAGAAAAAGGGGGAGGCAGAAGGGAGGAGAGAAAACACACATGCCCACTCTCAATCCAGATTGACAACTTTGTTTTTTTCTCATTGATTGTGGTAGAAATAATTGTTGATGAGGTGGAAATACTAAACCCAGTTTGTCATAGTTTCTCTATTTTGTCTCTTAATATATTCCTCATGAAGTTGGATTGGGATCTTCTACTGAAATTATACGCTGCTGTGGAAATTCACAGTCCTTAAGAGCTCACCCCATTTCCATATTTTGTTTTTAACATATCCACTGAATTTTCCAAACACAAAAGTGAATATTTCTTTTATTCTAAAAATGTTGTTCATAATATTGAGAATCCATTTAGAATCAATCAACATTTTTGGAGTACTTGTTAGAACAGACTTCTGGGGTAGACATTAAAAAGGATTCTGAGAAATATCAGACATGCTTCCTGGATTCAAGAATTTATAATAAAATGAAGAGAAAAGGCCTTGTTCAAACAGATGGCCCAGGAACAAGATGAGACAGTGTGCACAGAAGTGTCACATGCCTGCTACAGCTACTAGAATCTGTGAGAGCTCAGAGAAAGGCTCTGGGCTGGTGGCTTTAAATCCAGAATGATGGTAACTGATACTAACAACTGAAGTGAAATTGACTTCATAAACATGGACGATGTGTCATAGCTGGGCATGCAGCCCAAGTGTCTAAGTTGAAGACTGAAAAATGCTCACATGGCCTCAGTATTTCATTTCAGCAAAAATCCGTGATTTATATGTGTATTGTTGTATGCACAGGCACATGTACACATGTTTTTAAACTCTTATATTGCCAGAGACACTGAGGAATTGATCATGTACTTATTCTCCTGGGATCATTTACTATTGTGTGGACAGTGAACAAGCACCAAGCCGGGTTTCTGGAGTTTAACCCAAAGAAAGACAAATAGATGAAATAGCATAAGGCTTCTTCCATTTTGAAGGTATCTTCTACCTGCTGTTTTTATTTCTTGAAAGGAGATTTCAGAGGAGAATAAAGATAGGTTAATTCTTAGTTTTATGATGATAATAATATAACTATAGATTTTCTAACAGCATTTCAGCATTTGTAAAGATTTTTCTTGAACAGTAAACAGAGGAATGTTATTCCATGATCATTGGTGCTTTGAGTTAATTTAGCTCTCTGCATTATTTACTCCACTTGACTGCAGTTTGAAGTTGAAGAGAGCATGGTCTCCGGTGCTTGGATAATGCTTCCTATGGAATATGTGAGTAGACTTAGTTACTCTTAAAGTCATCAAATGAGATTGGACCACAAATATAATACAAAAAATAATCTCAAGGTTTTAATCCTGAAAAGCTTGCAAATATTAGAAAACAATGGATCCAAAGGAAATGCCTTGATTTGGGGCCCTAAAACCAACTAGTAGTTTTCAGCATAATTTTCCAATTCATATCTAAGGCTGCTTGAATAATTAATAAACTATCATCGGTTTTCCCAAGTCACCAAAATCACACTTAGTTGTGAGTGCGATGTAACCAGATTTTGGTATAATCAAGTCTGCCTTAGACCTTATCTACAGGCTTGATGGAACAAAAGGGTTTTTCTCCAAATGGAGAGACAAGTCAGAAAGGGAATCCTCTCTGAAGGGAAGTAAGAATTGCGTGGGGAATACATACCATGGTCGAAATTACAAGTTGATTCATGAGCAGTCTTGCTTTAATACCATGGTGCGGTGATGAACGCAGAAACAGGCAGTGAAACAAAAATGATAAATAAGGTAAACAGATTCTATGGGAAAATGAATGACGACGATAATTCATTCTATGGAGGTGAGAGGATGCTGAGAGGAATTCCCAAAGAAAACAGTTGAGCTGGTTCTGAGTATGCCTTTAGCAGGCTGCCTTGGGCAAAAAGTGAGAGGGAATTTCAACCAGTAAGTGCAATATTTATTCAAGAAGTATTTATTGAAATGTCTATTATGTGCCAGGTAGTATTCTGAATAATGGGGATATCATTTTGAATACTCGGGATATCATTTTGAAAAAAACCAAGTTCCTAATTCATGATGCCTATATCCCCACAGGGAAGGCACAGAGTAAAATCAAATTAATGAATGAAAAAGTAAGTAAATAGATAAATGAAAAATAAATGAAATATACTTCTGTATTATGATGTCAAATAGAGACAAGAGCTAAAAAGAAAAATAATGTAAGGCAAGATGAGTTTATTTCCAATTATGTGGAAGTGTAAAAATGCAGGTGACTTTCATGAATCAGCAAGATCTGATTGTCCTTACAGCACAATATGCTTACTGGGAGTGAGGGTGAGAAAGGGGTGAGAAAAATGACAAAAAAGGAGGCAGAATATTTGGGTTTCAAGTCCCATATGATCTTTTAAGCCCTGTTAAGAAGTTTGGGTTTTCTTCTGAAGATAAGTCAGGAGCCATGGAAAGATTCTTAGGTAGGGGATATGGTATGGTCTGTTTTTATGTAGATCACTTCCATGGCAGTAGAGAGAACAAATTTTGGGTGATCAACTTGGGAGGTAGGGGCCTCAGTTAGGAAGCTGGTTGCTTGTGGCCTATCAGTTGAGTTGAAAGGATTATTACACACAGGCTGGCCTGTATCTGGTAATCTGAGCTTTAACTAGGAGGAATCCTAGCCCAGGTGGGTCGCTGTAAATGGTTAACCCAGTTGTAATTGATGTGCCTACTGGCCCTGAATTGAGGGGTTGCTCCTATCTCCCCACCCGACTTGCCTGGAATTTCTGCTTCTGATAATACCAGAATAGCTCCTGTCAGACAAACTGTATCACAGGTAACAACTGTGAACTCTGTACAAATTATTCAAAACCAATGACTGAATACTCTGGAGAGAGACCAAAGGCAGGCAAAGACAGAGAGGCAATCAATGCTCAGGAGAAGAACATAACAATGATAAGTTTTCTGCTTTTTACAGGCTTTAGCCAGAGAGCAGGTCCAAGTTAGGGCTACACTAGGAAATGAAAACTTGGATCACAAGCAACAGTCTTACAAGCTTGAAGAACCAGAAAAACAATTTCAGGAGACCAAACCAGACAGAAGATAGCCAGAGAATGATATCCAAAATTTCATGTATAAATTCTGCCCAAATCTCTGATGTACCTTGAACTGTGCATGCACAGGGTAGACTCTAAGCAGTGATGCCTAGGCTAAAAGAACAGAACGCAGATTTCAGCTGCTGCCCACCACAAGAATGAAAAATTTTGGATTTCAGTTCTAATCAAGTTAACTGTCTGCTTAAAACAAAATAATCAACACCCTTTGTGATTTGGTTGAATTTTCTGAATTCAGGGTCTCCAAAATGTATTACTCGCCATGTCCAGGATTACTAGATATACAAAGCAAGTTTACTAGATATACGAAGAATAAAGAAAATATAACACAAAACCAAGAGAAAAGACTTAATAAAATCCGATCCTGAAATAACCCAGATATTAGCAGACAAGGATTTTAAAGCAGATATTTTAAACATGATCTAAAATAAGAGAAATATGTATTTCATAAATAAAAATGCTAAGTCTCAGTAAAAAAATAGAAACCATAAATAATAACCAAATGAGAACCTAGAACTGAAAAATACAACGCCTGAAATAAGAAATTAACTGGATGGGCTTAATAACTAGGAGATGACACAAGAAAAAGTCAGTGAAGTAGAAAATAGATCAATACAGTCATAAAATCTTAAAAACAGAAAGAAAAAACAGATTGGCTTGTGAAAAGATTTCAAAAGGAAAACAGGGAAAATTTTTTTGAAGTAGCAATGCCTAAAATTCTCCACATTTGGTGAAAAACATAAAGGTTGGAAAATTCAATCAAAGAAAACCATACTAAGAGCCATTATGATTATTGAAAGTAAACCAGATGGCTGGGTGTGGTGGTCCACACCTGTAATCCCAGCACTGTGGAAGACTGAGGCAGGCAGATTGCTTGAGCCTAGGAGTTCAAGGCCAGCCTGGGCAACATGGCAAAGCCATGTCTCTAAAAAAATTAGCCAAGTGTGGTGGCGCATGCCTGTAGTCCCAGCTACTCAAGAGGCTGTGGCAGGAGGACCACTTGAGTCTGGGAGGTTGAGGCTGCAGTGACCATGATTGTGGTATCACATTCCAGCCTGGGTGACAGAGTGAGACCCTGTCTCAAAAAAGAAAGAAAGAAAACCAGAAAACAAAAAATTCTTAAAGCAGCCAGAAACAATGTAACACATCATATAATAGGTATAGAATAAAAACAATACAAACAATTGCTAACTTCTTATCAGTAACTATGAAAGCTAGACTACAGTGGATCAATGTCATTAATGTGATAAAAGAAAGCAAAACTTTCAAGTTATCCTTTTATATCCAGTGAAAATAACCTTCAAGAAAGATGGAAATAATCTTCAAGGTAAAATAAAGAAATTTGCAAATAAATACAAACTAAGATAATTTATTGGCAGTATGTCCACACTGCAATATACACTAAAGGAAGTTTTTCAGACTGATAGGAATTTGTACTAGATGCAAATGGAATCTTCAAAATAAATTCAACTCATTTACACCAGAAATGGTAAATATGTGGGCAAAAGACTGCTTAAATTAAAAAAAAACTTTGTATTATGATTTATGAAGCATGTAGATAATGACACATATGACAACTAGAGCAGAAAGGATGACGGAATCAGTAAACAGATTTAATTAATTACGACATTTGTATATCATACATGAAGTGGCACACTATTAATTCTAAGTAGACTGTGAAAATGTAAGAATGTTTATAGTAGTCCTTAGAGCAATAACTAAAATTATAATGCAAAGAAGTATAGCTAAAAAGCCTTTAAATAAAATCAGTTTTAAAAATCTATACAGTTAGCCCCAAATAAAGCAGGACTAAAGCTCCACCTTCCTAGTCTCTATATATTCCCTGATGATTTTATTTACTACCCTTGATTCAACCACCACCTGTAAGATGACCTTTTTATAGGTCACATTGACAGAGACGTCCAACAGGAATTTTATGACTCATAAGCCCCCAAATCTATCTATAACCCACATCTCTCTCCTAAGATCCAGATAATATACCTAACACAGAGGTAAAAATGGGAGGCCCATGGCTAGATATGGCCTTTTAAACAAAATTAGGGTTTTTAGAAAATCAGATATTTTTTATATTGAAATGTATTTTTCCAAAATCTCTTGGAAAAAAAGTGAAGATCTGAAATACAAATCCTGAATTCCTGCAACAGCACCATTCGTTGAAGCTAAGTATGACCCTACTCTTTAGTCTGAGAACTTACTGATCCTATAATCTCTATCACTCCTTATGTATGACATCTGTTCACTTTACTCAGTGATGAGTGCTGATAACAACTTAAGTGAATGAATTCTATGATTACATCTCCTGTTATGAACACTACACAACTTGTAATGTAATCTGTGTATGCATTAGCTTTTTATCAACCCAGTCATGCTGACCTGAACTGAGTTTGAAGTCAACAAGATCCCTTTTCATAAGGGAAGTTCAATTTATATAGGTCTTTCCATTTTATAGCTGGATGATTTTCTGAATCTCAATGCAGACTTACCTAGTTATCCCTAGTAGATTTCATTTCACTGTTTTCAGCTCTTCATCATGGACAACTGAGATATTTTGGAATCCCCATTCAGTCACTTACCGCAGTGTCTTTCCTTCTTGATTCTATGTCATTCAGACATCTGACATTATGCATTCTACATTTTCCAATTTAAATGGAACCAGTCTTTGGTGACAGAGAAGGTGATGCCTAATCAGTATTATCTTAAAATAATTCAGCCTAGGAATAAGTCCTCTCAGATGACATTCTGTCTTCACCTGAAGCCAGATCAGTGTTCAGAGAACATGACTTTATGATTGATATTTCTATTAATGCCTTCTTGTTGACCCTAGTACTTCTGTCTTTTGACAAATTTTCTAATGTCGGGAACATGAAGAACATGAATTGATAGTGTCACGAAAAGAATAATAGGCAGAACATGAGGGAAAGGTTTGAGATATGGGTTGGGCTCTGGTTAGTGTTCAGAATTGGGCGGCCTGCATCGGACTGTCTGATCCAAAGTTTCATTGATTCTTGCCCCTGGGAATGTGAGAATCTGGGAACAGTTTGCAAATGTTTTCATACCCCTCCCATCTTCTTCATCATAAAGGAGCTCATTCATTTAGCTTTCCCTTCTTTTTACTGGCACCTTTTGAAAGAAAGGCAAGAATTAATGTGCATTTGGGAAACAAAAGTTGCCACGTACATATTTAGATTGTTAAACTATATTCAGAAAAATGAATACTTTTGGCATATATGCGTAAAGATCTTGGATCTATGCCCTTTTACAATGGGTAGTTACTTGCTTCTCAGCTACACCTCTGATTCTGGAATGAGGAAGAAAGTCTTCATAGTTTAAGAAAGTCTTCATAGTTTAAGAGCCAAGGACAGCAGAAAACATGGACTGAATGCCTTGAATCAGGGAATATCTCATGCAGTAGTGTGAAAAGCCAGGCATCTTTTGCCTTCAGTTGGTCCAAGAAGCTCTGAGAGTTAATGTATAGCTTCCCTGAGTTAGGGGTGGTTTCTCTGGCCTATATAGAAGATTTTTAAATGGGCTGCTATTGCTCCTTCCTTCTTTACATTCTTAACTTGGGCTGTTGACATTAACATGTTGTAAGAGAAATCAACAGAAGCCAGTTTAGAGGTTTTAGAAATTATGTCTTTGATGTCTAAGAAAAGCATCTCAAACTATTTAAAATATTATATTGTGTTTTTTTATTGAGATATAAAATCTACCACAGAAATAAGCCACTGAACCCACAAAAGGTGCGTCAATTTCTGTAGAGATGTTTTAGGAAGAATATGATCAAATGTAAGACATGACAATAAAACAGCGTGTGCACAACACTTCTCATCTTCAAAGTATTTTACAAGCATTGCCTTGTTAATGCTCATGGCTCATCACTGAGATGGCAGGTGTGTGCTATTTATCCCATTCCATAGGTGACAAACCCAAGAAAGGTGAATGGGTCACCTGATGGAGTGGTATCAGATACTGCTGATACCATGGGCATTGGGGTTGACACAGCATTGAGTGTCCAGATGTCCCTTCTGTGACCAGGAAGATTGTCCAGATGTCCTCATTGTGACCAGGAAGATTGTCCAGATGTCCTTATTGTGACCAGGGAGAGACTGTCCTGCTTTTTGAAAGCACCCAGTGCCCTAGCTTCCCTCTTCAGCCTTCTTCTTCCACTGTTCATTTCTACTTGGGCTTGGAAATCCCACTCATTCCCAGAGCTCAACTATTCTCCATGTGTTGGTACTCCAACATTTAACTTGCTCTAGATCTCAAGTGCAAGAGCTATATTTCCACCTCTTGATTGTGTTACTTCCTCCGTTCTGTCAGCCTTCCCCAAAAGTCATTTTCTCCACAATTTAACTCATTGTTTCTCGCAGATCTTGGGATCTATACCTCTGCTAAAGGTACCATCAAATTCCTTGATTCAAAATCTGAGGTTATTTGCAGAATTTCTCTCTTCCTCTTCTCTCACAGGGATATTGTCTTTGCTCTGGCCATGACCAAGA
Source organism: Homo sapiens (assembly GCF_000001405.40). Classification (NCBI taxonomy): domain Eukaryota; kingdom Metazoa; phylum Chordata; class Mammalia; order Primates; family Hominidae; genus Homo; species Homo sapiens. The sequence goes on from NC_000021.9 coordinate 35,264,564, forward strand.
GTGTGATTTCAGGAAAGTTTCTTAACCTTCCTGAGCTTCTGTTTTCTCTTCAGTTTAATAACAACAATAACATGAGGTTACTGTGAGAATTAAAGCACAGAAGAACATCTAGCACATACTACTCAACAGGTGGTAACTAATTACCGCTCAAGTATCCCACCCTCAATTTTCCTTTTCTTTACTCCAGCCAGTAGCCTGGTTCAGATCATCTTTCCTTCTATAACAGACAATTTTTAATCACTTGTTGTTATGGACTGACTGCTGTGTCCCCATAAAATTCCTATGTTGGAGCTCTCTAACTCTCAATGTGACTATTTGGAGATGAGTTTTTGTTTTTTTTTTTTTTTTTGAGACAGAGTCTCGCTATTCCGCCCAGGCCGGACTGCAGTGGCACTATATCAGCTCACTGCAAGCTCTGCCTCCCGGGTTCATGCCATTCTCCTGCCTCAACCTCCCGAGTAGCTGGGACTACAGGCGCCCGCCACCATGCCCAGCTAATTTTTTTTTTTTTTTGTATTTTTAGTAGAGATGGGGTTTTACCATGTTAACCAGGATGGTCTCGATCTCCTGACCTGGTGATCTGCCTGCCTCGGCCTCCCAAAGTACTGGGATTACAGGCATGAGCCACCGTGCCCAGTTGGGATGAGGTTTTTAAGGAAGTAATTAAGGTTAAAGGAGGTCATAAGGATGAGCAATAATCCAATAGCGTCATTACAAGAAAAGGAAGAGATGCCAGAGATGATCTCTCTCTGCATGCATGCACTGAGGAAAAGCCAAGTGAGCACCAATGAGAAGGCAGCCGTCTGATAACCAGGAAGAGAGCCCCCACCAGATCCTGCCCATGCTGCCACCCTGATCTTGGATTTCCAGCCTCCAAAATTGTGAGAAACAAATGTCTGCTGTTTAAGCCACTTTGTCAGTGGTATACTGTTATGGCAGCCTGAGAAGACTAAGACACTTCTAAATAGGTGTCTCTTCCTTTATAATTGCCTCTTCAACAGCACTGTAGTCAGCTATGCAGTGTCCATTCCTCCATTCTTCCTAACTGAAACAACTTTTGCAGTAGCAAATGTCTCATTAAAAATAAACAAGCCGAGCATGGTGGCTCACTCCTGTAATCCCAGCACTTTGGCAGGGTGAGGTGGGTGAGTCACCTGAGGTCAGGAGTTCAAGACAAGCCTGGTCAACGTAGTGAAACCACGTCTCTACTAAAACTACAAAAATTAGCTGGGCATGGTGGTGCGTGCCTGTGATCCCAGCTACTCAGGAGGCTGAGGCGGGAGAATTGCTTGAACCTGGGAGGCAGTGGTTGCAGTGAGCTGAGATCGCGCCACTGCACTCCAGCCTGGGAGACACAGTCAGACTCTATCTCAAACATAAATAAATAAATAAACACTTCCCCACAATTCCTTGCATTCTCATCCAGTCTAGCCAATGATTTTAAGCAGGCATCTGGGGGAAGGCATGTCTGTTAAAACTATTGCTTTTCTCATAACAAGTGTGATATTCCATTAACATACGAGTTTGAACTTTGCCCTTCCCCCTTCTTGCCTGAAACTCTGATGCGCTGTTGGGAGGTAGAGCAGCCCTCTCGAAACCTGAGGACTGAAGCATCCACTAAGTGAACAAGGTGGACTCAAGTCCTTGATATTTTCTCTGACTGTTGTGCCCATCCTAGAATGCCAACCTTGACTTCTTGTTTCATTTGAAAAATAAACTATTTGGCTTTAGTGGTGTTCTGTTGGATGCAGATATTACAATCTTAACTGGGAGAGCTTCCAAACTGTTCTCCATGTTACCACCAGAAAAAAAAAAAAAAAGGCAAGTGACATCTCCATTAGGTCATGCTCCTACCCAAACGCTTCCACTGGCATCTCATTGTATATGAAATAAAGTCCAAACCCTGAAGACAACATGAGAATTACTTGCCATCAGCCTCTCTCCTTTCCTGCCTTGCCTCCTCCACCCCAGCTTCCATTCTCTGCTATACCATCTTTGAAAAACCACCTGTTCACCCCAGACACACCCAGCACCTCCTCACCTTCTTGCCTTTGCTCTCTGCCTATAAAGCCTCCCTACATCCATCTGCCAAGACATGACTTGTTTTGCAAGTGCCAGCTCAAATGTAGCCTTCCCCTGAGGCAGCAGTGTTTCTTCTTATAAGGAATCTCTTGCATCTTGGGGCTTCCATGGTACTTTGCTTCCAGCAAAATCCCAGACTCTTTCACATTCTGCTGAGAGTTAGTATGAATGACATTGCCGACTGTTGAGGCAGCGTGGTTGTGAGTCAGAGTTCAGGAGCCTCCATGCCCAGCCTGGATCACCCCTAACAGCATGAGGGGCTTAGTACTAATTCCTCGAAGGCTCTTTCTCTCTTTTTAGAAACTCTGTAAATTGGGGTAATGATGGTACCTACTGCCTAACAAGCATTGTTGCAATAATTAAAAGAAAATATGCGTGTAAAGTGCTTACAAAGTGACTGCTACATAGCAACTTAATTTTTTTTATCTTCTTTCCTATCTAGATAAGAATTTTTTTGGTAGCAGTTACTGCCTTATCTGTCTCTCTATAGCCGCTCAGGCTGTAGCATGATGCTGAGTATATGGGAGCCACACAATAACTATTTACTGGGTTAAACCAGTCAATATTTTAAAATTCCCATTCAAATTCTGTTTTGCACAATGATGCATGGAATTAGACACTAAAATATTCAAGCTACACTTAGGTGTCATTTTTTATTTTTATTTTTTGAGTGGAGTTTTGCTCTTTTTGCCCAGGCTGGAGTGCAATGGCGCCATCTTGGCTCACTGCAACCTCCGCCTCCCGGGTTCAAGTGATTCTCCTGCCTCAGCCTCCTGAGTAGCTGGGATTGCAGGCACTCACCACCACAGCTGGCTAATTTTGTATTTTTAGTAGACACAGGGTTTCACCATGTTGGCCGGGCTGGTTTCAAACTCCTTACCTCAGGTGATCTGCCCACCTTGGCCTCCCAAAGTGCTGGGATTACAGGCATGAGCCACCACGCCCGGCCTATGTGTCTTCAAGATCTTTGAACTTACATGAATTTGTGAAGTTCTCATTAGAACTCCTTTATCCTTTTCTCCATATGCTCTTTTTATCTGTTAATTTATTTATTTTTTTTGTTAACCCATGCATTATTTTGTTTGTTTCTTAAAGCAAATCTTTGCAATAGGTACCTAAAGAAGTAAACCACTGTATAGTCAATAGAGATTTCAGGTGCTGAGAGATGGACTTGTCCTAAGGGGGTTAGAGGCAACAGGGGTTTATGCCCCATGGTAAGGATTCCCTGTCTACTGTTCTTTTCATTAAACAAAGTCCCATGGCAAGAATAACCCCTCCAAGCCTACAAGCCCCAGGAGATATTCCCAACAATGAAAACATGCTCAAGGCATTTTGGGTGATGAGGTACAATCAGGAAATTGACAATGCTGGGTCAATGCAGTGAGTCTTAGCTATGGGATCAGATGGACTTGGGTTCGATTCGCCCAGGGGTTGGTACACTGCCTCTGTGCACCGATATGTGAAATGGGGATCTTGATAATCATGTGATAGATTGTCTTAAAGGTCAAAGTAAGCAATATATGTGATGTACATCACATTGCATTGTGGATGCTTGGTAAATTTTATTTCCCCACCCCTTCACAAGCTTGATAATTAGCACACGTTCATCCAAAAGAAAGAGACAGAGATTTCTTATAAAAAATTGAGTCACATTATTATGGAGGCTGGTAAGTCCAAAATCTGCAAAATGGGCCCATTGGAGATTCAAGAAAACCGATTGCACAGAGGAAGCCTGAAGGTCATCTACAGGAAAATTCCCTGTTGCTCAGGGAGGCTGGTCTGTTTCTTTTATTCAGACCTTCAACTGATTGGATGAGGCCCACCAAATTACAGAGGGCAATTTGCCTCACTTAAAGTTCAGCAATGTAAATGTTAATCTCATCCCAAGACACCTTCCATGTTGACACATAAAATTAACACAAATACTATCCTAAAAATGCTTGGTGCTTAATGAGGCCAAGAAAATAATTTCAATTTTTTTAGTAAGTTGCTATTACTTGTAACCAATTACTTCTTCAGAATATACATCAGGTGATGCCTTTCTGTAGATGGATTAGAACCAAAATTGTTGTTCACATTACTACTGTGGGTTCTGATAAGGAATAAGCATCATGTTACAAAATTTGAGATATTTGTGACTATCTGTAGAGGGTTCTAGGGAAACCATGAGCCTGCTTGATGCCTTTGTGCAAATTCTTTTTTTTGGCAAATGCTGGCAAGGGCAGTACAGGCTGGATTTTTTCCTTCAGCCATGGTACATGGACAGCTGGTGACCTCAGACCATTTTGTATGGCTTGTGTATTCCACCACACCATGTATATGAACTGTGGCCTTAGAATACCTTTTAGTCTGAATCAGGTCATGTTCTAGTCAAGTTGCAACTTAGTGATGCATCATTTATGTCAAAAAAATATGTCAGCTGTACTGATTCACAAGCCGAGCATAATAAATGAGCATAATAAACGAATGTAAGTAAAATGGAACCTATCCCTGACGTTGGGCAGGTCTTTGCCCTGTTTTTCAATGCATCCTGCCACCTTTCTCAGGAACCCAGTGTACCGTCTTCACCAAAACACCAGGACATCTCATTATTCCTTGTGTCAAAGCAAAATCTCTTACAGGAAATTTAAGTAAATTCATCATTTTATTCTCTTATGAGTGAAAGGAAACAAAATGCTTTTTTTCCACATCATGACTACACTGTAAGTTTTAAGATGTGAAGTAAACAGCAATTTGTGCTTGAGCCTAGATGTAGAACATTTTCTCCATTGGACATCCTTCAGCCTCTTGACCTTTGAAATAAATATCAGAGACAGAACTTCCCCACCCTCTCACAACCATGGTCAGGGTGTGCATGTGAGGAAAGGGGAGAGTTCTAGCAGCAAGAGCCAAACCAGTCCTGGAGATCACACGGTCAGCCCTCACTGTACCCATGCAAACCACCACCAGTAGAAATAATACAACCATACCTACCTCTCACCTGTACAGCACTTCAATTTTCAATAAGCTTAACTCACACTGTCTTCCATAAAGTTCTTGAACACTTATACACCTATACAATCAAACAAAGCAAAACATACCCAAGCATGAGGTAGTCATCATTCACATTTTAGAAATATGAGGACTGTGGCTAAAATAAAAAGGGGATTAAAAGAGAATTTTAGACCAATATCCCTGATGAACATTGAGGCAAAAATCCTCAATAAAATACTGGCAAACCGAATCCAGCAGCACATCAAAAAGCTTATCCACCATGATCAAGTGGGCTTCATCCCTGGGATGCAAGGCTGGTTCAACATATGCAAATCAATAAACGTAATCCAGCATATAAACAGAACCAAAGACCAAAACCACATGATTATCTCAATAGATGCAGAAAAGGCCTTTGACAAAATTCAACAGCCCTTCATGCTAAAAACTCTCAATAAATTAGGTGTTGATGGGACATATCTCAAAATAATAAGAGCTATTTATGACAAACCCACAGCCAATGTCATACTGAATGGGCAAAAACTGGAAGCATTCCCTTTGAAAACTGGCACAAGACAGGGATGCCCTCTCTCACCACTCCTATTCAACATAGTGTTGGAAGCTCTGGCCAGGGCAATCAGGCAGGAGAAAGAAATAAAGGGTATTCAATTAGGAAAAGAGGAAGTCAAATTGTCCCTGTTTGCAGATGACATGATTGTGTATTCAGAAAACCCCATTGTCTCAGCCCAAAATCTCCTTAAGCTGATAAGCAACTTCAGCAAAGTCTCAGGATACAAAATCAATGTGCAAAAATCACAAGCATTCTTATATACCAATAACAGACAAACAGAGAGCCAAATCATGAGTGAACTCCCATTCACAACTGCTTCAAAGAGAATAAAATACCTAGGAATCCAACTTACAAGGGATGTGAAGGACCTCTTCAAGGAGAACTACAAACCACTGCTCAATGAAATAAAAGAGGATACTAACAAATGGAAGAACATTCCATGCTCATGGATAGGAAAAATCAATATCGTGAAAATGGCCATACTGCCCAAGGTAATTTATAGATTCAATGCCATCCCCATCAACCTGCCAATGACTTTCTTCACAGAATTGGAAAGAAACTACTTTAAAGTTCATACGGAATGAAAAAAGAGCCCACATTGCCAAGTCAATCCTAAGCCAAAAGAACAAAGCTGGAGGCATCACGCTATCTGACTTCAAACTATACTACAAGGCTACAGTAACCAAAACAGCATGGTACTGGTACCAAAACAGAGATATAGACCAATGGAACAGAACAGAGCCCTCAGAAATAATACCACACATCTACAACCAACTGATCTTTGACAAACCTGACAAAAACAAGAAATGGGGAAAGGATTTCCTATTTAATAAATGGTGCTGGGAAAACTGGCTAGCCATATGTAGAAAGCTGAAACTGGATTCCTTCCTTACACCTTACACAAAAATTAATTCAAGACGGATTAAAGACTTAAATGTCAGACCTAAAACCTAGAAGAAAACCTAGGCAATGTCATTCAGGACATAGGCATGGGCAAGGACTTCATGTCTAAAACACCAAAAGCAAGGGCAACAAAAGCCAAAATTGACAAATGGGATCTAATTAAACTAAAGAGCTTCTGCACAGCAAAAGAAAGTACCATCAGAGTGATCAAGCAACCTACCGAATGGGAAAATGTTTTGCAATCTACTCATCTGACAAAGGGCTAATATCCAGAATCTACAAAGAACTCAAACAAATTTACAAGAAAAAAAAAAAAAACCCCATCAACAAGTGGGCGAAGGATATGAACAGATACTTCTCAAAAGAAGACATTTATGCAGCCAACAGACACATGTAAAAATGCTCATCATCACTGGCCATCAGAGAAATGCAAATCAAAACCACAATGAGATACCATCTCACACCAGTTAGAAGGGCGATCATTAAAAAGTCAGGTAACAACAGGTGTGGAGAGGATGTGGAGAAACAGGAACACTTTTACACTGTTGGTGGGACTGTAAACTAGTTAAACCATTGTGGAAGACAGTGTGGCAATTCCTCAAGGATCTAGAACTAGAAATACCATTTGACCCAGCCATCCCATTACAGGGTATATACCCAAAGGATTATAAATCATGCTGCTTGCTATAAAGACACATGCACATGTATGTTTACTGCAGCACTATTCACAATAGCAAAGACTTGGAACCAACCTAAATGTCCAGCAATGATAGACTGGATTAAGAAAATGTGGCACATATACACCATGGAATACTATGCAGCCATAAAAAAGGATGAGTTCATGTCCTTTGTAGGGACATGGATGAAGCTGGAAACCATCATTCTCAGCAAACTATCGCAAGGACAAAAAACCAAACACTGCATGTTCTCACTCATAGGTAGGAATTGAACAATGAGAACACCTGGACACAGGAAGGGGAATATCACACACGGGGGCCTGTCATGGGGTGGGGGGAGGGGGGATGGATAGCATTAGGAGAGATACCTCATGTAAGTGACGAGTTAATGGGTGCAGCACACCAACATGGCACATGTATACATATGTAACAAACCTGCACGTTGTGCACATGTACCCTAGAACTTAAAGTATAATAAAAAATAAATAAATAAAAATTTTTAAAGAGGAAGATTTAGTAATTTGCCCACGATCACATCACAAATACGTGGCAGAACTGGGTTTGAAAACAGATCCTCTTCCATCTTGAGCAATCTTTGGTCCAGATTTCACAGCAGCCACAAGAGGAGTGGGGTGGGACTGCACCCTCTTTTCTTATTCACACCTCCTCCTCCATTGAGGCTGCAACATAGTTCATTTTCGCCTGACCACCCCCAGATGCAATGGGTTTGCAGGAAAGAAACACATCATTCAATCAGCTGCCATTTCTCAAAGCCATCTGGAAAGGCTGTGCTGGATTGCACTGAGGTGAAAAGCAAAGCAGTTCTCTCCGATTCCTTCATCCTGCATGGGTCCAGGCACTTCTGTGCCTCCTTTCCTTTCACCTAAAATCCTTCCTGGATTCACAAGAAATGTGTAATCCACGATGGTCCCTCGCTTTGTCTCACACACTAACATCTACATATTTCTGTGGCATCTCATGTTTATTTAGTCTGATGATAATTTTTCATTCTCTTTTTTCTTTTGCTTGGTTCTGTTTGCCTGATGTTTCCATGCCTTGCCTATATGACTTATGGTGAAACTCTCCAGACGTAATTATTTGGTGTAAATATAATGGCTGAAAATTAATATTTATAGCATTTAAGGAGTGTTGTATTTTTGTTGTTAATGATGACGTTGTTTCAAAATTTCAAGACTCTCTTTGGATAATTGATGTATTCATATTTAACATGCAATAATATTGCACAAGTGTATTGGAAAAAGCAAGTGTTGAAATTGTTGGACCAGCTCTTTTTCATTTGACACCTACTCTTTACCCTATTGAACTTCACCTTCTTTGTCTCTGAGCACTTCTAAACTGCAGAAGACACTTGCAACTCTAAATTCACGTTGACTGTTCCACTAAAGCAACAGAAGTGATATCAAGTAGATTCATATATTTTAAAGGCCAAAGAGTATTGGTTCAAAAATTGCTCCTTTTTAAAATATACTCCATATGGCCATGGGTTTCTCAAGTAGACCACAGTTTGATTTAAGAACATTTTTCCCTCTTGAGAAAAACAAAAAACCACACTAACATATCTAGAACATTTTTCCTGCCCTCTCTTTGCACAATACCCCACCTAGTATTATGAGGGATTGTAGGCCTAACTAAATACCCCCAACTTACCTTAAGTACACACCCTCCGAACTCCCCAAACCAGTTAGGCCTTATTGAAAGAGTTTTGCCATTCAAACGCCTTCCCAGTTGTCCTGTCTTAGCCACACCCACAAAACAAATGCAACTGCTCACTCTAGAGCCAGCCGGTGGGCAAATAGAGCTCAGCTTCCAGCCTCTCCCAGGCCAGGCATACATTTGGCCTGAAGCTGTTTTGCTGTTTTGTACAAATGGAAGCCACTCAACTGCTTTTACACCTTATTTTAATGCCTTATTATTTCAAAGGGATCTCTGTTCTTATTGACAATAATTACTGTTAACTCCCCCATCAAGTTCAAAGGTTTCTGTGATTATGAAACTTCTTCTAAAGACTAGCCGATTAATCCAACTTGTTATTAAATTAGAACTATATTCTTGACCTGTTTTAATGGAGGTTTTATTACTGCTTTCCTAATAAGCTTAACTATCACCTTGAAATCACATCAATATTTCTCTAATCTTTATTATCTCTATTAGGAGTCCATGGGCTCACTCGCTATTAGATAGGCATTTAATGTCTACTATAATCTGGCCCTAAATTATCAAATTCATTTCAACTCCCTGATTCCCCCACCTCCGCCCACCTGGTCCCCCCTCCTCCTCAATGCACTTGCATCTTCTTGTCCAACCAAATACAGAGCTTTATACTTTGATGTCTGAACACACGATATGTACATATATCAGCCTCTTTCCTTTACCCTGCAAGCAATGGCCTCTCCCTTCCTTTCTCTGTCCTCTTCCTACCCAGCTCCTCCAGCCTGCCTTGTTCACTCTGCTCTTGCTCACTCTGCCAAGGCCATAGGATCTTGAAAACGCCTATAGCCTCTCCCACCCATGTGGCACTAGTACACAGAGTTTAGCACTAATTTAAGACTTGGTGTTTATCTCTAGCTCCTAAGTTCACAGCTAGAAAACAAACTTCAAGGAAGTGGAGTTTGCTCCTATGTTATTGTGGTTTCAAACTTTGACAAAGGAAAGAATCCCTAGACCTGGAATCTGAAGAGTTGGCAGGCAGTAAATAGTTCTAGCGATTTATCAGCTGTATGGTCCTGCATTTGCCACTTACCCTTCTCTTGGCCTCAGTGTCTCATTCATAAATTGGAGAAAATGCCTTTTCCGACTACCTGACTGCATTGCTGCAAGGAGCAGACGTGTTGCTCAGGCAGAAAACCTTGGAGTTGCTTTGGCTCTCCACTATCTTCTACTCTCAAATCCAAATCATCAGTGAATTCTGCTGGCTCTTCCACCATAGCCTATCTTGGCTGAAACCACTTCTCGCCACCTTCAATTTACCCCCTGGCCCTCACCCTATCCCTTCTCAATTGGATTGTTGAAATACCCTCCTAACTCATCTTCCTGCTTCTACCCTTGAGTGGTGCTCTCTGCAATCTCTTTCATGTGATGTTTCAAAGCCAGTGTCAGAATATCACTGCTCTGCTCAGAACTCTCTAGCACCCTATGGTCTAGCTCGGGATAAAGTGCAAAGTCCTGACAGGGTGCCTCTCAGCCCACCTCCTTCTGCTCTCCCTCTCAACCACCACTCTAGCGATTGCCTCCTCTTGCATCTGGAACATCAGAAGGGCCGAGTTCTGACTTACTTTTGCTTGGCCTGGCATGAACCTCCCCGAGTAGCTGCTCGATTTCCTTTCAGCACCACTCTCTGTGTTTTCAGCCCACTTTGACAGGAGACTCTCTGAATGGCCCCTTGAAAAGCACCTTAACCCACCTATCCCCGAACATGCTTTCTTCCTCTTCAGAGTTCTTATCACCAATGACATAACATGTATTTATGTGCTTATGTCTGTGGTTTCTGTCTGTCTCTGCTAGAACGTTAGCCTCATGAGAGCAGATGCCTTGTTTGGTTTACTGCCATATCCCCAGCATGAGAGTTCCTGGAACATAGTAGGTGCTCAATAAATACCTATAAAATAAATGAACAAGCGAATGAATGAATATAATGGAGTTTATTTGAAACTCTACAGTTTTAATCCACTGTTCTCTACCTTGGTTGTCCATTAAGATCCACTGAGGAATTTTAAAGAATACTGATGTTCAGAACACACCCTAAACCATTTAAATCAAAATCTATTGGACTGAAGCCCAGGTGTTGGTACTTTTAAAAAACTCCCTAGATGTTTCCAATGTATAACCAAGGTTGAGACCTATTGCTCTCGAGCATATAAAACAGTATTTGTTTCTAATTGGATTTGCGTTCCCAGCTAGCACCTTGCTAGCTAAGTGCCTTGTACATTTCAAATACTTCTTGATTGGTTGTTTTTAAAAATGACCACTTTTAATGCATAGAATAGTTTGTGCACTGGGAAAAAAAACCTCAATACTATTTTACTTGGTTAGATTTAGATCGGTATCTTATTTGGGGAATGGAACCACAAGAATTGAGTAGCTATTCTCTGCAAGGTACTCTGCCAGTTACTAAAGATACAAATCCCATTTAATACCATGTAATGACGATAATATTTTTCATATGGTAAACCAATGTAGTTTTTTTATTCCTTGCAAATCATTTTGCCCTGTGGCTCCCCACAGATTGAATCAGAGGCATTTATTGCTTCAGGGGAAGGCAGATACTGCCTAAAACAAAGACAACTTTGTTCAGCTTTGAGGAGCAGACTAGATTTGTTAAGCTCAGACGAGACAACAGTCTTGAAAGCTAAGCTTGTGGAGAGAGAAAAGAATTTGATAAATACTCAAAGCTTCCCTTTAATCATAAATGAGAAAACTTGTGGGAGTGACGAGTAAGTTGTCAAACTTTTTTTTATTTCAGGACACCTTTGCAATATTAAGAATTATTAAGGCCCCAGATAACTTTTGTTGGTTTACAGGGGTTATATATTTATCAGTAGTTACTATATTTATAAATTAAAATTGAGACATGTAAAAATATTTATTAATTCATTCTTATAAGATCAATGTTAAATCCATTACATGTTAACTTAAGGGATACATTTCTGGGAAATAATTACATTGTCCAAAACAATATGTAAGGAGTGACTTTTTAAAAAAAATATTTTTTGGAAATCTCTTCAATGTCTAGTTTGATAGAAAGTTAAATTTTTATATCTGCATCTGCATTCAGTCTGTTTCAATCTGCTGTTTTGGTTGAAGTACATGAAGAAAATCCAGCTTCACACACATATTTATTAATAGTTCAAAAATGCAAGGTATATTAATCGCCATTTCAGATTATTGTGGAATTATTCTTTGAAAAAAATCCTACTTCTTAATGTTTAGTTGCCATATGGAATTTCAAACTATAGCAATGAATTTTCATACTTTGATATATTAAACTTAATTTATCCATCTCATGCTTTGAATAGATCTTTTACTCATGTATGTTTTTGTAACATTATGTATTGGCCACTTGGAAACTATCAGTTCACTAAGTTATGTAGATCTTTCAAATGTTGACACATTTCATTACTCAATATTTTAAAAAATCACATTTGTTAATATCACTATCCATGTCATCAGAAATGTCTGTAAGCACTTGGAAGTAAGTTCACAGGGGTGGAAACAAATTTCTAAAATTCTTATTTTTGTTGAAAATTCAAATTTTATCATTAGCAACAAATGTTCTCAGCTGTTTTTCTTGAAGTGACAGGCTTGCTTTAATCATTTTCAAGAAAATATCTCCATAACACCTACGTTTGAATAACTATAGTTTGTACGTCAGTTATTTTTCAAATAAGAGTGGTGTTTTATGAAAAAGAGGCTAGTTCAGAATACTCACAACTTGCTTCTGCTTCTTCAGACAACCACTGTGGTCCAGTATGTAGCAGAGGTGGTTTATGCATACTTCCTGTCTGGTTATATAAAATATTAAAAAGATGTGTACTCAAGGGATGAGATTTAATAGCATTAATTTTTTTATTGCTTCATGGAGGACATAATTTAATGAAACTGATTTTTTTTAACTGTACATGGATGGCGGAAAAAATGCAGTGACTACTAGTTGTGTTTAACAGCACTGTCTTTTTTTTTTTTTTTTTTTTGAGACAGAGTCTCCCTCTGTCACCTAGGTTGAAGTGTAGTGGTGCAACCTCAGCTCACTGCAACATCCGCCTCCCGGATTCAAGTGATTCTCATGCCTCAGACTCCTGAGTAGCTGGGACTACAGACATGCACCATCACGCCCGGCTAATTTTTGTATTTTTAGTAGAGACGGGGTTTCGCCATGTTGGCCAGGCTGGTCTTGAATTCCTGACCCAAGTGATCTGCCCGCCTCGGCCTCCCAAAGTACTGGGATTACAGGCGTGAGTCACTGAGCCTGGCCTCATACCACTGTCTTGATTGTTGCTATGGTGCTCATAATTTTACACACCAATATTTTTACAACATCAATGAAGAATGTCGACACATTTTTTAAAAGCAAATAATGTCTTTGTATTTATCAAAATCATTTTGTGCCTCATAGACACCCCTGCTAGGGTCTCGGGGATGCCCAGCAGTTGACATGTCACACTTTAAAGACTCCTGCACTAGACTAATCATAGAGGATGTGATATAAAGGAAGCCCCATTTCTTAAAGGTTTCAGGAAGAAGGGAAGCTTCTGGTCCCTTAAGCATGGAATGAAAAGTGGAGAGGATATAACTGGCAGGGTGGAGACATGGGCAGAGGCATGGAGTTTGAAACAACCAGAAAGATTTGAGGGCATGGCTGGGTGCAGTGGATCATGCCAGTAATCCCAGCACTTTGGGAGGCTGAAGTGGGAGGATTGCTTGAGCCCAGGAGTTTGAGATCAGCTGGGTAACATAGTGAGACACCCATTTCTACGACAAATAAAAATAAAAATTAGCATGGTGTCATGGCATACACTTGTAGTTCCAGCTACTTGGGAGGCTAAGGTGAGACGGTTGCTTGAGCCCAGGAGTTTGAGACTGCTGTGAGCTATTATCATGCCACTGCACTCCAGGCTGGGTTGACTTATCTTTTGTGTAAAAAAAATAAGAAAAGATTTGAGAAAAGTTCCCCAAGGAAGGTTTGTTTCTCACTTCCCAGGGTATAGCCCAGAGGAACATTCACCTCCTGAGAATAGCCTGATATTCAGTATGGCATGGGTCCCACATGGTGCTTCCCAAGATGCAGACTGAAAATGACCGGTACATGACACCATACTTAATAGTGAAAGACTGAATTATTTTCTTCTAAGATTGGAAACAAGGAAAGGACATCTACTCTCACCACTCTGATTCAACATAATACTAAAAGTTCTAGGCACTGCAATAAGGCAAGGAAAATTAATAAAATGTATGCAAATTGGAAAGGAAGAAATAAAAACTGTCCCTATTTGCCGATAACATAAATGTCTGAATAGAAAAGCCCAATGAATCTATCAAATAACAACAAAAATTTCCTAGAAGTGAATTAAACAAAGTTGCCAGATACCTAATTAATAGACAAAAATCACTTGTATTTATATCTACTAAGAATGGACATGTGAAAACTGAACTTAAAAACAGTACTATTTATAATCATGCCAGAGAAATTTAAATATTTTGGTTAAATAAACTTAACAAAACATGTATAAGATCTATATGCTAAAAATTACAAGATGCTGATAAAGGAAATCAAACAATGCTTAAATTAATAGAGAGGCATACCATGCTCATGGATTGGAAGAGTCAACATAGTAAATACATCAGTTCTTTCCAGCTTGGCCTATAGATTAGATAAAACTTCTATCAAAATCCCAGCAAGATTTCTGTAGGCACAGATAAGCTTATTTCAAACTTTATATGGAAAGGCACTAGCCCTAGAATAGCAAAAACAATCTTGACCAAAAAATGAATAAAGTGCAAATAATTAGTACTTGCTATTAATAGTTATTAATTCTATATAGCTGTAATATCAAGACAGTGAGGAATAGACAGTGGAACAGAACAGAGAGCCTAGAAATAAACCTACACAAATACGTGCAACTGATTTTTTTTCTCCTAGAAAGTAAATTCCAGTTGTGATAAAGTATGCACAAAAGAACTAAGAACACAGTGAAATACAATAATTTTAATTCTGACCATGAGTGATTTTTAAAAATTAAGTACAAGTCCAGGCATGGTGGCTCAAGCCTGTAATCCCAGCACTTTGAGAGGCTAAGGCAGGCAGATCACGAGGTCAGGAGATCAAGACCATCCTGGCTAACATGGTGAAACCCCATCTCTACTAAAAATACAAAAAATTAGCCAGGCATGGTGGCAGGCACCTGTAGTCCCAGCTACTCAGGAGGCTGAGGCAGGAGAATCACTTGAACCCGGGAGGTGGTGGTTGCAATGAGCCAAGATTGTGCCACTGCACTCCAGCCTGGGTGACAGAGCGAGGCTCTGTCTAAAACAACAACAACAACAACAACAACAACAACAACAATTTAAGTGTAACTCACATACCCCCAAAATTCACCCTTTAAAGTATGCAATTCAGCAGCTTTTATTATATTCATAAACTTTTCCATTGCTACCACTACCTAATTCCAGGACACTTCCATCACCCCAAAAAGAAACCCTGTATCCATTATCAATCACACTTCATTTCCTCCTCACCCAACTCGCAACCATTAATACAGTTCCTTTCCATAGAGTCAACTATCCTGGGCATTTCATATAAATGGAATCATACAATAAGTGGCTTTTTGTGTCTGGCTTATTTCACAGGCCAGAATGAACCCAGGAGACAGCCCCTAGACCCAATGTGGTTCTAGCACCTACAACTTCCACCTTCAAACCAGGATGATGTATAAATTCTGTTTATATTTGTTTTGATGCCCCTGGAAAGAAATCCCAAATTGACTTAACTCAAATCCTCAAAAGACTACCCATTTATGCAAAAGTGACTGAGTTAATCTGAAAGAGTGTTTTAAACCAGTTAAAACTAAGATACTCATACTGACCAGTTTGACTTTTCTTCCCCTTTTATAGGGGAACACAGAAGCTCCAAAATGAGATCAGTTATGGAAAATAAGGAACATTCTAATTTTTTTTTTTTAGGATCTGAGTCATAGCATCTAGGTTCCCATCTTCTCAGCTCCTAACAATCCTAGTTTCAAGATGAGGAAACTGAGGCTCAGAAACATTGAGAGACTGCCCAATGTCACATGTAAATTCAAGTCTGTCTGCTTTCAAATCCATTTTTTAAGCAAAGACTGACTTTTGATAATAAGATTAATATCAAAGCTAGATGCTTTTCATAAACTCTTACTAAGAAGGGTCATATACTGTAACATCTCACCCAAATCAAGCTCTACAATTTTTGAGAACTTATAAAGCAAAGCAAAACAAAACAGAATTTTCTAATTTTCAGGAACTCCTTTATATAAGCTCCCCAACCTTATTACTATTCAAAATTTAAAACATTTTTTTTTTTTAAAAAAGGATAGCAGTAAAAAAATTACAACCAGTAGTCAATTAGTATATTACTTACATGCTGCTTAATACTGGGTGGTATTTATTGAACATCGACTCGGCGTCTATCCCTAGGCTAAGCAATTTCCATGCATCATCTCATTCCAGTTTCATGACCAACTTTTGAGGAAGGCTGAGTAGCAGAACCCAGGACACACCCTGAGTCAGTAACAGAGCCAACTTCAAGCCCCTCTGGTCTCTGGAGCCTACACTCTTTTTATTGTTTGTTTGTTTTTTGAGATGGAGTCTTGTTCTGTCGCCCAGGCTGGAGTGCAATGGTGCGACCTCGGCTCACTGCAACCTCCGTCCCCCAGGTTCAAGAGATTCTCCTGCCTCAGCCTCCCGAGTAGCTGGGATTACAGGTGTGTGTCACCATGCCCAGCTAATTTTTATTTTTAGTAGAGATGGGGTTTCACTATGTTGAACAGGCTGGTCTTGAACTCCTGACCTCAGGTGATCCACCCGCCTCGGCCTCCCAAAGTGCTGGGATTACAGGCGTGAGCCATCATGCCCGGCCTATTTATTCTTAAGTTCCTAAAAAGGTAGTACATGAAAGAGAGAAAGTGTGTGTGTCTCTATGTGTGTATACACATACAAACATGCAGGTGCCTGCTGAAGTTTCCTCAAAGCACTGACATATTACTTTATTTTGAAAAGATAATTTTTGTGATTAACTGCCCTTGGATAAATTTTAGCGATAGAACTTTTAATATGTGGATTATGAAAAAAATTTAAGCCTTGTTTCTTTTGAGATTTAAACTATACTACAACCAAATGTAAGCGACACAGTGCGTTAAAGGTTGAATTGTATGTTCACAAAAAAGATAGGTGGAAGTACAAACCCCCCAGTACCTTAAAATGTGATTATATTTGGAAATAGGGTCTTCACAAATGTAATCTAGTTAAGATGAGGTGTTTGAAGTTTAATCAAAATATGACTGATGTCCTTATAAGAAGAGGAAAATGCAAAAATGCCACGTGACGGTAGAGGCTGAGAGTGGGGTGAGGCAGCTGCAAGTCAAGGAATGCCAGAGATTGACAACCCCTGCCAGGAGCTGGAAGAGGAAAGGAAGGATTCTATCCAGAATTTCAGAGGGGGCATGACCCTGCTGACACCTTGATCTAGAAATTCTGGTCTCTAGAACTGCAAGAGAATAAATACATTTTTGTTATTTTAAGCCACTCAGATTGTGGTATTCTGTTATGGCAGACCTAGGAAACTGACACCCAGGGCTTTAGACAGGAAGGGGTGGGTGCTGTGGGAAGATGATCACGTCCTAGAGAAAACGAGAAGAGGAATAACAATGACATGGAAAAGAGGTGACGTGTTCTGGAAAAAGAGGAAGTTTTGATGTACCTACTTTCTTGTTTTGATTTTCTTAGAATTCAAAGTAAGTATGCAGAAAAAGATTCATGTGAATTGGATATTGCAGACATAATCAAGGAAAGCCAGCTACAAGTCTTGCTGCACTTAAGTGTAAGGTTTAATCAAAATGGATGGTAGATTTCACAAAACAGAACCAACCATTTATCATAGTTACTAAAACGAATATCACATAATGTGTACGTGTGTGTGTGTGTGTGTGTGTGTGTGTGTGTGTGTGTGTGTAAAATTTAGTGCACTCAATAGCATTGAGCCTCATTAAAAAAAGAACATGTTGGCCGGGTGGCGTGGCTCACGCCTGTAATCTCAGCACTTTGGGAGGCCGAGGTGGGCAGATCATTTGAGGCCAGGAATTTGAGACCAGCCTAGCCAACATGGAGAAACCCTGTCTCTACTAAAAAATACAAAAATTAGCCGGGCATGCTGGCATGAACCTGTAATCTCAGCTACTCGGGAGGCTGAGGCACGAGAATCACTTGAACCTCGGAGGAGGAGGTTGCAGGGAGCCGGGATTGCACCACTGCACTCCAGCCTGAGTGACAGAGCAGCCTATATTAAAAAAAAAAAAGAAAGAAAGAGAAAGAAAGAAAGAAAAAGAAAGAAAAGAAAAGAACATGTTTTAGGAAATATCTTACTGATTTTTTTCTACTTCAGATCTCACATGTTGACAATGTTGCTTCCAATTCTGGTGTCTTAATAAAACAACCCTTAGAGTTCTTTACGTCAGAAATGTATGATGATCATAGAAGAATTAGATAATTATTACTGGATATACCACAAGAGGAAACATGTATTATTCTCCATACAGATTTACATACACTGATCTATAAAGGGTATGGGGCAGGTTCCGAAGTGAGTCATCACTTTGTCCCAGGAAGGAATGGGAGAGACGCCTTATCAGGGTGGCTCATGGGACACTCGGTGAAGGCTTTTCTGGGGCCTCTGCTGCTTTTCCCATTTTGTCCTTGAACTGGACAATTGGCCTGCACCCACAGACCTGCTTCCTGTCAGGAATTTGTTACCAGGCCTTGCCTTTGCTTCCTCCCAAGCTCAAAGACTCTTCAGTTATTTTAACCCCGGAAAGACTGGAGCAAACTCTGCCTGTCCTCTCTGAGGAGCTGGTGTTGTTTCACCAGCTATGACAATGCAGGGGTATTTTTGTATTCCCATTTGTGGGAGATAGTCTTTTTTATTTTACTTGTGATAAAACTGTCAGCAAATTCTGCCTTCATTTCTCTGGTTCGGTGCACTCCCTTGGGAATTAACCTGATGGCAAGTTGTAGCCATGCCATCAAATAACTGACACAAAATACATTTCTTAAATGGGCATGTTAATACCTCAGAAACTTGAGTAAACGTCCAATGTGGCCATTTTTTAAAGTTGTCCTCTTTTATTTTAGGAATGAGGAACTCATTCACACTAGCATTGTTAGAGGGATGGGTAGTGGTGAGCTACATCCAGAGTGATAAGGAGGTCCCAGGAAGGTCCCAGGACACTCCCAGAAGGAGCACAGGGAGGTTTGTCCCAGTTCCCCTTCAGATGACACAGATTCATGCTGCCACGATGGAATGACCACACTTGTCCTCCTCTGCTTTAGCCTCATTTCCTCTCTCCCTCTGTCCATGCACGTCTGTAGGTGAGCACTTCCATTCCGACGGATGCACATGCCATCTTAATGGTGATGCTTCTCTGCCAAGCTCCTGGCTAATGCATGCAATTCCTCCTCCACTTGGAACACAGATGTCTCAAAGTCAAAATGTCCAAAGCAGCCTTATTGCTTCTTCCCCAACCCCCATCTCTATCCCTTCTTGATTTTCCACATTTTAGAAAATTGGGCAATGGGCGCCCTCGCCAATCCAGCCAGACCATCACCACCTGCTGGATTCACCAACAGGTGCTGTTGATGCCATGTGAAGACTCCAGTTCAAATCTGTCACTTCCCCTGCCCTGCCTGGGACCCTGTCCCTGCCCCCTCCTCTCTCTGAACCCTTAGAGTCTGCTATCCATGCTCCACCCTGCAGACAGAGTGGCTGCTTCTCCAGCTGTAAGTGAGCTCGTTTCACTTTCCTGCTCAAAGCCCTCCCCGTGGTTTCTCAAGGCACTTGGAGTAAACCCTAAACTTCTTACTACAGCTTCCAAGGCCCTGAATGACCCTATCCCGGCCAACTTCTCTGGCTCCGTGCCAGGCCGCATCTAGCTCATTAATTTGGAGCCACGTTTCTCATCTCAGAGCTCATTCCCACCTCAGGGTCTTTGCCCTGCAGTGCCCTTGGACTGGGCTGCTCTCCCTGTGATCTTCCCAAGGCAAACTCCTTTGAATCCCTTAGGTCTCAGCAGAAACGGCGCCCCCACAAAGAACCGCATAGACCAGTCTACCTAAAGCAGGCCATTGCTCCACAGTGTCCCCAATTCAGCCTTACTATCGTATCCTTCAGAAAACACAATGTATGAGTATTTTTGTCTATTTTATTTTTATTGCAGTATAACATAATACAATAAGGTGACTTAATTTTAATGTGGAGCTTGATGAATTGTGACATATCTAAACCCGTGTAACCACCACCCAGATCAAGAAGTGGAACATGACTACAAACCCAGAAGATTGCCCTACATCCTTTCCAAGTTGGTCCTCAGAGTGCCTTCTTCCCTATTTCCAGAGATAAGCACTATTCTGACTTCTCTCACCATTGATTAGTTGTGCTTGTTCTTGAACTTTATAGAAATGTAATCACATAGCAAATACTCTGTTGTGTGTGTCTTCTTTTACTGAGCAGAATGCTTTGAGATTCATCATGTAGTTATGTGTAATTTGTCCTTTTTTATGACTGTATAACATTCAGCTCTATGATTATAACTTATTTATTCATCCTTTTGCTGATACTTAAACTGTTTTCAATTTTTAGCTATTATAAATGAAACTGCTAAAGACATCCTGCACGAGCCATTTGGTGGACGTAAGAATGCACCTCTGGCTCATGCCTGTAATCCCAGCACTTTGGGAGGCCGAGGCAGGCAGATCACGAGGTCAGGAGATCGAGACCATCCTAGCTAACACGGTGAAACACCTGTCTCTACTAAAAATATAAAAAAATTAGCCGGGCGTGGTGGCAGGCGGCTGTAGTCCCAGCTACTCGGGAGGCTGAGGCAGGAGAATGGCTCGGGAACCCAGGAGGAGGAGCTTGCCGTGAGCCGAGATTGCGCCACTGCACTCCAGCCTGGGTGACAGAGCGAAGACTCTGTCTCAAAAAAAAAAAAAAAAAAAAAAAAAAAAAAATAGAATGCACCTCTGTTGTTGGGTATATACCAGACAGGGAATTCTGGGTCTGAGGGCAGACATATGTTTTAACAGATTATAGCATTAGTCTTAGTTTTAATTTTGATTTGTGTCTTCCCTAGTGGAATTCATCTCTGTGAAGGCTAGAACCTGTTTACCTTGTCTACCTTTATACCCTAACACCCAGTGCAGTGTCTAGCACATTTTAAGCACTCAGTTAATATTTGTTGAAATAATAGGTATATCATTCTGTTCATTCCATTTCTTTCTTTTCTTTTTTGAGATGGAGTTTCACTCTTGTTGCCCAGGGTGGAGTTCAGTGGCATGATCTCGACTCACTGCAACCTCCACCTCCTGGGTTCGAGTGATTCTCCTGTGTTAGCCTCCCAAGTAGCTGGGATTACAGGCATGCACCACCACGCCTGGCTAATTTTGTATTTTTAGTAGAGACAGGGTTTCACCATGTTGGTCAGTCTGGTGTTGTACTCCTGACCTCAGCTGATCCACCACCTCGGCCTCCCAAAGTGCTCATTCCATCTGTGATCGTTCATTTCAGTTCGTGCCTCTCCAGCTTGTCATATCCTTTCATGGTACATTTTAAGCATCAGTTTTCGTTGTTAAATGCCGTATTCTCTTGGTGCTACTGCAAATTCCAGACAGAACCTGAGGAATCAGCCCAGCCTTTTCAGCCAGCCCCACACTGTTGTGAGCAGACTCAACACTGGCCCCCTTGGGCTTGGGGCCCCCCCAGGCCTATCAAGTGTGTCTGAGGAGTAGACTGGCATGCCCAACCCATGCTCGCCTCTGTGCAGCATCTCATAGGATTCAACTGTGGCTGGAATTTTAACATTCATCCTGACTGGCACATGTATGTACTTGGCACAATGCCTGACATAAAATTATACTCAGCAAACAAACTACTATCATGTATTTCCATTATTACCAAAACTTCAACTACTTCTCCTACTGATATCATAGTCCATAATTGGCCTTCACCAGGTTAGACAATCAGATATTCCTTAAAAAGCCAACCGCAGTTCGGGAACATCAGTCTCTAATTTCTACATGTCCAATGTTGTTTGGGATCTGTAGATTACAAAACACAAAAGTCTTAATAAAAGGAAACTGTTAGCCACTTTATGCAGTAAACAAGAATGCATCATCTGAGGTACATACATTCCAATTTCTTTTAGGAAAGGGGTAGAGTCATTTATGTTAAAACTCAACATGTTATATTTAAATATCCATCTGTAATGGACAGACTAAAAGTGGCCCTCCTGACCCCCACCTCCTAGTATTCACACCCTACTGTGATCTCCTCTTCAGTGTGAGCAGCACCTGTGAATTGCTGCTAAATAATAGAATATGGCAAAAAGACAGGGTGTATGGGATTAGGTGATTATATTACATACAACTGCATCATCTGGCTGGGTGCGGTGGCTCACACCTGTAATCCAAGCACTTTGGGGGGCTGAGATGTGTGGATCACAAGGTCAAGAGATCGAGACCATCCTGGCCAACATGGTGAAACCCCGTCTGTATTAAAAATACAAAAATTAGCTGGGTGCAGTGACACACACCTGTAGTCCCAGCTACCCGGGAGGCTGAGGCAGGAGAATCACTTGAACCTGGGAGGCAGAGGTTGTAGTGAGACGAGACTGCACCACTGCACTCCAGCCTGGGCAGCAGAATGAGACTCTGTCTCAAAAACAAACAAACAAACAAACAAAACAAAACAAAACTGTATCATCCATCTTCCTGGAGTCTCTCTCTCCCTTGCTGGCTTTGAGGACGTGAGTAGCTATGTTGGGGAACCCCACACAGCAAGGAATTAGGAACAGCATCTAGGGAGTAAGGGCAGTCTCCAGCCTGCAAGGGCCTCCAGCTGACACCCCCAACAAAATAAGCCCTTTAGTCCTAAAACCACAAGGAACTAAATTCTGCCAACAACTACACGAGCTTGGAAATGTATCCTTCCCCAATCAAGCCTCAGATGAGACCACAGCTCTAGCCAGCACCTTCATTGCAGCCTTGTGAGTCCTTGAGACTGTGAACCCAACTAAACTGTGTCCAGACTTCTGACCTACAAAAACTGTAGATGATAAATGTGTGTTGTTTTCAGCTACTATGTTTGTGGTGATACTGCTTCACCACAATAGATAGCTAATACATCATTCATTTTTGTCATTCATTTAGTTAGCATCTATTAAGAGCATACTTGCTCATAAGATAGTTCTATCTTTATTAAGAAACCTGTATGCTGTTTTTCATAATAGCTGTACTAATTTACATTCTCACCAACAGTGCACAAGGGTTCCCTTTTCTCCACATCCTCTACAACACTTGTTTTTTTTTTTTTTTGTCTTTTTGATAATAGCCATCCTAACAGATGTGAGGTGATATCTCATTGTAGTTTTGATCTGCATTTTTCTGATGATTAGTGATATTGAGTAGTTTTTCCTATACCTGTTGGTCATTTGTGTGTTTTATTTGGAGAAATGCCTATTAAGGTATTTTGCCCATTTTTAAATAAGATTTTTTTTTTTTTTTTGCTATTGAGTTGTTTGAGTTTCTTATATATTCTGGATATTCACCCCTTGTCATATGTATAGTTTGCAAATATTTTCTCCCATTTTGTAGGTTGTTTCTATACTTTGTTGATTGTTTTCTTTGCTGTGCAGAAGCTCTTTAGTTTGATCCAGTAATCCTGTTAGTGGGTATATATCTGAAGAAAATAAAATCTGTATGTCAAAGAGATATCTTCACTCCCATGTTTGTTGCGGCACTATTCATAATAGCCAAGATATGGAATTAACTTCAGTGTTCAATAACAGACAAATGGAAAAAGAAAATGTGATGTATATATACAACGGAATACTATTCAGCCATAAAAAAGAATAAAATCCTGTCATTCACAACAACATGGATGAATCTGAATGAAATTAAGTGAAATAAGCCAGTGACAGAAGGACAAATATTACATGTTCCCATTTATAGCAGAATGTTAAAAAGTTGATCTCATAGAAGTAGTGAATAGAACAGTGGTTCCTGGCAGCTGAAGAGGGTGGGAAGAAGAAGAGAAAGGAGAGAGATAGGTCAGTGGATAAAAAGTCACAATTAGGAAGGAAGAATAAGTGCTGATGTTCTGTTGCACAGTAGGGTGACCATAGTCAACAATAAGGTATTACACATCTCAAAATAGCTAGAAGAGAGAATTTTGTATGTTCCTACCACAGAGAAATGGTAAATGTTTGAGGTGATGGACACGCTAATTATCCTGATTTGATCATTACACAAGGTATACGTATATCAAAACATCACAGTGTAGCCCACAAATATGCACAATTAAGCGTCAACTAAAAATAAAAATAAAATAAAAAAGGAATGACTAAAATATAATAATAACCCTAAAAAGCATACTGTAGGCCAAGCACAATATTGGACACCAGATATAGGACATCATTTAGTTATTATTCAATCAAATGTGACCAGCCTGAAAGCCATTCCAATTCTATATGCAGTTGTTTTATAAACCCCAAAACAATGATACAACCACAATCTGAGATAACACAACACTGGCACTACTGACCTTACTTAGTGTTTTCCCCCATTATTTCCCTTTAGGCAAGATTAAATGCTCATGGCAAAACAAACTTATTTGGTATTTCACAATGAAATTATCATATTTTAATAAAATTATTGAATTATCAAAATTTCTGCAAGAAATTTGAAAACTGTCACATTACAGAAGAACAGGGATAGGGACCAACCAAGCTGGCTAGACATATACAACTACAGCAAACTATGTTGTTGTTCGTCAGTTTTGGGGTCAAGGTAGCATGTAATCTTCCAGAGAGCTAGGTTGGAGATACGAAAAATATTTTTAATGATACAAACTATTCCAGATATGAATATGAAATTAGTATTTCTGGCAATATGCGTTGTATACGGCGGTTAAATGATTCTGCATTTCTGTGGCTAAATAATTGGAGCTGTCTTGGTTTTAAGCAACTGTGGATTTTGTGGTTAAATTACGTTGTCTAGTTTTAACAACTCTGTGTGTATATATATGTGTTTGTATATCTGTAGGTGATTTTTACACAAGTTATAGGTCATTGTAACTAAGCCACAGAAACCTATGATACTACCCTGTGTGTGGAATGACCTCACAAGTCACTCCAATTTCTGTTTTTAATGTTGTCCTGCAAATCATAACCATTCATAGGGAATTTGAAATTGCTTCCAAGTCTCATCAGCAGAGAGTGAAAGCCTTTTAATTTTTTAGAGATGTCTTCCATGATGACAATTGTAGAGTAGAATTCCCCTCCTCCACAGAAAGAATAAAATTTAACTCTTCTACATGAACTCTGATTTTTTTAATGCATTAATAAGAATATATATTTTCTAGAAAACTGAGAAGTGCAGTTCCGTTATCCTAAACATTATTTTTCCAAATCCAAAACTTTTTATATGATTCTACATTACTAATTTATGTTGTTTTTATGTCACTTTGTTGTATGTTTCCCAGTTTTGGGTTTCATAAAAGTATAGTTTCCTCTACAAATAAAATCATACGAATAAGATTTTTGTGGGTATGAGAAAAGGTAGGTGTTAAAACTAGCAAGCCAGTGAACAGGTGATGAGATTACGGAGTCTATAACCACAGATTGCTATTTTCACATTGAGCCTATTATAACCAAAAGTTGTTTAACCTATAATCAGTTACTTCTTACTTAAATAGATGTACTACTGTTCTCCAATTAAAACATATGATGATATCATGTTAATTCAAAATCTATTCCTGTTTCTATATTTTTATTTCTCTTAATAGGGCTTATTAATTTGTCGTTCAAGGGATCAGTTACATTGGAATTAATCTCTTCAATAAATTTAATTTAATAGCAAGAATTAATAGCATAAAACACTGATTCTCTTTGACTCAGTAGTTCTTCCAGGAATTTATGATATGGGATTGAGTGAGAACATATAAAGACATATATACAAAAGTGTCCATTGCAGAGTACTTTTATTGTTTTATAAAGATAGAAATTGATAGTATAGGATATGAGCATTTTAGAAAATAAGTAGTGGAACCTCTGTATGATAGGATATTATACAATTATTAGTGAAATTTTTGAAAATTATGGGATGACAAAATATTTTATTGCTAAGAGGAGAAAGTGAAATCTGAAACTCTTATTAAAATAATTACTGAAGGAAGAAATATGAAAAGGAAATACAGTCCCATGTTAATAGTGCTTGTCCATTGGAAAAATCATGGGTAATTAAAAATGATGGGTTCCTAGTCACTTTAGCTCAGTCATAAATTTACTGTGAAGAATTAGGTTCTGGCCAGTGTCTAGACCCAGGAAAAGTTAATAAGGGCAGTGAAGCCTTTCCTGAGCTACACTCTTCTCAGAGATTGTTGTATGGGTAGTAGGGGAATTTTAAAGGCAAGTAGTGGCTGTGGAGTTAAAGAAGCTTCTTGGAGGGCTTTAGAAATACTGGGAAAAGATACAGGGCTCCTTTCCATCTTGCAGTATGGAAACTCTGCATAAATTTTACTTGTGCATTCAAGGAAAGAGTTATCTGAAGGTTGGAAAACTTGGGGCAAGCCAGATTCCCTAATGATAGACACATACCAAAGTGTGTTAATCATTAGAGCTGTCCATCCATGTTTCTAGCTCTCCTCCATTAGGGCACCTAGCAGGATGGTAAACCTTGAAGTCAGGGATGGCCATGTGACTTGCTTTGAGAAGTAAGATGTCACACTTCTGGTCACAAGCATGTTTTTTTCCTCCTGTCAAGATGACAGATCTTAATCCAGAGTGGAGGCTCGTTCGGCCTGGAGCACTAAGTGGTGCCTCTTTCTCACCCAAGGTGGACATGGAGCCCGAGTGAGAATAAATGCCTGAAGTCAGTGACATTGGGGATTTGTGTTACTGCAGCCTAACCTCCTGTATCCTGGCTGATACATTCACTTTTTGAGATAGATGTATTAAGAAAAAATTGTACAGACAGAAACTAAAATATGGCAAGCCAAATATCTTATATGCATTATTTAACAAATTCTTCAGAAGAACATATTGCCAAAAAATCCCTTTAGAAGTTAAAAAATGTTTTATAATGTAAATCATTATGGCCTAATAAATGTGTGTATTGATAAAATGTTATAGTATCTCAACAAATGCAAATTAACCTTTACAAATCTTGGAAAATCCTTTAACTAAAGGTAAGTTTTAAAATAATATGCCTATCAAATGATGGTACCATATTTACTGAAAGGAGAATCTACTTTTACTTCCATAAATATGTTTAAAAGAATTAGAGCATCTTGGGAAAACTGCTGAATTTAGGGCTAAGGCAGTGAAAGTACAAGGTGTGTCAGGAGCATTTTGCAGTGGCCAAAGGTAAGGAAGTGTTGAAATAAATAAAGTAAAAGGGACATATCAAAGGGATAAAGAACAAACCTGAAAGCAGTTCCAATGGCTGTTTCTAACACAGTTACAGCCAAAAAAACCACAAAATTACTAACTATAACCTGAGGAACCAGATAAATACCCATGAGTTCATACATGCATACATGCACACATACATATACACACAAATGGAGAAAAAGGAACAAATCTTTCTTCTACAAGAATTTTGAGTAATATGTGTAGGTACTTCCCCTTCCAGGAGGTCGGCCTCAATTGCCACCCTCCTCAACCTTCAGGGTGGGATAGACTTGGTGACTCATTTTCCAAGAATAGAGTATGGAAAAGTAAAAGAAAATATTAGCAATTTAATAAATTTTTACAGTGCAGAAATCTAACAAACACTCCTTCGACTGAGCAGTTAAGCCATGCGTAACCACAATGCTTACCACTCTACCAAGTGATGTCATGTGGATAGCATGTCTCTCCTAATACAATGTGAGGAGAAGGGCACTTAACCTCTCTGTCCTATTCTTTCCAACATCCCATGACCCTATGAGGAAAGCAAACAGAAAAAAATAGAGCAGGGGCTCATCCTACAGGATACTTGGCCAGGACTCTTCAAGGCTCTCAAGATCATTAAAAACAAGGAAAGACCAAGAAATTCTCACAAACTGTAGGAGACCAAAGAGATATGACAACTAAATGCAATGTGGTGCCTTGGATTAGATCTTGGAGCCCAGTGAGGATGTAATGGGAAAGCGGGTGAAATACAATTAGTATCTGCAGTTTAGCCGACAGTAATGCCTCAAAGTTGTTTTCTTAGCTGTGACAAATGTACCATCATAATGCAAGATGTTGACAATGGAGGAATCTGGGTGAAAGGTACAGGAGAACTCTCTGAACTATCTTTGAAACTTTTGCTTACCTATAAAATTATTCCAAATTAAAAAGTTAATTTTTATAAAGGATCTGTTAAATGTGATCATTTGACTTCCATATTTATTGTACCATCATATTCACCAGATGTTACTCATATTATTTATTTGTGTAACCACTTGGTCACCAAAAAGGTAGCATTTGAGCTTTGTTTCCTCCACCTGTTCAGGGTAAGTAGTTGAAAGAGAAGAAACCAGAGTGGTATATTTAATACACAATGATTGAGCATAAAAGTTTGCATTTGAATAACAGAACCAATTTTGAAACTACATTATAGTGACTTTAAAGAGACTATTAATCAGTACACCGACGTCTATTGAACTTAATTGTATGTGAACACAAAACAATTAAGACAAAAATAATATGGACTTTTTGTGACACAGGCAGGGCACTCTAGTTTTTACACTTAATCAGCATACACTTAAACCTATCTGATAAGTAGACTCTATTCAGTGAGAAAATCGATTTAGAATATTGTGTAACACGTGGAGTAGGGGATATAACAAATAACTCAAAAGTAAATTGGAAGTGAAAATAAACTCCTAGAAAATGGAACTTTCTCCTTCTCCACCTAATTTTGAAGAGTATCAAAAATAACACCTGGATTTTTTAGACTCCTATTAATTTCTTGTGAAGTTTTCTGCTATATTTACATATTCTGTTCATCTCTCAATATCAAATGCAGTGTTTGGTAACTAAAGGGCTAAGAACCTAATAAGTAAGACTTTTAAAATTTAAAAATAATCGTAAATGTTGATTATGTTTTATGACTATAAACACTAAGGCCCAAGTGGATACATGAAAAAGAAATGTTTTCCTGTCCTCTAAATATGAAGCCTTCCTGAATTCCACACTCAGAATTTAGAATGTACTATTACAATACAAATAAACCTGAATTATAATATAAGAAAAAAACACAGATAAAAACGTTGCATATCTTTACCTTTAATGACATTTACCTCTTCGTCAGAATTTCAAACCCCATCCCGTTTTTTAAGGTCCATTTCTACTGGTTCCTCCTTTATCGTGCCTTGTCCGATCTTCTCCAAGAAAAAAAAATCAAGTCTCTTTCATAGTTCCTTCACATCTAACTTCTATTTATTTTATGGCATGCACTATTTCTACCATGGCTATATTATTGTATATATGAGATGCCAGACTAGACAATGCATTCCTTGACATTCAAGCCCACTTTTAGGTCATCTTCAACACTCCCCTGTCCCAGCAAGGATCAACACCTAGGGAATGTGTGTGGGACAGATGGGTGAATGAACGCTGCTGCTTCTTGGAACTCAGGCCTTTGAGCATAACTTGCTTGGCATCCTCTGCATCAAAAAAATGTTCAGTATTGTTTCACTTGCGCCAGAAGAGCTTGTCTGGAAAACGTCTGATAAGCCATGGTAAGAAACAACACACAACCCCCGGATCTACCTGAATTATCTCAGCCTAAAGTTATCCGATCTCGCTTTTGCTAGTGAGGCGTGTCAATAAAGTCAAACCCAAGTTTGAGCTTTGATTTCGGGCCTCAGCTGATGACAGCTGTGCCGAGTTGATTTAATGGGTTCTGTGCAGATAAAGGCGGGGATTTGCAATGTTAAAAGTGTCTTCACAGGTGAGAAGACAAAGATCTCTGACATGCTTATTTCTCACAGTTCAGGTCCCCGACCCAGGCCTGGAAACACATCAAAGGCCACACCTTTCCTTCTTTTCATGCTCTCAGTCGGCCTTCTCTCACTTTCAGATTGCACCCCTGCACGACTCACCAGTCAAACAATGCAGTTATTATGCTCCTGGGAGAAGAAGGATAATTACCTCCACGGCCAGGTGCCAGTAGCAAGTTTCCCTGTGGCCAATTACTGTGTGGTGGTAAAACAGCTGAAGCTCTGTTTTTAAAATCTGTGTTGTGTTTTTTTTAAGCCTTTACTGTCATGTTGCCAGACACTGGCCCTGAGCCCTGCTATCGACACAGGGCGTCTAGCTTTGTTTTGAACGTGGGTTCCATTGTCTTTCACTCTCTCCCAACCTGGCATCTCATTATGTTTATATCTCCTTATCAGAGCCAATGAGCAAGGGGAAAACAGCTTCAGAAAGGAGGGAGCTGCTGCCCCACAGTTTCCATTTATCCAACCAAACCCAAACTGTTTTCATCCCTCATCAGCTGAGATGGAGTGACAGTGACTATAAAGAGAACTGATTGGCTTGGAGAAGGTGAGCATGATTTTAATAAGAAGAAAGTGAGGACAGTAATGGAGCTTTTTGTCTTTTGAGTGACACATCTGGAAACTCCCCACTGGCCTTCTCCATTAGTTTGGTGAAAACCTATCAAGGAAACAAACAAACAAGCAAAACACAAGTGAATGGCATTAAGTCCTGGCTGCAGAATAGTACTTCTTGTCTGGGGACAGATGTGTGCTGTGAAATGTTTATCCACCACCCCACATGCTTTTATTTGCAGCTGATGCTAATAATTATAACCAACATTTCAGAAATACCTTTAATATGCCAGACATCATCTTAAGCACACATGCTTTCTCCTCGGTCACCTCAACAACCCTAACAAGGTAGTATTTTACTTTCCATTTTACAGAAGGTGATCTTGAAGCTTGGAAAGATTAGCATTACAGTGTTACAAAGCTAAGAAGTGACAGAAGATAGGTCTATTTCATACCAAAGCTCAAATCTCAACTACACTGCTCTAAGGGGAACCTCTCACCTCCACTGGGCTACTTAAGGGGAACCAGCGACCCGACAGCCACAAGGCACTTCAGAAAAAAACGCACATTGCTGAGGGTCTAGGAACTCCCACCACATCCTCACTGCAGGTCCTTTATTGCTTTACTTGCCTAGTTGAGCATCAAACAACCTTAGTTTTTTGAGAGTGCCACTATTTTATCAGGTGTGTTAGTTTTGTGTGTCAACTAGATGAGCCACAGGAAGCTCAAATGAAACGTGATTTCAGGGTGTGTCTGTGCGGGCGTTTCAGGGTAAGATTCGTATTTGAACCAATGGACTCAGTAAATTAGAATTCCCTCCCCAGGATGGGTGGGCATCACCCAACCCACTGAGAGACTGAATGAAACAAAAGGCAGAGGGAGGAGGAATTCATTCTTCTACTTCCTGCCTGCTTGAGCTGGTACATCTCACCTCATCTTCTCCAGCTCTTGGACTGAAATTTATACCATCAGCATCCCTGCCTCTCAAGTCCTGAGACTTGGACTAAATTAAACCAACAGCCTTCCTTGGTCCCCAGCTTCTTGACAGCAGATCGTGGGTCTTCTCAGCCTCCATAATCACATGAACCAATTCCTCAAATCTCCTTTCATATATGTATTTTACACATATATACACACACACAAACACACACACCAACACACACACACACCTATAGATACACTCACACATCTAGGTATCTGTACATATGTCCTATTGGTTCTGCTTCTTTGGGAGAACTCTAATACACCAGGTGTTTCAAGCAAAGAACTTTGCTAGCCTGTAGTGTTAACCTGCAGACTGCTAGAAATTGTCATGAGTACACCCATTTCTTTTAGCTAGTCTCTGGGATCTAGTAGATAGGATCGCATAAACTTCATGGTTGACAAACCCCAACCATATGGACGTGTCAGGAGGCCTGTTCCCATATTTGAACACGGCTTCTGCAGCTTCTGCAGGTGCAGATGGTCATTTTATTTTGCTGAAAACTAAGTGCATACATTCATTTTTTTTGTGTTCAACTCTGGTGCCAACTGGAGTCCCCCAGTCACTGAAGATCCAGAGATGAGCTCCAGTGCCTTTTCTGTGACTTGTGTAAAGTAGAACAGACCAGTCCCCAAGAGGTTTTCAGACTCTTTTGGTTTGGAGGTGATACGGTTTGGCTGTGTTCCCACCCAAATCTCATCTTGAATTGTAGCTCCCACAATCCCCATGTGTCATGGAAGAACCCCGTGGGAGGTAATTGAATCATGGGGGCAGGTTGTTCCTGCGCTGTTCTCGTGATAGTGAATAAGTCTCATGAGATCTGATGGTTTTATAAAAGGCAGTTCCCCTGCACACGCTCTCTTGCCTGCCACCATGTAAGACATGGCTTTGCTCCTCCTTTGCCTTCCGCCATGATTGTGAGGCCTCTCCAGCCATGTGGAACTGTGAGTCCATTAAACATTTTTCCTTCATTAACCAGTCTTGGGTATATCCTTATAGCGGCATGAGAACGAACTAATACAGGAAGGATAGGGATAGGGTGGGATGGGGGCCCTGGAGCAGACGATCAAGGTACCAGGTCTTCTCTGGTTCCCTCCATCTCCCGCTTCTGCTGCAACAGTTGTGGGTCACATGTTTTCCTGCACCCCATCCATGTTGTCCCTTTCATGCTCCTTGGGTCCAGACAGAGGACTTTAGCTCTTATTAGCCCCACCCCACCCCACCCCCTCTGCCACACACACACACACACACACACACACACGAATTATGGACTGAATGCTTGTGCCTCCCTCAAATTCATATGTTAAAAACCCCACCCACTAATGTGACAGTATTAGGAGGTGGGGTCTTTGAGAGGTAATTAGGAATAGATGAGCTCATGAAGGTGGAGCCCTCATGAATGGGATTCACATCCTTATGAGTCCTGAGAGAGCTTGCTTCCCCTCCTTACCAGGTGAGGACACAGCAAAAAGACAGCAATGAACCAGGAATTGGGCCTTCACCAGGCACCAGAACTGGGAAAAATGAGTGTCTGCTGTGTGAGCCACCCAGTTTACAGTATTTTGTTGTGACAGCCAGAGCTCACTCAGACAGGGACACACATGCTCATCCCTCACCACACACACACACACGATCGTCCCCCTCACACACATGCACACACACAGACACACACATAGGTTCACCTCTCTGTCCTCTCTTTCTTTTTCTTGGATACACATTCACTTTCATTCTCATACACATTCACAGACACACATGTTCACACAGACACACATGCTCACACATGCATTCTCACTCTTACACACACACACCCTTCCTCTTTCTCTTTCACATACGCATCTGAGAAACCTACACACACAAAAAACCCTTTATATATAATATTCTTATACACCACAGGTATGGCTTTGGGGAAGTTGAAGAGTGTCTTATGTCACACCCTTAACTACTTAAATTTAAACGTTAGATTCTCATTTATAAAAGTCTTTTGCACTTTCTGTGATTCTTCTGTGCTCTCCCTCTTTTCCTTCCTTTCTCTTCGTTTCTCCCTCACCTCCCTTAATACCCGCTTCGTATCCAGCAGAGAGCAGCTAGTTGGCTTTTTGTTCCTCTGTCTTCTGCTTCCAGGGTCTTCCCTTTTATTCCTGGCAGCTTTAGGAAGTACAAAGTTTCATTTATATTCACATTTTCAAAAAATAAAAAGAACTTGCACAATTATAAAACATAGTACAATGATATCAAACAAATCTGCAATCTTGATAATGAGAATTAATCAATTATAAATGCAAATGCAAATCTGTAGATTATTCTAGAAAAATAAATAAGTGGTCTTTATCCTATTAAGGAATCTTTAGTAAGCTTGCAGCTTGATCCAATCTGATCAGGTGAAACTGTATTATGGTTTCATTGAAAACATTAGCCTAAATAGATAAAAGATAAGATAATCAGCTTGTTAGCAACTTTTAAAAACTGGTAACTTTTTTGATAATACTTTTCAGTCCCTTTCCATCACTTGGCAGTTAATTCAAGTGATATTTTCTCTCAATTTCAGCTAAGATGCTTACCAAAGAGGACATGTCAAAATCATAACTCATACCCTGGCTGTCTTAGGCTAGCTAGGGCAATGTAGCATGGTGGTTAGCACATAGGCTGGGCTGGTAAGTCCAGCAAACGTGGGTGTGGATCCTAGCCTGGTCACTTACTACCTGTGCAACTGTTATGGGTTGAACTGTGTCCTCCCAAAAAAAGATATACTGAAGTCCAAACCCCTGTGACAGCCCCTGTGACTGTGACTTTATTTGGAAATAAAATATTTGCAGACACCATGAAATTAAGATGAGGTCATTTGGGTGGGCCCTCATTCAAGATGACAAATGTCCTTATAAGAAGAGGGAAGTTTGAACAGAGATGTGCACACGGAGAAGAAGTCTCAGTGACCACAGAGGCAGAGCCTGGAGTGATGCAGCACAAACCAAGGAAGGCCACGCATTGCTGGCCACACCAGGAGCTAGGAAGAGGCAAGGGAAGATTCCTCCCAAATTCTCAGCGGGAGCATGGCCTTGCTGACACCTCACCTTAGGGTATCTAGTTTCTAGAACTATAACAGAATACATTTATGTTGTTTTCAGTCCCCCAGTTTCACCCAGTTTGTGGTACTCTGGGATATCATTGCACCCCGTTTGTGCTGTGGTATGGCAGTTCCAGGGAACTAATACTGTAAATCTCATAATCTCCATCTGTGTAAAATGCAAATCACAATGCTGATAGTAGTGCTTCCCTAACGAGTGTATTATGAGGATTCCTCAGGCAGACATATGTCACATTCTTTGCACAGTATCCGGCACTTATTAGATGCTCAGTACATGTTGCTTTTATTAACAAATGTTAGTTATTATCAGACATAAACAGCTGAGGTCCCTGCACTCCAGGCAGTTATAACGTTAGGGGTCTCATCCATCCACCCAAGATGCCAACCATTTCTAGAACATGTCTACTTTAATATCTCTAGCTATACAACTGATTGTAATTTTGTACTTATTAATTTAGGGCTACAAACATTTCCTAAGAAACGTTCCATAAATAGTTATAAAAACCATTGAATTGTAAGGAATGAGCTATTAATCTG
This sequence comes from Homo sapiens, assembly GCF_000001405.40. Lineage (NCBI taxonomy): Eukaryota > Metazoa > Chordata > Mammalia > Primates > Hominidae > Homo > Homo sapiens. The sequence goes on from NC_000021.9 coordinate 35,299,703, forward strand.
AGCCATTGGGCATTACCTTGATATCCTCTTCACTACCCAGAAAATTGTTAAAGGGAACCTTCCTTGATCAGTAAGACCTGAGCCTCCTGTAAGATCTGCTGCCTTCCCGTTTCTCTGGATTCTGTAACCATGAAAGTTGACTTTTGCCTTGATGCTATGGACCAAGCCCGGCTCTGACAACCCCACAGCTAAGATGTTTAATGGATAGAATATAATGTTTCCTTCCCTATACTTCTTATTCTCTATGATTTTTAAATTTTCTAAAATAAACATGCATTATTGTAATAATTTAAACACATAAGATATGTTTTTTCATATTCAATGCTACTTTCAAGTAGAATAGAGTCTGATAGAAAAATATAAAGGAAAAATCATATTTCTGATGTACATTTGTAGGAATGTAGTATTAAGCTACAAAATGCTGTGCCCACAATCTGTTTCTAGATGAGCCTCGGTTTCCTTATTTGAAAATGATGCTAACAAGGGTGTACCTCTCCGGACTACTGTGGAGACTGGATATCCTATGAGGGACTATCACAGGGTCTTTAATGCAGTAAGTGCCTAGCTTCCTGCTTCTCCTCCCTTTATATTTCTCGTAACTTTTGAATAAATTTCCATGAATTCAAGAAAAAACACAGTCTTTGCTTGTTGGTAATGTTATCTGTTTTGTTTTGTTTTTCCTGAATCATGTGGAAGGTAGCTTCTGAAATGTCTCCCAGTGACCCCTGCCTTCTGGCAGTCACAGTCTTATGCAATTGTCTTCCCTTGGGTGTGCACTGGCCCTGGTGACTTGCTCCGAAGGAACAGAATTCAGCAAAAGGGATGGGAGTTCACTCTGAGGTTGGGTTACAAAAAGACTATGGCTTTCATTTTGCACAGCCTCTCTTTCTCTCTCACTTGTTCAGCCACCACACTGTGAGCTGCCCCATGGGAAGGCCCATGTGGCAGGGAACGGAGCGTGGCCTCTTGTCGACAACCATGTAAACGAGCTTGAAGTGGATCCCTCCCTAGCTGAGCCTTCAGAGAACTGAAGCTTCAGTTTATACCTTGATTGCATCTTTGTGGAAGACCCTGAGCCAGAGGCACCCCACTAAGGCATCTGGATTCCTGACCTGCAGAAACTCAGAGATAGTGAACATTGTTGTATGAAGACACTCAGTTTTAGCATAATTTGTTGAGTAGCAATAGTTAACTAATGCAGATCAATACATTTCATGCAGTCATTCTCTACTATTTTTATTCTAACCCTTCTAGGTGGCAACAATCTCCATTTTGTCACACACATACTCTCAGACAACAGTTTGTTATTCTCACTCTCATTGCCCCCTAGTCCTGTGTTCTGCAGAGGCCTAGCTAGATGCTACCTATTGATAAAACAGATGATGCTTCTTTCCTACAAATGCCCCACTCTGGTCCTTGACTCATGCCCTAATAGAACCCATGTCCCTGTGAAAGCTCTCTCAAAAACTACCTTTTCCCTCAATGCAATGAGTGTGTAGCGCCCAAATATGGAGGCTTGTGCAGGTGCGGGATGCCACAACCTCAGGATGGAGTGGCTTCCAGGAGAGTCCACATAAGTGAAGAAGGGCTGTGCTGCTGAACTACTAAACCTAAGGACGATGTCAAGATATGCCTGGGAAATGACAGCAAACTGTTGCACAGGAATGACTGAGAATCACTTCGCCAACCAACACATGTGTGACGCAGTCCACTGATTTTTTAAAAACTGCTGTACTGAGGCTGGGCACGGTGGCTCATGCCTGTAATCCCAGCACTTTGGGAGGCTGAGGTGGGCGGATCACAAGGTCAGGAGATCGAGACCATCCTGGCCAACACGGTGAAACCCCATCTCTACTAAAAACACAAAAAATTAGCCGGGCGTAGTGGCAGGCGCCTGTAGTCCCAGCTACTCGGGAGGCTGAGGCAGGAGAATGCCGTGAACCTGGGAGGTGGAGGTTGCAGTGAGCCAAGATCATGCCACTGCACTCCAGCCTGGGTGACAGAGTGAGACTCCATCTCAAAAAAAAAAAAAAAAAAGAAAACAAACAAACCAAAAAAACCCAGAAAACTACTGTACTGAAGTATGATTCATGTACACAAAGCTGTATCACTGATATTTTAAAATTTGAATCTCTCCTGTGTTTACAAACGGAAGGGAAAAAGAACAATGATTGTAAAAAAGCTTTTGCCCCAACAGTCAAATATTTTACCTCTATGCAAATAATAATAATTATAAATAATTTTGAAAAAAGTGGCCAAACTACAAAAAATTCTAATGAGTATTTTTGGCTTAATTGAATTAAAAGCAATAAAAATAGAAGTTCACTCAAGTCTTTGTCATATTTAAATCATATAGTCACAGTATCTATGTGTTAACGTCCTAAGAGGCAAAATTGCCAGCAATTTATTCATCAGGTAATATAGGTAAGTAGAGAGCAGCTTTTTAGGCTAAATATTTTAGTTAACTATTTTAAAGTCCCCGCACAGTAATACACAGAACCCCAAATCATGCTGATTTTGTTGTTGCTGTCACTTTGGAATCCAATATCAAATGTCCTCTGGCCATTTCCTCCTTGGTAACAGCCAGGGCAGTTCTGAAAGTACATCCTTCCCCAATTTTCTTAGAACTTGTAGTGTTTGTGATATGGTTTGGCTGTGTCCCCATCCAAGTCTCATCTTTAATTGTAATCCCCATAAACCCTAGGTGTCAAGGGAGGGACCCAGTGGGAGGTGACTGGATCATGGGTGAGGTTCCCCCCATGCTGTTCTCTTGCTAGTGGGTGAGTTCTCAGAGCTGATGGTTCTACAAGGCAGTTTTCCCTGCTCTTGAATGCTCTCTCTCACCTGCCACCATGTAAGATGTGCCTGCTTCCCCTTCTGCCATGATTGTAAGTTTCCTGAGGCCTCCCCAGCCATGCAGAACTGTGAGTCAATTAAACCTCCTTTCTTTATAAATTACCCAGTCTCAGGTTTTTCTTTATAGCAGTGTGAGAATGAACTAATACAGTTTGTTTTCTTAATTTTCATGTCTGAGCACAGAACAGAATTGAGAAGTAAGAAAAATTATATGTAGGAAAATTTTCCCATAATTATTCCTTCAATGTCATTGTATTCCAACGGCCAGCAAAAATAAGGCGTGAATAATATCACAACCTCATTGTTGACCTTGAGAAACAGAACTTGACTTCAAAAGTCAAGACATGCCCGACTGATGGAGCTTAAGGCCAATGAAAAAAAGAATGATAGAGTCAATGACTGGGTGGTTAAGGAGACATAAAGAAACCAGCCATTTGAATGCGCTCAATGGAATAAACAACCTGCAAAAATTAACCCATGAGCCACAGTGTGCCCCCTTTTTGATCAGCTCCTGATGCTGTTTGGGGTGTTGAGATAGCCCCTAGAAGGGATCTGGGCACATGCTGCATTGCTCATGAACTGTCTGTTTTATGAACCTTGGACTTTGAGATCTTGGCCACTGCTGCCTGGATGATGTTCCCAAATCATATCTGGTCAGTGTAGAGAGAGATGGGAATCTCCACATTCCACGATGTTGCCAGCTCATTGAGCAGGTACTCCACAGATGAGTTCAGTCCTCTTCATATAATTCCTTGTGAGTCATTTCCCAGAATAAGCCCAGGCACTTTGCCAGTGTATTAGTCCATTTTCATACTGCCATAAAGAACTGACCCAGACAGGGTAATTTATAAAGGAAAGAGGTTTAATTGACTCACAGTTCAGCACAGCTGGGGAGGCCTCAGGAAACTTACAATCATGGTGGAAGGCAAAGGGGAAACAAGGCATCTCCTTCACATGGTGGAAGGAAGGAGAAGTGCAGAGCAAAGGGGGAAGAGCCCCTTATAAAACCATCAGATCTCGTGAGAACTCACTCACTATCAGGAGAACAGCATGGGGGAAACCTCCCCCATGATTCAATTACCTCCCCATGGTGTCTTCCTTGACATGTGGGGATTATGGGGATTATAATTCAATATGAGATTTGGGTGGGGACACAAAGCCTAGCCATATCATCCTGGTACATGGGACAAGTCTTGCCATTTCTCTTCCATAATTCCTTTTTAACAATTGTTCCTTGCCCAGACTTAACTTCTTTCTGGGTTGCCTGTTTTTATATTTCTATACCTTTTTGCCCACTTTAATTATCCTGCACATCTAAAAAGGTACGCACAGCCACCAAAATATGTGTGTGTGTTTTCTGCTAACTTACAATTTCACAAGCTGGAGAGGCACTTAGGAACTTCAGTTACAATATGTTTTCAGTCTTTGACATAATAAAACATACGCCACATACAAATGAAGTTTAGCACTCAAATCAGTTAAAAATCTTCCTACATGTTATTAGAAGGGGTGATTTCATCAGGCATGTTTCTTAAATCAATATGCAATAAAGTCTAAAGTGAGGTCAACCCATTTAACAATCGACACCCCCACAAAAATAATAGGGATGAGGTGGGAAGGGCGTAGGTCTTAGTATTTATTATGTTTCCATTAATATTCTGCAGCTCTGTGTAGCTCTCCTGGGTCATGGTTCTCAACTCCTCCAGGGAGTGAAGTTTGAAGCTGGAGAAGTGGAGAAGGAACACAGAATTTGTTCTCAAGTCTCTAAGTCTCAAGTCTCTAAGGTGATTACTTCTCCCTGCTTCTTGACAAATCCATCAGCTCTTTCCAAATCTAAAAAAGAATCAGGGATATGCCATGTTTTGGGAATAAGGTGTATAGTTTTTTTTTTTTTAGAGGTAATACGTTTGTGTGTCATTTATCAGAAAATGTAGGTATTGAGTCAAGAAATAATTAAAAATCACATATTTTGCTTCCTTGTTACTAAACATTAGCTATTATGTTACAATGTAATAATTTTAAAAGTAAGCAGGGGATGACTATTTTATTAAATTTAAATAATAATATGTAATATCAAAGAGATGGTTTTTAGGGGAGTCTTGAAATATCTTTATAAACAGTCACATACTTGAATGTATGTGTATATAATATAAATATAAAATATATACATGTATCATTGTTTTATATTAAATGGGTACTGTATATATTTATAACTATATCTAGATCTATATATCCACCAACTCCCTCTTCTGGGGTCCCATAGCATCTTCTGTATACCATTACATTAGTTCTGACTTATTGTACTACCACTTTCTTTTTAAATATTTGTCTTTCTCTCTTGACTGCTCATTCCATGAAAACAGAACCTGTGATTTATTTGACTGCTGAATCCCCAGTTATTGATACAGTGCCTCAGATCCAATAAGTGTGGATGAAGTGTTTGGAAAAGAAGCAAGGAGTGGTTCCAGATTGATCAATAATCATACACTGATTCAAAACCCTGAATCACATAGGATTTTGCCCACTTTAATTATCCTGCACATCTAAAAAAGTGTGCACAGCCTCCAAAATTTGTGTGTGTGTGTGTGTGTATGTGTGTGTGTGCCTGTAGCCATTCACAGGAATATTGCCTGGGGCAAGCACTGGAAGGAGGTTCTGCTAACTTACAATTTCACAAGCTGGAAAGGCACTTAGGAACTTCAGTTTCAACATGTTTTCAGTCTTTGACATAATAAAACATATGCCATATACACTCACATAGGATACAGTCACAGGATTCAGGGTTTTGAAGGATGTCTTCATGGTACAAAACTTTAAACTGTTTGCATTCGGAAGATAAAAATACTAAAGCTCTTCCTGGTTTTCTTGACATTCCCAAGGAAAATGCTTTTTTTTTTTTCTACTAGCAAGTCTTTATTCCTTTAATAACGTCATATGATTGCATCGTTTCTGTTATCTACTGCTGTGTAACAAAGTACCCCAGAGCTTAGTAACTTAAATCAACCATTTTATTTTTCTCATAATTTTGGGGAGTCAAGAATTTGAGAAGGTCTTGGCTAGATGATCCACCTCTTTTCCACGTAGCTTTAGCCACAGGGACGCTGGGGCTGGAGGGGTCACTTCTGAGATGGTCTCTTTACTCACATGCCTACTCCTTGTGCTCTTGGCTCTCCTCTCTTCTCCTCCCCTTTCTTCCTCCCCTCCCCTCTCCTTTCCTTTTTCTCCCTCTCCTTGTGACATTTCACTCTATAGAGTCTCTCCTTCTGACTTGGGCTTCTCACAGCATGGAAGCCTCAGTCTGTGCATTCCTGAACTTCTCAGACAGCAATTTAGGACTCTAAGAGCAAGTTTTCCAAGACACTCAGGGAGAAGCTGCAAGGCTGTTGTAACCTTGCATGAGAACTACACTGTGTCACTTTTGACACCTTCTATTGGTCAAGCAAGTCACAGAGCCCACCCATACTTAAGGGTTGGGAACATAACACTCTCATAGAAGACAGATTAGAAAATTTCTGGGCATCTTTAATCTGCCACAAGACTCATAAAGAAGACATAGGAATAAGTTCTCTCTTTTAAAACACATGGGTGTATTTTGTGAACCAGGGTTGCTTCATATATTTTTGTAGATTCATTCAATTAATTAATTAACAAAGAAAGAAATTAGGAGAAATATTTTTGGTGATGTAGTATGCCTGCTATTAACAGTTTACAGAGTTTATTTTTGTTTAAACATCCATCCTATAATATAGTTTTTATAAGTTTGAAATTGGGTGATATTATTAATTTGAAGACCAAACCAGCCAAAATTTGATTATGATCAAAATGAAATTAAAGGATGGATAAATAGTTATTCCCATCAAACTAGACTCCAAATATTTAATTAAACTCCAAGGCTTTTAACCAAACATTTATTCCCTTAGACTCTTTTCATTTATTCTTATAAAAATCCTTGCATTTATAATTCATTTTCACTTTACTCAGCAAATGTTCTTTTGTAATGAGTTGCTTGATATTCAAAAGACTTCTGAGTCTCTCAATTCTATTTCTGTCAAAATCAGGAAGTTGACTTTTGCCAAGAATAAATGAACTTGAATACAGAGTTTTAAATGTGGTTCAAAGGATGAAATCCTCAAATCTCAGGCCCATTCTGATGCTGGCAAGACCCTTTCTCCTGCTCAGACTATGAAATAATAATGATGCTTTTTAACAATTAAAGCTTTGGGTTCCCAAAAACCTGAATCTGTTGCTAAATTTCACTTAACAACAGGATCTTATTTTTATCTTTAGCAAATATCCTGGGACATGTATAAATACCAGGGACAAACTGCATTACAGATTTAAATTTGGGATGAAAAAATCAATATTTCAAAGTATGACAGGAACAGATTCTATAAAATGAAGACAAATCAGATACTGCATTGGCTAACTTCCAACAAAGAAAGGACACAAAAAATTGAGAAAGTGAAGTGAAATATTAAATCATATAATAAAACTTTTCAGATATGATTTTGAAACCTTGGAGTCTTAATTTAAAACATAAGAGAAAAAAATCTAATTTAAAAATGTTAGTGTTGGCCGGGTGTGGTGGCTCACACCTGTAATCCCAGCACTTTAGGAGGCAGAGGCAGGCAGATCACCTGAAGTCAGGAGTTTGAGACCAGCCTGGCCAAAATGGTGAAACCCTGTCCCTACCAAAAATACAAAAATTAGTCGGGCGTGGTGGTGTACACCTGTAGTCCCACGGGAGGCTGAGGCATAAGAATCACTTGAACCCAGGAGGTGAAGGTTGCAGTGAGCCATGATCACACCATTGCACTCCAGGCTGGGCAACAGAGTGAGACTCTGTCTCAAAAAAAAAAAAAAAAAAAATAGTGCTCTTTTGTCATTCAATTTTTTGAAATGAGTGACGTTAAATACCAAGTTGTAATTGTTTGGATGAATATATCTAGAACCTGTAATTGTAGCAGACCAAAGAATATATGAGTTATTTGTGAGCATTAACCAAGCACCTCCTAGATGCTGGAAGATATTTTTCCAAAGTGGATTCTTATATCTTCCTCAGAAACTTTCAAATGGACTTCTTCAATCTGATCCATTAATGCAATTACATTTTCATTTTCCCATTTTACTTAGTGCAAAGTCAAGTTCAAGGAAATTCAATTGTATAGCCAATTGTTAGATCTCCTTCAAATCAGGTCCAAACTAGCAACATATACATACACACATGCTTCAAATAATCACATTCTAGAATCATCATTTATCTAAATTACAGTGTGTGAATAATGAATAGTTTAATTTGGCTTCAGAGGGTAGAAAATATTAGGGGCCAGAAACAGTAGGTTTGAGAAATATGTACATGGCTGTAAACCCAGTCATGCATTCTTCTCTTAGTTACTCCAGGCCTAGGACTGAAGACAAGCAAACAGAAAGAGAAGCAGTACTCATACGTGTGTGCTTGTGTGTGTGTGTGTGTCTGTGTGCGCGTGTGTGTGTGCATGCGCACTATTCGTAATCCAGATAAGATCTTCCAGGTAAGCACAAGCAATTGAGATTCAGTTCATTTTATCATTGTTTATTCTTTTATTCAATATTAATGTCCGCCAAGTGCCAAAAATGGCATTAGAAATGTTTTTGGCAGAGACCACTGGTGCCCACTGAATATCCATAGCTCCTCCATATTTCCCAGTAGTTCCACCATTCCTTGAAGTGTCTGAGTTCTTCAAGGTCTGGCAAAAGAAAATGTGAGCACTTTTGTTCTGGGGCACTCAGTAGTCAGTGTGCCTCCTCTGTCCTTAATTTCCCTGCCAGGGAGACTTGGAAATTCTCTATCTTTTCTATTGCTGTTATAACAAATTATCACCAGCTTACTGTCTTAAACAATGCAAACGTATTATGTTACAGTTCTGGAGGTCAGAAGGTCAACATGGGACTCCCCCAGCTAAAATCAAAGTGGCAGCAGGGTTGTGCTCCTTCTGAAGGCCCTAAAGGAGAATCTATTTCCTCCATTGTTTTCAGCCTCTAGAGGACATCTGCTTTCCTTTGCTTGTGGCCCCTTCCTCCATCCTCAAAGCCGGTAATGGCAGATCAGGTACTTCTCACATTTCTTCTGTAGTCACTGTTCTCTCTGATGCATCTGGGAGAGGTTCTCCGTTTTCAAGGATTTATATAATAGGATTGGGCTCACCTGGATAATCCAGGCTGATTACCATCTCAATGTTTGTAAACGTAATCACATCTGCAATGTCCATTTTGCCATGTAAGGTAATATATGCACAGGCTCTGGGAAGGAAGTGTGGCCATCTTTCAGGACCCTTATTCTGCCTCCATAGAAGCCATATGGGAAGATGCTGGGATGCAAGGTAAAGGGGGCCTGGATCTCTGAATCACCACATGGAGAACAGCCATTATGCACCCATGTTCAACTCTGAACAACAAGACGTAAACTTTTTTATAAATGTCCATGCTGTGAGATTTGGGGGTTATTCTGTGTGACAGCTACCATCAATCATTCTAACTACCATGGTGATGGTTAATAATTTGTTCAGGTTTGTTTTAGCTTTGTAGCAAAACTACAAGGCTAGACTAGCTGGACTTTCCATTCCAATAGATATAATTAATATGCATTTGCAGAAATAATGTCTCCCTTGCCTTTAAATCTCCAGCCATTAATAGAGAGCCTAAAACAATACATTTTTGAATGGAATTGAATGAATGAATGGAAGCAAAAACAAGAAAACACATAACAATAACAATGAAAAATGTGGACAAATGAGACAGGTAGACCTATTTTAAACAATTCTTTAAGTGAAGAGGATCATTTTGGTCAAAGGCTATTGTTCTTTCCTGGGCTGATACGAGGCCAGGATTTCTCTGGGAATCTTCCACTCCTACTCATCTCACGCTCAAGCTGGCCAGTCCACAGAAGGAGCTCCAGGGGAGCAGGATTTTGTGGTCCAGGCCTGTGGCCAAAGGTTGAGCCCTAAGAAAAATGGACCACTAAGGAGCACAGTGAGAGCAGTTTTTGTCATCCATCAGAAAACAGCATAGACTTTGGAAACAGTTCTGAGTACAAATCAGAGCTCAACAAATACTTAGCAGTGTGGTTATGGGCGAGTAACTCTGAGCCTCTGTTTACTCATCTATGAAACAAGATAATAAGCCTACCTTGCGATGGTGATGTGAGAATTTCATGGAACATAACTAATATAGCACAGTTCCAGGCACAAAATGGGCTTTATTTGTATTATTCTGAGTCAATAGGGAAATCCTGAGAGAAAAGCAAGAATGGGTTTAGTTTATCCTTCTATCCTGATAAATTCACCTAAAGCTTTCTCTAGATCTGAAAGTTTGGAAGATGATTTTATTCAGGCAATATGTATTCTGATTATGTTATTTTGTATCCTAGCAACCTAGCCAGACCTAGAAGAATTTCAAGATCGACACTTAATTGTAAAACTTTAGATGGAATAATCATGTAGATTTTTGTTTGTTTTAAAGCCGTGTATTAAAAAGAAAACCATTATCATCATGTATAAGGTGATGCAAATACTTAATTAGCAGAATTTAGTAAAACATTATTTCTAAAGCTGAGATTAATGAGCTCTCAATGTATGGAAATAAGTTTTAAAAAATAATCAATGAGAATTGTTAGGTTTTATTTATCTTCTAATAGTTTACTGCACATATTCTCAGGTCCTGTTAGGAAAAACTAAAATATTCACTGTCTCATTTGGAAAGAAATAAACCATGTAAAAAGAAGCCAGCAAAATCCTTTTATATGTAACATGAAGATTCGAAGAGGCTATAAATATTAATTTCAAACCAAGATCACTCAAATAGGAGGGCCCTCAAAGTGATATTGCAAATAATTTCAAGTTATGCAATAGCTCAAATGGACAAAGAACAGGAATAATTTACTATTTGCCATATGCAATGGACAGGCTGAGCGAAACAGCATTAGGCAGACAAAACCCATTCAACTATGTCAACTTAGATTTATCCGAAGGAGTCCAATGACCTGCTCAGATTGTTAATGACCATGAGAGCATACTTTCTTAAAAAAAAACTTTGTATTTTAGAATAATTTTGATTTATAGAAAAGTTGCAAAGATAATACATAGTTTCCTATACCCTTACCCACTTTCTTCTATTGTTAATATCTTACATAACTGTGGTACGTTTGTTACAACTAAGTATGCAGCATTGGTAATTTCTATGAACTGAGTCCTACCTTTTATTTGGATTTAATTAGTTTTCTTCCTGACATCCTCTTTCTGTTCCAGGATGCCATCCCACATTCCATTTGGTCATCATTGCTCCTTAGTCTCCTCTGGTCTGTTACTTTTCTAAGACATTCCTTGCTGTTCATGACCTTGACAGTTTTGAGAAGTACCACACTAAAGTGTTTTGTAAAAACCCCTCCATTTGCTTTGCCTCGTGCTTTTCTCATGACTAGCTGGGGGTTATGGGTCTTGGGAAAGAATGTCACAGAGAGGAAGTGCCCTTCTCATCACACCATATCTGGGGCACATGGTATCAACACGGCTTATCACTGATGTTGTCAATCTTGATCACCTGGCCAAGGTAAGTTTTTCCAGGTTTCTCCACTTTAAAGGTAGAGCAGCAGTGACTTTTCTCCATCTTTCCATATTGACTTTTTAGACGCAAGTCACTAAGCCCAGCCCACACTCAAAGGGGCAGGGAGAAGATTTGACTCCACCTCCTGGAAATAGAGACATCTATTCACAACTCTTCTGTAAGGGAGATTCCCCGTTTCCCATTTGTGTATTTGTTTATTCAATTATTTGTTTATATCAATATAGACTCATAATTTATATCAGTATGGATCATGGAAATGTATGCTTTGGGTTATAGTCCAATTCTATGTTATTTATTTTCTTGCTGAAATTGCTCCAGCTTTGGCCACGGAGAGTTTGTTCAGGTTGGCTCCTATGCCCTTTTCTGTGTCCTCAACCTTTTGTTTTTCTAGCACTTCCTTACTTTCTGTAATTAGAAATTACTCCAGGAGCATCTTGAATTTTTCCTGTCCCAGTCCTAGAATCTATCATGTTTTCATCTATTTTTAAGAATGAAAGAAAATTATTCCCTTTAACCTAAAAATGGGCAAATTCACAGATATCTCAAAATATCACTTGTGTTTAGATTTGTTAGAGATCAATGAAGTGGCTATTTTGAGGAGCATTTTTCTGAAGAGGCATTATCTCTCCTAATGGAGCTAATGATATCAGGTATTATAAGAGTCATTAAAATTTAGAATCTGGTTGGATGATTGATCCGTTTTTGCAACTCCGAATATTTTAGTGACAAACTTCTAGCCAAAACATCTGCATTTATATGTAGGTGAAATTAGGTATTCTCCTGCCAAACCGAAGAATAGGTCTCAGCTGGGATAGCTCCTACCAGAGAGAAATTTGCATTGTCTTGAATGAAAGGGGTTTCAGTTGAAATATTAGTTGGGTTATGCCTGTAAGGGTGTTTCAGGATGAGATTAGCATTTGACTCAGTGGACTCAGTAAAGTCAATTGCCCTCCTCAATACAAGTGAGCATCATTCAATCTGTTTAGGAACTGAAAACAACAATCACTTATTGAGTCACAGTTCTGTATGTTGGCAATCTGGGCGGGCCTCCCCTGGGAGGTTCTTCTGCTGGTCTCTCCTGGGCTCAGCCATGTGATCATCCAATGCCAGGGAGACGGAAGGAGTAACTTGTGTTGATAGCTTTACAGTTTGTGTTTCCAGTCTGTTATAAGAACTGACCATACCTTGTTCCTAGGATTCTCGAAATGCATCTGTATACTTCCAACTATATTGCCTGAATCTTTGATAATTCAAGTGAGTTTCTGTTCCTTTAGACAAAACAATGACCAAGAAAAGTTTCTTTAAGATTCTATTTTAATGTCTGTATTAATTAGAATATGTATTATCTGTCCTTCTAATAACAAAATTCGACATCCCGGTGATTTAAAATAATAAAAACACAATTGCTGCTCATCCAGCAGAGGTGGCATTGGACGCTGTCTCCCTGGCATTACCCAATCTGTTAATGGAATGAAAACAGCAATCAGTTATTGATTCACAGTTCTGTCTGTTGGCAATCTGAGCGGGCCTCCACTGGAAGGTTCTTCTGCTGGTCTCTCCTGGGCTCAGCGGCGTGACAGCAGTCAGCTGGTAGGTGAGTGGAGTGCAGCAGCCTGGTCTTGCCTCACGCACATGTCTGCCGCTGTGTTCCGACTGTCAGTGAGGCCCTCCCTCCACATGGTCTCTCATCCTCAAGGAGGCCAGCCTGGGCTTCTTGCCCCCAGTATATATTTAACTTTTGAGTTTTGTGCTTTCAGGGTCAATGTTTTTCATCTCTGGATTCAGACCACAAGTCACATACAGGCTTGTGCTTTCGGACAAGTAACTTAACTGCTCTAAACCTTTGCTATGATAATAAAAGGAGAACAGATACAAACCGCATAATGCGATACCTGGCAAGTGGAAAGTCTCAAAAACCATCAGCTACTACAATGAGTATTGTTGTTGTTGTTATTTTTAGTATTATTATTAAATCTAACACATCCCTTCCCTGCCACGAGGTTAGGTGTGATCATGTGACTGACTTCTGGCTGAAGGAATGTGAGAAGAAATGACACAAACCATTTGTAGGCCTGACCCAGGAAAACTTCTCTGTGATCCTCTCCACACTTTTTCTCCTTCTTGGTCTGCCAGCTGGATGACACAAAAAATCTAAAGAGAACTTGGGGACCCTAAGGAATCAGGAGCCACAAATTGGAAAGGTCCCGAGTCTTTGTGCGTACCTGTGAAAGGCCAGTCACTGAGCATCCACATCTAGTGCATGAGCTGGAATTATATTTTTATTATTTTAAATCACTGAGATGTCGAGAGTTTTGTTATTTGAGGGACAAATAATATGTATCCTAATTAATACAGACATTAAAATGGAATCTTAAAGAAATTTTCTTGGTCATTTTTTTTTTCTAAAGAAACAAACTCACTTGAATTATCAAAGATTTGGGCAATATAGTTGGAAGTATACAGATGTATCTCAAGAATCCTAGGAACAAGGTACAGTCAGTTTTCATGACAGACAGGAACCACAAACTGTAAAGCTATCAACATAAGTTACTCCTTCCGTCTCCCTGGCAGTATATGGAGGCTTATTTCTGGTTTTCTGCGTGCTCTTTATTTCTTTCTTTCTGCCTACAGATTGGCTTTCTTTGCTTCTCAGGTTGCCCTAGAGACCCTCTCAGAGATGATTGGCTCAAGCTGAGCCAAAATGTACTCCCTGGTCGAACCAGCTGTGACTAAAGGGCAGAGCCACCTTGCACAACAGTCAGTTCCCATAGAAAGAAGGGGACCCCCCTTGGCTGGGCGCGGTGGCTCACGCCTGTAATCCCAGCACTTCGGGAGGCCGAGGCGGGCAGAACACGAGGTCAGGAGATCAAGACCATCCTGGCTAACGTGGTGAAACCCCGTTTCTACTAAAAATACAAAAAAAAATTAGCCAGGCGTGGTGGCAGGTGCCTGTAGTCCCAGCTACTCGGGAGGCTGAGGCAGGATAATGGTGTGAACCCAGGAGGCAGAGCTTGCAGTGAGCCGAGATCACGCCACTGTACTCCAGCCTGGGCGACAGAGTGGAAAAAAAAAAAAAAAAAAAGAAGAGGACCCCCAAAGTGTCCCTAGGAACATTAGTGGGATTAGACAGAACTCCTGTTTAACTCTCTGGGGTAGGTGTCAGTGAGACCAACACTTCCCATTTTACTTTGTAAGTAGTCCTTGGTTTTTACAACTTGCCCATCAATTGATTAAAAAAAAATTTAGTGGAAGAGTCTTCCCTTTACTTGTCTATTATAATTAAAACTATATTGTATTTTTTAAAATAGATTTTATGTTTTTAAGAATAGTATTAGGTTCACAGCAAAATTGAGGGGAGGGGACAGAGATTTTCCATATACTCCCTACCCTGCAATGTGCATAACATTCCACTTTATCAATATCCCCTACCGAAGTGGTGCATTTGTTACAACTGATGAATCTAACTTGACATATTATTATCACCCAAAGTTCATAGTTTACACAACGGTGCACCCTTGATATCCCTTGGAATTGTATCTAAATTATTAAGATGTTATATTCTAGGCTGTTGAAGCAACATGTATCACTATATCATCCATCAACAAATTTTAGTTTTGTGCTGTTGAACTTCACTCGGATACAAGGTGGAATGTTTTGTTAAAATACTTGAAATCTCCTACTGGCCTTGACGTTTAGATAAGAACAATTTGTCAGAAACCTATCTCATTATTTCCAGGTAGCAGGATTCATGCAGAGTGTTTGCAACACACTGATGCTGTCTTAATGCTGAACAATGCTATGTTTTAAGCTTTGGAAAGTGGATATCTCCTGGGTTTACTCTCGAGCTCCCTGTTGGAATGATTTTATACTTCAGCTCTCAGTGGGAATCTGCCTCCAACTCCCCAGCTGGATTGCTTTGCTACATTAGGGGCCAATCAGCAGAAGCTGTTTATCTCTCAGAAGAGTATGAGCTGTTGTTTCCCAACACACTTAGTGCTCCCTTTTCAGAGACATAAACTGTCATTTTCAGTAAGTAATTTCTATTGAATCACTGGTGCCAGATAACTGAGGATGATAACAAGAGTGAGATGGTTGCCATGAAAAATTGCTAATATAAAATGTGACGGCCCTTCTCAGCAAACTAACACGGGGACAGAAAACCAAACACCACATGTTCTCACTCATAAGTGTGAGTTGAACAATGAGAACACATGGACATAGGGAGGGGAACATCACACACTGGAGCCTGTCAGAGGGCGGGTGGCAAGGGGAGGGAGACCATTAGGACAAATACCTAATGCACGCGGGGCTTAAAACCCAGAAGATGGGTTGATCAGTGCAGCAAACCACCATGGCACACGTATACCTGTGTAACAAAGCTGCACGTTCTGCACATGTATCCCAGAACTTAAAGTACAATTTTTAAAAAATGTGATGGTCCGTCCTTAGCTTGCACAAGCAAGGATGACAGAAATGACACCAGAGAGAGGGAAGCACCACAAACTGATTAGGTAGAGTAATTCCAGGGGTCTTTTTCCAGAGATACCTCCCTGTTACTGAGCAAGGGACAAGGATTGGGGAAGGAAAGGTGACATTGTTGAAAAAATACACAAAGATGGCATCTCTTAAAAAGGACTGAGGTTTCTGCCTTCCCTTAGATTGGAGCTGTGAATATGTGAGGCAGATTTGAAATGGAATCAGGTAATTAAGACATATCCAGGGCGGGGAGAGCTTTCAGAAAGTCTGAAGTGCTGGCCAAGACTGAGGCTCAGGGAAAGTCAGAGCCATAGAAACCGGCCACAAGCTGCAGAGACTCATAAGATATCTGGACCCAAATGGCTCAACCAACCATGGAGCAGATGGAGGACAGTCAGAAGAGCAGGAGGTTCAGGAAATCTCAGCTACCGTATTTCCATTTATCAGTTGTCTATTGTGTGTTATTTGCCATTTTTGACTTCTTTTCTGATTACTTTGTGGTAGAGAGTTCTGAAGAGTGAGAGGCCCACGCCATGCCTTTCACATTCTTCAGAGGGTCTCAGGGTGCCCATAAGTGCAAGCTTGCCAGAAAACTAGAAAGAGCACCCATTTGCAGCACTTACCAAGGAGAGGCACTTTAGTAAGGGCTACACATCTCCACCAGAGTCCAGGAATAAACTATTATCATCATTACATTACAAATAAGGAAACCAAGGCTCACAGAAGCTATGGTACTTGGGAAAACTGGGACATGAATCTTGTTCTCTATAACTTCAGAGCCCACCTCTAACCACAGAAATCTGCTTCTCTCTAGCTGTATGGGATAATCAAGGAAGGTATACTCAACTTTTATTGCATGAAGAGTTCTGATGTGCATAAAGAGCTCTGATGTGGTCCAAGAATCAACAGCTGTGTATTTCTTGCTTCTTTGTTCTGGCTTCAGACACTTTGTGGAGGAGCTGACTTTGGTTGGAATGGTTGGGTCAGATAAATTATTTCAGGGCTAAGCAGAGTTCTCAGAGATGCACAGCCATGGGGCATTACAGCAGCAGCATCACAGCCATAGTTAGGAGAATGAGGATCAGAGCCTGGTGAAGCTCATGTATGAACTTCTGGGAGCCTCAAGTTTTGGGTGCATCTCAGAAATGAAAATGGTCAGCAGAGTGCAAATGCAGAAGCAGTAGGCAGGACTGGGGTTGTCCCAGGCTTCACAGCAAGGACCCTCCTGCTCCCATGGTGCTGAGCTTCGGATGCGGTTAGGAGGAAGCACTTACTGCACAATGTGGGGGAAGGCATGACGGCTTGAAAGAAGCAAAGACATCAGGAAGAACTGCACTGTTCCAGTGCCTTTGGGATGCTATTTTTCAAAAGAAGCTGGTTCCTGCCACCCACCCCCGACATTTTGAAATTCAGCAGAACCATCACTGTTGGCAAACATTTGCTGCTGACTCTCTGAAAGGCTATGTTGTTATCTTATCAACCCGGCTGACTCAGAGAACCATGCGTCAAGGAGGGGCGAGAGTCTAGTAGATTAGATGCAATCTGGGGTATTCCCCAGTCTGGGGTTATGATTCTAGGATGGCATGATGCCTGTTGATGTAGCCTACTGCCTGGCCTTGTTTTGGGAGCCCCTGCTCCCCAAACTCACTTTGGCTGCCATTATCCAAGACTACAGGTGACCATTTTACCTCAGAGTCTTCCTCTTCCTGGGAGTATCCCTGTGGTCCTCTGCCTCCTTGGCCTCTCTGTGCAGTGTTCTTGGTGTCTAGTCACTTAATGCCACAGACTGTACAGAAGACCTCTGTGTGCACCTTTGAAGTCATCTAGACCATTCCCATCCCATTCTTCCTTCAGTCACTGGAGTTTATGGACAATGCATTGTTACAGAAAACCCATTCTTGATGTCTTTGGAGTCCATGGGTTTTAAGAAGCAAATTCTAGCAGGGCTAAGAGCCTGCAAGGGTAATTAATAGATGACTAGAAGTCAGTCAATTAGCAGATCTCATTAGAACGTGGTCTTTTTAAGTCATCAATTGTCTCACCCAGCCACCACCGATGTGGAAGTCCAGCCGACACCTGCAGACCACTCAGCACATCACAGAGCACAACTGCCAGGGGGGGCTTGTCCATTGGATTTGGGCTGCCTGGCCTTTGTGTGTCACCCAGTAGAAGTGAGGCCCACCCACGCCATAAGAGTTGCTGAGCCGAGTGAGAACTGCCTCATGGGGACACTCCTACTCTTGGCCAGACATCCCAAGCACTCCTAAAGTAGAAGTGATGATGCTATGGAAGTGAGAGCATAAGGCAACTGGGCTTCTGCAGGAATACACGGCGGTTCAAACTCACCATGTTACAGTTGGGAACTTGCTCAGGGCATAAGCCCACCTATGCCAGCTAGAGGCAGGCACCATTACCCTATGCAGGGCTAAGCAGAAGAAGCATGGGGTTTAAGTTTAAGCCTAGAGCAGACAGGACTCCCACTGACCCTTGGTTCCTACATCATACACATTATGTTTCCAATGGGGAACTCAGGAGGAGCAAGGTAATGGTGCCCTGTGGGCGAGGCTGTACAAGGGACATTCTAGGGCAGAGGTAGGATGGCTGCAAGCTGGGGAGCAGCAGGGCTACAGTGCCAGTGAGATCCAGCAGGGCTCCAGGAAAGGTCACTGGGTCTTGTCTATGTTGGGACACGCAGTGGCAGGCTTTGGCAGCTGTGAACATCAGCAGTTAGTGCCAACAGGGCATCCTGTGATCAATTAGGATAAGGATATGTTCAAGGAGTCAAGAGGACCCAGAGAAGAAAAGGGTACCTGTATCCAGATATGAGGACCCCATTCCACCTCTGCCCTAATGACAACATAGGCCACCCGCTGTGTCTAGATGCTATCTTGAAAAGAAGAACTTGGCTGGCCAGGGGGTATGGGGCAAAAGGGAAGGTATTAGAAAAAAAAAAAAGTTAAAAAACCTTGAAAAAAATTGACATTTTCCCAAAAGAGGTGACATTAATCCAAAGTAAGACTATGTTTTAAATGATGTACATTATTAGGCAGTTGTGGCCATCTAGAATGATGCTGCCCAATATAACAGCCCACAGTTGCATGTGACAATTTAGATTTCAATCAGCTAAAACTAAATAAAATAAAAGATTCAGTTCTTCAGTGGCACCAATCACATTTCAAGTGCTCATAGCCACATGTGGCTCTTGGCTACCATGTTAGACAGAGCAGATATGGGCCATTTCCATCATCACAGAAAGTATCACTGGACAATGCTGGTCTAAAACACAAGCCCAGGATAGCAGGCCTCTTCTCTGTCTTATTCACCACAGTATTTGCAGGCATCTAGAGAGAGCCCAGCACATAAGTGAAATACGGTCAAGAATTTTCCTAAAGTTCAGCTCTTTAAAATATGGTCCTCATCAACCTGTCCAGGCTTTGTTTTTCATTATTTATTCATTCATTAAACATAGATTTATATTTACTGATGTGCCGGGTGCTCTGCTAGATGCTGAGGATGAAAAATGAGACATAATCTCCATCCTCACAGAGCTCACTTCTACTGGGAAGACAGCAAATCGACTAGACAACTGGTCCACCCAATAATTACAGGTGGAGAAAAACACTATAAAGGAAAGAAACATGATGGAAAAGGCCACAAGCAGCTGCTGCCAATAGAATAGTTGGGGAAGGTGTCTTCGAGCAGGGGACACTCCAGCCAAGACCAGAAGCTCCTTGAATCCCTCTTCCCAGTCTGCCACAGTGGGTGGTACCTAAAAGCACTCAGTCAATAGTCGGTGGATGAATCACTGAGAAGGAGCCAGGTATTCAAAGGATCGGGGAAGGGCATTGTTGGCAAATTGGGTCTGAAACCTTTAATGTGAGACTGAGCTTGATCGGTGTGAATAGCAGAAAGAATACCACTAAGGCTGGAGCAGAATCAGCAGGTGGGAGAGAGAGGTGAGTTGGGATTTGAAGCAATATGGGGGCCTCTTGCTTAGGGGTGCATGACATGATCTGATGTATGTTTAAATAAGACCACTCTGGCCACTCCACGGAGACTGCATTGGGATGGGGAACAGGTAGCAAAAGCAGAAGCAGGGAGTTCCGCAAGCAACCTTGGGCAGCGCCCAGCGAAGAGATGATGGTGATGCCAGCTTGGAGCAGGCTGAGAGCTGTCGGCATGGAGATGTGGCCACGCCCCACTATGTGTCAGTGAAATTGGAATTAGTGTCTCCAAGGCTATTCCTGCTGTCCTTCCTGTTCGGCTTCCCACGTCCCTCCCCACTTCTCCTGCCTCGGCTTGGGATGCTCTTCCCTCTCATTTTCACTTTCAAAATTCCACCTTACCCTTCAGTGCTCTCAGAAGTTATCGTCCCCCTTGGCAAAGTCTTCCCTGATTGTTGTGGCCGGATATAATTTGCCTAGGCTTGGAAACCTTACAGCACTGACTCTACATGCCATCTGCATATGCAGCATTTAGCACACTGCCTGAAATCTGATTGAACTTGGTCTTCTGTATTGCATGGAGAACCACTAGATGACTTGGGCCTCATAAACATCTTCTTGTACCCTCTTTCAGGGTTAGCACCTAGTCCACTATCTTACATATGAGTACTCAAAACTATTTGTTGAAGGAACAAAGGACTGTCTCTGTGCTTGCTGGTGTGTATCGTTCTCTTCATTTAACATCTCATTTTTATTTGCATAACCCCACCTCTTTGAATATCATTTGCTAACCAACTCTATGGAGGAAATACAAAACTATTCTTTTAAACATAGGATCTGTCCCTGGTGGGCTGCACTTGGCAGCAGCAATGGTCTGAAACCTCCAAAGACTTGGTAAGAGCTGTGGGGAAGTGCAAAGAGTGTTCAATTAACTCTCCTTACTCAAAGTAAATGGAGGTACTTAAGCCAACAGCCGTATATTCTCAATTGCTCTTATGACCAGACTGTGAACTCCTTAAACACGATTTATTCATCTCAGTTCGTGCAACACGGCATGTGCCTGGTGCACAGTAGGCTCTCCAGACATGTTGGTTGAATGGATAAATCATAATATGAGCATTGAGCCTTCTGCTGGGCCCACTTGGAAGGCAATAAACCGCATAGTGGTAGCTCACCCCGGAATTACGGAGTCCTCTGAGAGGCAGGTCTCACCACCATGGAGAAGGTAGCACTACCATTTTACTGCACAGTCTTCCCAAATTTATGCGTTAAAAGTGTGCAGCAAGTAGGTAAAAATGCAAAGATAAACCTGATCAATTGTTTCTGTCTTACCCATCACCTGCCACCACGGAGAGTCATTGTTTTCTGTCTACTGCTTTCATTCATCTTTTTCCTTGCCCTGGAGCCGTTTTTCAGGGTTCCTGGCAAGGGGCCACCCTCCTTCCCTCATCCGATCAGGCCAGAAGACAGCGTGAGTTGCTCTTTTCCCTTTTTCTTCTTTGTTTTCTTTTGTAAAGAGTTTCCATGCATGTTATTTGTAAATATCAGTACTATGTGTTTTTTGGCATTAGCTTAGAGTATCTAATTTGTGATATCTTCCAGTTCATTACTTATAGTCTTAATTTCAGGAGCAAAAATGAGAGGATCTCTAGGCAGGAAGCTGTAAACGAGGCTCCATGTGCAGTACATGTTTGGCCCAGGTCTTCCATGAGTATTCTACGTTTGCTACCATCCCTGAAATAAGTGCTTCCTTCCTCCTCTTTTTTTCCTCGTGGTGAGGGGAGGGGAGGGGGTTCCTCCTATTTTCTGCAACTGTTTACTTAAGCAGGCATCAATAATTCAGGACATCAGCTCCATTTCTGAAAGCCCAGGTGAGGGCAAAGGGCTTAGCACCAGGCCAGCGGCTCATTTACTCACTCCTGCAGGACTCCACAGAGATTGCACCAGGCTCCTGCCCGGCCAGACCTCAGCCACACTTGAAGAGGGGAAGACGGTAAGCATTGACTTCAGAGTTCAGATCTCCTTTGTTTTCTTTCCTTAGCTACTTACCAGTTTCCCTGAACCTATGAAGATGCCAGAGGCCGTCTCTGGAGTGAGGCCTCTCTGTTGGTTTTGAGCTGCAGCATGCCACCCAGAGCAGCCTCTGATCCCAGCCTCAGACCCAGGCTTCTGAAACCAGACCAGGTAAGGAGAATTTGAATTTATTCCTTAATCTGACAAATGTTTATGAGACTCAAAGATGAAAATGTGGCTGTGACTTAAGAGAGGCAGAATTAAAGCCTGAGCTATACTTTCTTTATACCTAAGGTCAGAAGGCGACCGAGACATGGTCTCACATCTGGGATATGTGTAAGTTTCAGGACTGCAGGGATCTACGTAAACAGGTATTTATAGCCTCTTCCTCCTGAAATGATTCAAGGTGCTGGGTCTCTTTGTTCTGCAATTGAGTCTGGTTTCTCCAAGAAGTCCTCAAACATCTCTCCTTAAGTTCAAAATGTCTCCTTGAAAATAAAACCTAACTGGTCTGAGACATTATTTGGGATTTCTAGTTCAAAATGTGAGAAATGACTCCTACTGCCAGGATAAAGGCACAAGTACATTTGTCCATCTCTGCCACCCTTTCCACCCCCAGCCCTACATGCCCCACTCCTACCTTCAGCCGGGTCACTTGTAACCTCTGACTGGGGAGGGTCATCTCTATTTTCAAAAATATCCAGAGAAGACTCAAGAACGTTCCTTGATATCTCCACTCTCTCATGCAATGATCCTCAACAGCAACACAAACTTCTTATACCCCAAAACACTCAGACCACTTTTGAGAGCTCTTCCTCTCTTTCATCTCTCCCAATCAATCAACGATGGATCATTTGCCACCATTCTTCTGATAGTCACAATTTGATTAACTCAAAGGCGTTTTACAGTTGTGTTTATAGTTCTGCTTCCATGAACTCTCTCCTGCAGTTGCTTAACTAATCTTTCCCTGCCCCAGACTTTGTCTAGTCCAGTGTATACTGCAAAGTATTGCCAGTCTAATCTCTCTATGACAGTTCTGATCAAGCCACTCCCCAACCCATCCCACTCCAAACACCCTACCCCCATCAAAGGTATATGGCTGGTAAGTGACCTGAGCGAGATCTCTCTAGGAGACCCACTGATACTCATGCCTTACGCCGAGCTCTCGGAATTTTCCGAGCATCTCTTTTGCTCTCTGGTGTCTCCACCATTCACCTCTTAAGACTCTCTCAACCCAGCAGGCTACCCTCCGTTCGCATTTCTACCTGTCAAGATCCTATCCATTCACTGAGCGTCACAGGAGAATTGTAGTTTATTACATAGGGTCCTTGGCCTACTTGCTCATAGTAGGTCTAGCTGGGAAGAGAGACATAAACACAGACATTTGAATGCATACAGTGCTTTGGGGGCTGCTAAGGGGACAGAGCATAGGAGCCCTTAGCCTTTGTAGAGATGACATTTAAACAGCTTCTTGCTGGGCAGGAAAAAGTTGGCCATATAAAGAAGTTGGTGGAAGGGTATTGCAGATAAAGGGAACCACATCAGCAAAGGAAACTAAAAAGTGTTCATTAGAGAACATAGTATGCAGTCAAGACGGGCCCAAGCCATTATCAAGAACTTCCCACATAGCAAGAAGGCTTGGCACCACACTCTTTGCTTGGCCTACCTTGTTTGACTCACCTCATACCCTGTAAGGTGGATACTGTTAGCATCGAAGCTGTTTTACAGATGAAGACACTGAGACACAAAGAAATGGAGTAACAGCCAGGTTCACACAGATAGCAAGTTAAGTGTGGAGCCCAGCTTTGAACCCAGGAATCTGACTACAAAAACTGAACTCTACATAGCTATTCCTCTTCAGCTGAGAATGCAGTTACAGAAAAAGGCCAAGGTGCCTTCAAAGTTCTGTAGTTAGTGGGTTCCAGGTGTGGCTTTGCATCAGTTACTTGTGCCACGGACACTTTCTCGGTTTTAGTTTCTTCATCTATAGCCGTGTTTCCCAACAGGGAGTGATTGTACCCTGCCCCCCGCCCCGGGGCACATTTGGCAATATCAGGATACATTTTGGATGGATATAGTGGAGGTGGGGTGGGGGAGCGCTATACAACCAGTGGGCAGAAGCCAAGGATGCTGCTCAACATTGTGCAATGGATAGCAACAGGGCCCCCACCACAAAGAATGATCTGACCCCAGTATCAACAGCACTGAGGCTGAGAACATCTGCTTTATGGAGGAGGCTTAAGACCCACACATGCACCCCACATCACTGACTATTCTAAGTGTTCCAGGAGCTAACGTGCACAAAACTCCCGTGGCAGAAACTATTGGCTGAAACTGCAAAGTTCCCAGGGGGACTCGATCCTCTTGGGTGGATCTTCTTCGAGTTTACTTCAATGACAAGATCCACGTCCTCCATGAACCCCGTGTTTTCTTCAAATAAAGTCCTGCAGGCCCACGTGGCTGCCTGGGCTGCTGGCAGCAGCCTCTTAGCTCCCGCTGCACTGGGTTTTCTCTTGGAGGTTGCACCCCTTGCCGTGACTGTGTTTCATCTCGCCTGTTCCTGGCATTGCCTCTGACAGCTGGACTTACTGAGAGACCAGGCCCCAGATGAAAATTCTCAGCACGGCCCCACCATGCTCCCTGGCCCAACCCAGGCTGGAGTAAGACAGTCAGACATTTCTTCTCTGCTTAGTATTCATCTTTCTTTCCCCAGTTATCTGTATTTACTTTGAAAATCATTTCCTCTGTTTTACTCGGTTTGCCTTTGAGCCCAATTGCCTGCTCAGTTCCCTGTCCCTTCTGTTTATTTCTACTTCTCATTTTTCCCATTGATCAGATGCCCTGGAAATATAGCAGGAACAGTGTGTTCCCTGTAATAT
The DNA here is from genome assembly GCF_000001405.40 of Homo sapiens. Taxonomy (NCBI): domain Eukaryota; kingdom Metazoa; phylum Chordata; class Mammalia; order Primates; family Hominidae; genus Homo; species Homo sapiens. The sequence goes on from NC_000021.9 coordinate 35,324,469, forward strand.
TTGGTTACACTTAATATTTCTCAGCAAAATGTAGCCTTGGAACACCAAGCGGTAAAAATCCAGGCCTGCTCTGCTTACACTGGACATCGGCTTCAGCACAGGCTCCGATTCATTTCGGATCTATTCCCTCCTTAAAGGGGAGTCACACCCAGCCTACAGCAGGAAGGTGCCTCAGCAGGCGAACTGCCAAGCATGTGCACAGAAAGCTGTTTCCTCAAATAAGTGCACGGCTATAACACAGTAGGTGCTTGACTGAATAAAGATACGGCACCCTGTGAAAGTGCCAGATGAATATGCTGTCGAATCCCACAACTCTTCCGTAAACACAGTTTTTCTAGATCAGCCTTTGCCATCAGGGCTACTAATCCTAATTTTCCCTGATGCCACTTTATGATTATGTGACTCAAACTGAGAACTAATGAAACTCTTTCGTGCCACAGTCGTCCTTACAGGCCCCTTTGGTGAGCGGATGAAAGCTATGCAACTTTTCTCCAGAACTGCCTTGCCTGCCTCACAGAATATTCTGAATGTTCTGGGCACTAATGTGGATGAAACTCATTACTTAGGAATGCATTTGCCAGAGACTATTGGCTTAAACCGCAGTCTCTGAGGGGACCCAGTCCTCCTGGGTGGCTCTTCTCTGTGTTTGCTTCAGTGATAGAATCCTCTTTCTACATGAACCCTGTGTTTTCTTTAGAATACAATATTTAGTTAACCCTCAGCAGGGTCCCACCCACGAAACCCATGGTTTCAAACTTAAGAACCAGTCTCTACCTTCTTGGTTTAGAAAATACCACTAGGAAATACCGTGAGTGAAGCATTGTTTAGTTACGGTAACAGAAATCAACAGCAACACAACAACACAAACTCTTACTCAAACCCATCAACAGTTCCCACCCAAAGTTTCTCTTTGGGCATAAAGATATATTTTCTTGTGTGGCTTTAAAAAGCCAGGAATATGTATATGACAAAGAAAGACACTGAAAAGCAAGAGATGAGGAAACAAATTGAAAACCAAGGTTTTTGAGGAAGCGTATCCTCACCTCTCACCTAACGGAACAGGGTTAATAAGTGGCCCATCAGCACTGAGAAAGTTATAGGGGCAGCTCTGAACTAAAGTCTCAAATATAGTATGATGTGAACGTGACCATACACGCCCCAGGTAGAGTTCTGGCAGCAACCCGCTAGACCACAGACCCCTCGCAACAACCAGATCTTTGTCTTGGTCCTGTTCTCTTCCACTAGGTTGAAGAGTATTCAGTTCTGTGTATCTGTATCACTACCCCTACCCCAGCCTTCTAAGGAGGTGGGACACTTCATCTGCTGAGCCAGCAACTAGACCTTCATCATGACGTGTGGGGAGGGGGCTGATGGAGCTCCCAAGTTTTGCTCAGAAAAAGGGAGTGGGTAAGGGATGAATGGGAGAGAGAACCACTCAAGGTGAAAAGAGTGGAGGATGGGAAACCTGCATACAGAGACAGGAGCAAGGGAAGCCATGGAGAGGATTTCTTAAATTAAAGCTCCCCTTTACTTGGGCTTCTAGAAGCCTCCATGTCATTTAAAGTGATTAGAACTGGAGAGAGAAAGACACAAAGTGGCCAGATAGTCAAAATGTCAAATTCTTTTGAACTATGCCGTTATCTGCAACTGAGATATTTTCACTTCTGTGCTGCTTGGAGGATGCAGATAAAATCCACCCACTTTATCTGGTAAGAGGTCCCAGTCCTCTTCATGGCTGAAAAGAATCAGCACCATACACACGTGTGGATTTCTCTTCCTTTCCTCTCCATCTGAGCAAGGCAGGAACTCATGGTTTAAGCAAGAGAAAGAAACAAAGTGAGAAATGAAGAATCATGGGCAGTGTGGGGCAGGTGTGGAGGGATGCAGTTTATACACAGAGAAGATTTGCAGACCCAGGACCCAGGGTCAAGGAAGAGCACGTCTTTCCCCAGCTCTTCTGCCTCTCCACTCACCATGGCAGGGGAGAGATTTTCCACAGAGACGAGCCCATAATGGAGGCAATAACCCTCTCCAGCGCAGGACTCTGCACCTCCAAGGCACCCTTTCTGATCATCTCAGAGGGAGAAAAGCCAAGCCCTTTTCTTTTCACATCCTCCTGTCTTTCATCCCCTCTGTGCCTTGATTTCAAAGCCTTTCTGAAACAAATGTGAAGTTGAAAGGATAGATTTCAATTATTTTATTTTGTAAAGGTTAAAAAGGTTCTTGTAAATGACTGATGCAAATACTGGAAACCCAGTTAAAACAACTGGATACCAGATGGCAAAGGAGAGTGGTTTACTGTAAAGTGTTATGGAGTAGGAGCTCATTTACAAGAAGCAATTACACAAACAGCCCTGAGCATCCAAGATCCCATAAAAGAGTGGCTGGGGTGAAAGTGCAGGATTGGCTGAGCACGTATGATTTCCACATCCCAATGTGAACTGTGCAATTGTTATCTTACCTGTTGCCCTTCCACTGGGCTACGATTCTAAGTCTAGGCTGGCCTGCCAAGAAGCACAGTCACAGCCCTAAACAGAGATGCTTGCACTTTCTCCATCACTTAGTGGCCTAGGGGAGTTTCCTCATAGGAGAACTTTAACAATACAAGGAGTGTAGGCAGCTGGCATCATTGTATTGAAGCCTGGGGAACTTGGTTTTTATCTCAGGTCAAGAGAACAGGAGAAAATCCCTTTACAATCTGGATGCCTTTTTTCTCTCATTATAATAAATTGAGAATGAGCACAATACACTTTACTGTCCATGTTCAATCCTAGGTATGCTCTTGCATGCATGTAGACACTGTATGCAAATCACAAAAGCAAATCATGAAGCTGTAGCTGAGAATTTGACATTGTAGTTTCTTGCTCTACACACCCATCAGGTCTGGGCTGACCTGGCTGCCCTCCTCCATGTTAAACCTCCTGGTGCCCATTTCAGTGCCCTGAGGCCAAGTCTCTGCCTCCAAGTGCCATGACCTCCCCAAGGTCAGCCTTCTGGTTTATCTTACCTTGGCTAGACCGGGTAAACCTTTACATCTGGTAATCAACTTGACTGTGATCTGTGCTGGGAAGAGACCATGCACTCACTCCAGAACACAATCACAGGGCAGGTGGTAACATGTGCTTTTGGGGAGGCTTTCTATAAACCCATACATATCCCAGGCATTACTCTTTTTTATCAGAGCCTTTTCTGGGGGGAAATTACAGTCAAGAATGTAAGTTTCACCTTGCCAAGGCAGTGAGAAAAATACTTGTGTGCAGGTGGGACTTCCAGGGCCTGGAAATCACAGTAACCATTCTCATGGCCAGTCAAGATATTTTGATCCTGGAGAAAGCAGGATTAGAAACCAGACCACCATACTGATACACCCTAGGATGTCCTGCAGCCCCTGGTCCAACAGAGAGGGCCTCCCTCAAGACATACTGAAATGGAGCTGGCAGATCAGAACCTAATGGAATACACCTGAAAAAAAGCATCTGACCCTCAAATGTTTATCAATTGATTAATGAATACACAAATGCAGTCTAATTGATTAATGAATACACAAATGCAGTCTATCAATGCAGTGGAATAGTATTTAGCAATAAAGGAAAGTAGGACTATTTTATGCTACAACATGGATAAATCTGGAAAATGTGATGCTCGATGAAAGAAATCAGAAACAAAGGATTTGCATATTATATAATTCTGTGCATGTGAAATGTCTAGAATAGGCCAACCTATAGAAAAAGGAAGTAGATCAATGCTTATCAGGTGCAAGGCAGGGATGGGAATGACCGCTCATAGTATGGGGTCTGTTTCAAAGGTGACAAAAATATTCTGGAATTAAATAATTGTGGTCATTGAACAACTTTGAAAATATACCAAAAAACACTGGATTATATAAGGATAAATTTATGGAATGTGAATTCTATCTCAATAAATCAAAAAGCATGGGATGATTCTGCATCCCAGCAGGGAATGACTCCTACTCTCATTTTGGGGACAACCACAGTAGAATGCTGTGTCTCGTAAGTTTCACAAACACCTTCCTAAAATTTTTATGGTAGATTTAGCGCTGGAGTTAAAGCTGATTTACATGAGTATCTTTTCTTCTTCTGAGGAGACACATCCCTGGGTAATGTAAAGCCAGATTCAAATTCCTGTTCTATGTTCTGTGGGAGTTGGGGGTTGAGGGGTATCAAGGACCCTAGTTTGAAGCCAGTCACAGTTTGCTGAAGTTCTGAGCTTCCTCAGCACAAAGACCCATAATCTAATTTCAACTAGATCTCCTCTGTTCTCAGAGCCTGTGGTGTCCCCTCTATCCTCTCCCTCCTCTCCCATCTCTCTGAGCTCCAGTTTGTGAGGATCTCAGGAGCTTGTGGAAGTCATCCCTCCTTCCTTATTTTACCCTCTTCCCTAAGGCAACAGGCTGAGTCCACGTCCTCAACAAGTGTGGTCATTCCTATGATCTGCCTCTCCTCCTGCTTTCACCAAACCTCCCAGGCCTATTAAGTTGCCCCTGACCTCCTTGCACTGAGATCCATCCACTCATCCCCTCCTTCATTCAACTAATATGTACTGAGCGCTGGCTATGTGCTGGGCACTGTGCCAGGAGCTGGGAATACAGTGGTGGATGGGGCACTCAAGGTAAAGCTGGCAATACTCAAGGAAACCAAGCCATCAGATGGAAGTTTCCACCAATCAGCCCACAATGAGCCCTTAAGCCCAGCAGTCTGCACTCCTAGAAGGAGAATACTTAGATTACTTCCTTTTTCTCACTGTAGTTAAACTTCCAAGGGCTCTCTTGCCCTCCCAGACACGTGGTGAATTCCATCTTCTTGCCATTTCCAATGGGTTGGAGCCATGCGGCTAGTCCTTCCAATCCCTTGCTGCAGCAGTTATAGAAAAGGTCTTGTGTTGACATGGCCAAGCCCCAAGATCGAAGCAACCTGTATTACTAGGTTGTAACTCAGAAGAAAGTTGCCTCGAGGAGTTTCTTAAAGCTGTAACAGACTCAGCCTGAGTGAGAAATAAACCTTTGTGGTATCAAGCCACTGAGATGGTGGATGTGTTTATTTATAACAGCATGCCCAGGTTTACTCTAGCTAGTGCATCCACTGAGAAAACAAGGTTCTAAGTTGCATATAAGCCCTCCAGAATATTTTCTGGACCGTTCTCGCAGAAGAGCAAGTCATAGACCACAGCAATGGTCTGTAATTAAGAAGGAAAAGAGAAGAGTGCAGATTGATCGTATTTCATATCAAATTGTGCTTAAATTATATAAACAATCAGTTACATAAATGGAATTGCAATGGCAAATGTTTTGATAATCAAAGTCTGTGCCACTGGTCATTCAAAATGTGTTTCTGTTTCTTTAAGTGCTTACTTGGGGGATGCCAGATGAATTCGGGGGCTTCTTGGAGTGATTTCTCATCCCAGAGATGTTTTTGTAGCTATACTTTGGCCCTCCAAATGTTCACATTTGATATACGCCACTCAAAAATAGCTACCAATGGAAGGCATGACCTTGGGCTGACAATTTATTTAGGAACCAGCAAGGCCAGGCTGTCCTATGTCTTTTTAGGTTATTCTCTGCGTTGATTCCGGTCAATAGCCTGTTTTAAGAAAAGCTTAGGCCAGATTTAAAAAAAAAGAAAATCTGCCTTCCCTTGAGTAAACACGGTAACCTGACAGCTCCAGTGGGTAAATAATGCACTTTTTAAAAGCCTTTCCAAATAGGCCTTTATCCAGCAAGCTGCTTTTATAAGCTACCACTCTTCCTAATATCTATTTATTCAAAACTTCTTAAAAAATGATAGACATCTATTGAATCTGAATTTTCTGGATTTTCTTTTTTTTTTTTAATTTTAAAGAAGAAATGTATTTTTTCCCTTCTGGTTAGAGAAAAAGTTTTTCTTGAAATATGATCCTCTCAGATAAATAATGGCAATAAAAGTAAATGGAAAGTGGGAAAGAACATGGTTTCTTAGTGCAGTGTGCAGCACTTTCTAATTGGAAAAGGCTAAAAGGGAGTTTTCCTTGGAGGCCTCCCATCTGACTTGAGACCAAGCAAAACAGTGATTTGCTTATGAGCATTGAGGTCTCTGTTTCCCTTGTTAAAAGGGAAGCTAAGAATGGAAGAAATGTACTAAGTTATAAACCTGTATTATGGCAATGATTTGTGTGGATATTTCATACATTATGGTGAGATATAGAAATTATAGAATACAATGAGCGGTAAAGACCTTTGAAGTCACCACTCAACCCCAGGTGGAAACCGAGTCTCTCACTACTGAGTCTTGCTGAAGATCACAGCCACCTTCAGCCCACATTTTTTACTCTTGCTAGCATAGTACTCTGCTCATGTTGAAACACTCTATTTTTCCACTTAAAAAGAAATCTATCCAGCTTAGCTGAGTTTTTCTGGAATTTTAAGGAATTTATGCACCTGTCACAGGAAGGTTTGGGTTTGCTGATGGCTTTAAAAGCCAGAGCTTTGGTAGTTTAGGCCCTCCTGAGGTCCTGAGGTCCTGTTACCTCATCAGTCATCAAAAATGGTTATTGTTGCTCTTTTCAAGGGTCTTCTCATTTCCTTAATAAGAAATAATAATTCAGTAATGTTTTCATAATTACTATGAAAATATTGTATTGTAGATAAAAGCAAGAGCAAGACTGGCCTATAACTTAACAGTAGCAGTATTTCTGCAAGAGTATGACTGTCCTGTGATTTAACAGTCTCACCATTTCCTCTGCCTCTCTCTTTCCTTCCCTCCCACTCCCATTCTCATTTCCTTGCTACTTTTGCCTTTTCATTTTACATTTTTGTTCATGTATGATATACATGCAGATAAAGCACACAGCTCAAGAAAACAACATGAGCAGCACCCACAAAAGCCCACTGGGGCAGCCATAACACCATAGATCGCTTTTCCTGTTTTTCTTTTGATAGAAATGGAATCTTCTAATGTACAGCTTTTGTGTCTGACTTCTGTCCCTCACGCTTATGCTAGTGAGATTCATCTGTTGTAGCATGTATTGTTTTTTTTTTCCATTTTAAAATCCATTCCCTCCCCATCTGGGGTAAATTTACCTCCATCTTTCTGACTGGTACTACTCCTCTTCTCCTTTGTGTCTTAGATTTTATTGCCCTATTCTGACTTATTTTCTTTGCCGAGTCAGACATGTCATTTGGACTAGAGCAGTGGAGACAGCACACTGTTCCTGAAATGTGCAGGTGAATACCTCTCCTCCAGGATCCACCCAATGGATACACCTGCAGCTGGCCACATATGCAGGCGATCTATGATACTATGAAAGGCCCCGTCTAAAGTGCTTTTACAAGAGAGGATGTCGGCATCTGTGATGGTTAATTTTATGTGTCAACTTGGCTAGGGTATGGTGCCCAGATATTTGGTCAAACGTTATTCTAGATGTTTCTGTGAAGATTTTTTTCGATGAGATTAACATTTAAACAGGCAGACTTTGAGTAAGGCAGATTTTCCTCCATAATGGGGGTGGGCCTTATCCAGTCACTTGAAGTTCTTAATAGAAAAAAGACTGACCTCACCCAAGCAAGAAGGAATTCTGCCAGCATATTGCCTTTGGATTTAAACTGCAATCCTTCTTGGGTTTCCTGCCTACCACCCTATCCTGCAGATTTTGCACTTGCTAGCCTCTACTGTCCCATGGACCAATTCCTTCAAATTAATCTCTCTTTTGTCCTCTCTCTACATATGCACATCCTGTTGGTTCTATATCTCTGCAGAACTCTGACTAATACAGCACTTCTACCCACTCCCAAGCCCATGGAAGACCTTGTTTATTGGCCAAGACACTCTTTCCAGATGAGCCTTCAGAATCCTCCTCCACTCAGTCCTCCAGATATCCATGGCCTGTCAATAAGCAAGTTGAAACATCCTTGCTATCCTTGCACGAGAGCAATGGTTCTCAAGAGGGAGAGGGTGATTTTGCCCGCCAGGGGATGTTTGGCATTGTCCAGAGACATTTCTGTTGTCACAAATGGGGGAGAGGGAGTGCTGTTGGCTTCTAGTGGGAAGAGATCAGAGAAGCTGCTAAACATCCTATAAGGCACAGGACAGTCTCCCATTAACAAAGAATTACCCAGCCCCAAGTGTCAGTAGTACGAAGGTTGAGAAGCATTGAATTAGAGATTCACTCAGACTCAACTATTGAAAGACAAACATCTCTTGGATGAGAGGTATCTTAGTCTCTATCACAGCAATTCTATATGATTTAGAGAGAGCTGCTTCTCAGTAAATAACCTGAGAAATTATTTTGAAATTCTGACATAATGTGGATGTAGCATAACCTTTTATTTTACCCTGTGTGTGTGGAGCTATTGCTTTTAGCCTTGTCTTCTCTTAATTCCTTTCAAAATTGAGTCTCCTTTTACTTTTCATATACTTGAGCATGGACACTTTCTTTCTAACACACCAAAATCTAGGCCACAAAATACTTACCGGAGTCAACAAATCCCCTTGACCAAACATGCTATAGATCATGCCCAGGACATGCTACAGATCCTGGGAAAGAGGAGATTGGAGGAAATTGATAAATGGCAGTTTCCTCTGCTCTGCCATCAACAATAACAAAATGCGTCAGAAGAGCAGAATAAAGTAGTCAATACGGACTTCCCTCACTCCTGGCAAACAAAGGGCTTTCTAACAGAGGTTCTCCCAGCTCAGCATTCACCATTGGTTTGGGTAACTGCATAGGAGGTCTCCCTAAAGATGTGAAGCATTTAGCACTTGGTAGAGGAAACCCTGACCACGGGCTTGTGAGATGAGGCTTATATCTTTCAAGGATGTACTGAAATGATTGCTACGAGTTTTCATAAAAACTTTCACCTGCTATATTCTCTAAGGCACAGTACAAAAATGAAGTCTTCATAGTAGATAATTTGCTGGATTAAAAAAACAAATTTTAAGTACAATGTAAGTTAATAATTTAATGTATTCATGACATAGGACAGGCAATGTATGCAGAAAAGAGGTGTAAGTTAGGGGAGAGTGTAAATTAATGTTTCATTAATATGGAATTTTACTGTATTTTAGAGCACAGTGTTAATGCCCAATAACCAGAGTGGAAAGAAATGGGTAATTCTTTTCATAGTGAAAAATTTTCATAAGAAAACTATGTGAATTTTCTCTGGAGACACTAAAGGCAGAGAGAAATGAAATAAGAATAAATCATCTTGGAAATTCATTAATGTTGCTGCAGAATATCAGAAAACCAACATGAGAAACTGACACATTCCAATTATTATAATTACATTGGCTGTATTAGAGCAGTTCTTTAATCATGTTGCCAATGAGAAGAAAGTTGTTTACTTTTCAGTTTGGTAGTTTCAGAACTGTCAGTGATTAGCTAAATAAATAAATATGTAAGCAAATTAATTTTATCTCTTCCTATTATAGTTAAGCAGCTGGTCAATTATCTTCAATAAGTTTTCTTTCTAAAAGCCACACATAAGAAAGGAAGGTCAACAGATCCAGCATTTTGGCTTGAATTTCAAGACCCGGTTGGCAGTATTTCAGATGTCCTTAAGCCTTGATGACCAAGATACCTAATGAATGAAGCATAGCATAGCAGAGCTCTTGGTTTTGAATCACAATTGCGTTGCACGTGGTTCATGGGAAAAAATTAAAATATCATTCCCTTTTTCCCAACATATGCCTAAGAATGTCCTAAAATTGTGCAGCTGCTTCGTGCTCCAGTAATACACATGATAATAATGGTGAAATGAAGCATAGGTAGGAAGGTAAGATGAAGCTGAAGAGACAGAACAATGTGTCTGGATGTTGGATTATCTATGGACTCAGCTGATCCATGGACTAAGAAACAAACAATCAGGAAGTCACATCAGAAGATCTCAGCAGATACACATGCATGTGGTTAAGGCGAGGTCGGGATCTGGGCTGCCGCAGATGCAGTTGAGAAGGGCTGGCCGTGCTGGTTGGCTTCTGCTTTTTGTCATACAATACCACAGCTTGAATTAAACTCATCTTTTGCAGTGGGTCTGATGAACCTTGCTTATTGGCAAATTGGCATAGGCTGGCCTGCTCCTGTTGTATTCACCATTTCCAGGAAGTCAACATGAAATTCATTAGACTGTTTTGCGTAGCCATGAAGTGTGTTCCCACACTAGCCAGTGTTATTTCCCCAAAATGACCAACATGCTCTGGTGACCCAACTGGGAGCAGTGCCCTTTGTCGTATTAGGTGCTTCACGCTTTGGATTGGCACAGCACTCCCTTGATAGCCTAATTTCATTCAAGTGTATCCCTAAAATTCATCAAGTGAGTTAATGTTGTGGCCAAGATTTGACTTAAACTCTAGAGGAGTCAGATCTGGCTTCAGTTTTTCCTCTTCGACCTCCAACATGTCCTTGCTCAGGTTACCTAACCCTGTGTCTAGTTCCCTCATCCATTACAGGGCATGATACTAGAATATTGATTGAGTACTTAGTGTGTGCTGGGTCCTATTGTTAGTAAATGCAGTACGTCATCTAATTCTTATAACAGCAACCCTGCAAGACAAGTACCATTATCACGCCATTTTATAGATAAAGAAACAGAGGTCCAGCACCCCAGTGGAAAGTGGCAGAGCAGGCACTGGTAGCCAGGAGGTCTGGCCAAGGCCTGTGCTCTCACAAGTGTCTGACACTGCCCCTCTCTAATTTCAGTACCGCTTTGCTTCTCACCAGGAAATTATTTTGACTCACACCAGCATCTGCCTCACAGTATTATTCTGAGGAGGAGATAAGCCAGTGCACACAGTGCACAGCTAACGAATTCACATGTGGATTCGGCAAATGTTGATGGATGGCCCCTTGTGTGTCAGGCAGCGTTCTAGGTCCTGAGTATGTAAGACGATCAGAGTGATTGCCCTCCTGGAGCTCGTAGCCTAGAAATAAGACAGACCACAGCCAGATAAATATGTCTTTAATAACACATCAGTAGTGCCGCGAAGCAAAAGAAAGCAGGGGCAGAAAGTGACAGTGTTGGGGGAGGAGAGGGAGCCCAGATGGATAGGGGAACAGAGGATGCTTCCAGTAGAGAGAAGAACTCTGTGAAGACATTACCTTTGAGCCAGGCCCTGACTGACAGGGAACGAAGCCATGTGAAGATCTGGGGGACATTATTTTTTATTTGTATAATAAAATTAATTATGTACTAATTTCTTAGTTTAACCACAGAGAGTTCTTGTCCTCCTCCCCAACCAAGGGCATAATTTCTTACTCTTTCTCAAAACTCTAACAACAAGAGAAGAAAATCTGAAAATGCAGATGGAAAAGAAAAAAAAAAAGCTCTTCTGAAAGGTAAGAAGAGGCTAGTTGCCACGAACTCTGGAGCTATCGTGAATGGAAAGAGAACATTTCCATCTCCCATTGATCACTATAATTCACAAATTCTCCTAAAAAACAGAAACCACAGTTGACTATGGTTTTGTTGGTTTCACTTAATTCCCTGACCCCTGACTCCTTGTGTAGCTAAAAGCATGTCATAATCACGGTAAATTCTACCTCTCTTTATTCCATTAGAGGGAACCCAGGCCATTTCAAACACCATCTTCCCATCCAATCTTGATTTTACAATGCTTTTCACTGAAGATTAGAGTTAATGCTTTTCTAAGAGGTTTGTCACAAAAGGGAGCTTAATTGGGGCTCATTTTTTCCATCCGCCCAGTTGTTCCATAGGCTTACTTTTGGAAAGTGTGTCTATCATGAATGATTCATGTTCTACAGGTGAGGATTATGAGTTTAGAGAACCAAGTCACCCAGGAAAGGGAAAGCTACCTTAGCTTCTGGGAGATAGAACCATAGCACTCAGTGCAGTGGGTTGAAGAGTGTTCCCCTAAAAGATGTGTACATGTCCTCACCTCCGATGCCTGTGAATGTGACCTTGTTTGGAAATCAGGTCTTTGAAGATGTAATTAAGGTAAGGAGCTCAGGATAAAATCATCCTGGATTAGGATGGGCTCTGAACCTAATCACAAGCATCCTTCGAAGAGAAAGGAGAGGGAGGTTTGAGACACAGAGACACAAATGATAAAGCCATGTGAAGACAAAGGCAGAGATGGAGTCATTCAGCATCAAGTCAAGGATTGCCAATGAATGCCAAGCGATGCCATGCAATGCCAAGGATTGCCAGCAGACACCAGAAGCTCAGAGAGATGCACGAAACAGATTCTCCCCAGAGCCTTCAGGAGCCAACCCTGCTGACTCATTGATTTCAGATCTCTGGCCTTCACAGTTGTGACAGAGTAAGTCTCTGTTGTTTGAAGATAGCAACTTTGTAACATTTTGATACAGCAGCCCTAGGGATCTAATGCACTTGGTTTGAATCTTTAACATGAAATGAAAGAATAATAGTTAAGGGTCATTTAATTTCTTGGAGTAGTGAGGGATGTGACCCAGTGCCAGATAGGAATGTAAGTTTTTATTGTTTTGTTTTGTTTTGTTTTGAGATGGAGTCTAGCTCTGTCACCAGGGTGGGGTGCAATGGCGCGGTCTCGGCTCATTGCAACCTCTGCCTCCGCTTCAAGCAATTCTCCTGCCTCAGCCTCCCGAGTAGCTGGGACTACAGGGGCCCGCCACCGTGCCTGGCTAATTTTTTTTTTTTTGCATTTTTAGTATAGACGGGGTTTCACCAACCTGGCCACGCTGGTCTTGAACTCCTGACTTCGTGATACACCCACCTCGGCCTCCCAAAGTGCTGGGATTAGGAATATAAATTTTATATGGAGTTTACTGGGAGAGAAAATGGCTGCAGTGGCTACTGTTTGTGTTTACATAGTACCCCATCTGCTTTAACCTCTCTTCTAGAGACAGACCCAGGTCACAGTCACAGAGACCCACAGTCTCAGTGGGAAGCTGAGATCACAACCAAGGCTCTACGTTCTCAGTGGGAGCACAGTTGGTGCCGGATGTGGTCCCTCATGCTGTGGCCACCATTCTGTGCATTGCAGGGCCAACAGCGCTCCTGTCCCTGCCACTAAAATATCGGTGCTTGGCCCCCAGTCATTGTGACAGATGAAAACACCAAGTATTTTCCAGTGTCCCGTAGGGGGAGCTGAATGGCCCTGGTTGAGAGCACTGGCAGATGAACCTCAGCATTAACGTCTCTGGGCTACGATGCCCTGATGGATTCGTGATCACAGTAAAAATTACTTACTGATGGCAAAACTAGAATGTGTGGAAATCTGCTGGATATAACCCAGTTTACCTCTGGGACCCTCTATCATTATGGTTAAAATTAAGATTGACCAAATCCCTTCTGACTGACCATTGTACTCCACGTGTTGCGACATTCAATTATCTTACAAGCAAAGCTCACTCTCTGATGACCCAGTCCATCTCCTAAGGGTGACTCTGAAGATTCTGTCACAATCCCTCATGTTCCAATGTACAGCTTCGCTCTTAGAGAGTGATCTTACTTCTAACTTCCTTGAGGATCTCTAATTTTTCTGGAGTCAGAGAAATACTGGAGAGGCGAGAGATGAGACTTGAAATACTGGAGAGGCAAGAGATGAGACTTGAACCTGGAGCCAAGAACCAGGTCCCAGAGGACTTGCTCTGCACTGTGCCATGAATTGGCCCTTCTTTCACAGCCTTGAGGATTCAGAGAAAGATGCGGATCAGGGTGCCATGAATGGGTACATGTGGCCATGAGGAGACAGGATTGGAATCTACAAAGATCTGCCGGGAGTAAGAGGTAGATGTAAAGACCGAGACAACTGGCCAAGGATGGGACCAAGATAGTAGCAATGAAAACAAAAGGTAGAGAAAATAGTCAAAGGATAACAAAAAGGTAGTCCTGAAAGCATGCAGACCCACTGGACATAGAGAGTACAGGAGGGAAGAGATCAAGGATGTCTCATTAAATTAAACTTTCTAGATAATTTAAATTGGAACACAGCTAAATTTCTTTGATACTTTGGAGAGGCTTCCTCTAAACATCTTGAGTGTGTTTAAAGAACACTCAAGATAACTCATGTTATCTCATGGTGAGATAACATCCCAGGCAATGATGCAGATTAAGCAATTCAGGAATTTAAGGGCTCCAACCATTAACTACTTTAGAATATCAGCTAAGGAACACATTCTGGAAGCTTTATGTTCTATTATATTAATTATCCCCCCAAGGAGCAAAAAGCGTTTTAAAAATTAGTTAAATGAATCTCAATGTTCTTTCCTAAGGCAAAAGGTAAAAAACATATATCAACATAAGGAAAGTGCACACTTTCAGCAGCTAAGAGGCCTCAGTAGCCTACATTACAAGCCTGCCTCCTTGAAGCTCAAAATTAGTGAAGCCACACAAGGTACAAGGCTAATTCACTATGGATGAAATAACGGGCAGAGAAAGTGGAATGGTAGGCTCTTGAGCACCTACCATAAAGCATCCAGGTGAAATAATTGAAAGGAAGCCCTCTTTTTTACACTGCACACACTGTGAAATGCGAGGTGCGGAAAGTTGATTGTCCTTAATAGGGAAGTATCAGCTTCCTCCCTACAGAGAGTTTAGAAGAAAGAGAAGCACAGAACTGCAGAGCTTGCCTTCTACCTAAAAACTGGTGCTTAGAACAATGGTCTCCAGCTGCATCCATGTTGCTACAAAGGGCATTTTCTTTTTCATGGCTGCGTAGTATTCCGTGGTGTGTGTATCTATATAGACATATATATCATTATTATATAAAGACATAGGTATCACGAATATACACATATATGTGATATGTGTGTGTGTGTGTGTGTATGTAACAATTTCTTTATCCAATCTGCCATTGATGAGCATCTGTGTTGATTTTATGTCTGTGCTATTGTGAATAGTATTGTGATAAACATATGAGTGGAGGTGTCTTTTTGGTAGGAAGCCATTATCCTAAGTGAATCAACACAGAAACAGGAACCCAAATGTCAACTAAATACCACATGTTCTCATAAGTGGGAGCTGCACATTGAGAACAATAAACACTGGAGATTCCAAAAGGTAGGCGGAAGGGTGGGGGAAGTGTTGAAAACTAACTATTGGACACTGTTTGCTACCTGAGTGATAGGATCATTAGAAACCCAAACTTCAGCATTATGCAGTATACTCATGTAGCAAACCTGAGCAAGCACTCACAGAATCTAACATTAAAAATCAAATAAAATACATTAAAATGAGAAAAAAATTTAAAAATTGGTACTGACATGTCCAGAATCTTAGGAGAAAGTAGAAATTTAAAAAATAACACCACAAATATCAGTGTTTTTAAAGTTTCAAACATTTCTGTATTTAACAAGTATTGGTGCCTTGAAATTGAGTTTAAAGAAGACAGTTCTTGATTTATGCTCTTGTGGGCATTAGGATGGGGAAAAACCCCTTCAGAGTACCATGACGAGATTTTGAATTATGCAAAGGTAAAGAAAAGGTCCCACTAATGTAGAGATATTTGGAGACTTAGTTCTAATGAACTGAAAGAGAGGTTTGAGGGGAGATGACTTAGGAGTGAGGAGAGGGGAAGCCTAGAGAAGCAGGTGCAGAGCTTCTACCCGGATCCTGGGCTGGATTCAGCTTCCAATATGCCTTGTTTGTCCCTGTAGCATTAGGACATATTGAAAGCTTCCTCACTTAAGAATATGGATATTTTACATAGAGAAATTGATTTTACACTCCTTTTGCAAACCCTGAAGGTCTGGCCATGCCAGTTTCTCATTCTCACAAGTCAGCAAGAGCAGGTATGGAGGAGAGAATCAGATGACCTCTCCAGCTTTCTACTTTGTACATGACCTTGTGAGTATTTCTGCCTAAGAGTCACTTAAGAATACAGATATTTTACTTAGAGAAATTGATTGTACACTCTTTTGCAAACCCTGAAGGTCTGGCCATGCCAGGCTCTTATTCTCACAAGTTACCAAGACCAGGTATGGAGGAGAGAATCAGGTGACCTCTCCAGCTGGCCTCGGTGCCACCTCACTGCCACCTCCCTGTGGTCACACACAGCCTGCTCCACTCATTCACAGGCCTGGGCTGGTTTGCATTTACCTTGGCCCCATGGACTAGAGAGAAGATGACCAGCTGTCAACATAGCTGTTGAGGGACAATCTCTGGGCACTGGCAGAACTACGAGTGACCTCTGTGTCCAAACAGAGAATGCCTCTGGGGAGGAGACCATTTGTCCCCTACATAATGAGCTCCAGTGTAAAATCCAGCATGGCTCAGGTATGCTGAGCGTTGGAAACTTTGGAAGCTTCTGGAAACAGTAGGCTAGAAATGAGCACTGACAACTCAAAATGCGTACCTGCAAGGGAAGCTGAGTGAGTTTCTCCAAGTGTTGTCAGGGGGATGCCTGCGGCCACATGGTAGCCAGACAGAGAAAAGAACAGGGAAGACAGCACACACGGGGACCACAGAAAATACTGTATGTGTTCTGGGGGTCCGAGTGGGAGTTTAAAACTGTCATTCAGGTGGGAGGCTTAAGTTCTTGAAATTTAAATATTAGAATAAAGGCAATGCCTGGACATACCAGATGCATATTAAAAGTTTTCTAAACTATACATATTTTTAACCTAGAAATTCTACTTTTAGTATTTTTATCCTAAAAAAGTTCATGGATGTGTATAGAGATTGTATTGAAATATATTATTTTAATACAATTATATAAATAATATATCATAAAATTATGCATGATATATAATATAAATTATAAAATGATTATTATTGAATAACAATTATATAAGTATAATGTTAATTGTAACTTATAATGACAAAGAACTGGCAACTCTTAGGATCTGCAACTGAAGAACATTGTTTCAATAAATTGTAACATCCATACAACAAATTTCAAGTAGCCACTAAAATACTACCAGGAAGTTATTTAAGGTTATTTCAAAGCATGTTACAAAAATAATATGCATGGTATAATGCCATTTTTATTTAATATATAAACACACATAGGGAAATATTTAAGTTTATACATTATATTAGTTTCCTGGGGCTCCTGGAACCATTTTCTGCAAATATTGTGGCTTAAAACAACAGAGTTAATTTTCTGACAGTTATGAGGACAGGAGTTTAGCAGTTTCACTGGGCCAAAATCAAAGTATGGGCAGGGCTGCACTCTCTCTGAAGGCTCTAGGAGATAACCCTTCCTTGCCTCTTCCAGCTTCTGTGGTTCTGGCGTCCTTGGCTTGTAGCTGCATCACTCCAATCTCTGCCTCTGTCTCTTCGTGTGTCTGATCTCCCTTAGTCTCTCTCTTATAAGGACCCTTGTGCTTGGATTTAATACCCACCAGGAAAATCCCTCATGTCAAAATCATTAACTTCATCACATCTGTAAGTCGCTTTTACATTGTAAGGTCACATTTATAGGTTTCAAGGACTCAGACCTGTTATTTTTGGAGCATCATTATTTCATCTGCTGTTTTCCTAATCATTAAAAGATATGTTTTTCTTATGTCTTTCTGTTCTTTCTTAGAGTAAGTATTGGGTAACTTTAGTAAGGGGGATTTATTTTAAGTAGATTATACCAGACAAAGTATGAATTTCTACTTTGTACACGACCTCGTATTTCTGCCTAAGAGCCAAAAAAGAAATAAACAAAAGTACCAACATGAAAACTGTATTTTCCCTTTAGAGTATTAAAAACCTTGTTCAATATTCAAGACTTTAAACTATGTTTAAAAAATAGAGGCATACGATATGATTGATTTTTATCAAATACTAGGTTGGATATTATAGAACAAATATATAATTTAGAAAAATCCAAGAAAAAAACAGAGATGAAGATGCCCTAACAGATGACTCTACCTGCCAAAAAAAGGAGGAGAGATGTGTATAATGTGCAAGAAAAAAAGTATCTATTTGATAGGTAAGTGTGCTTTCAAATTCTGAAAGGTCTTTAATATTAGGAAAAAGATTTTTACCAAAAATGGAATTTTCCACTAAAAAACAGGAACTAAAATAAGTATCCATTTCAATTCTGAAAAGTGAATGATGAAGAAGGCAAGTCAGAAATTCATTTTAGATGACGAATATGTTACATTTCCAAAAAGAAGGTAAGACACTAGAACAGAGGAAGGTAAAAGAGGAAGTCCCCACTTGTTTCCTTATTACGTGTTAGTTTCTGAGTTAGATGTAAGGGGAGATATATGTTTTGGACAGGTTTCTTGTCCTCAAAAATGTGTAGTTCAGTAAGAAAGATATGATTAAGCCGTGTTGAGGTGAAGCGCTATGCAAATGCAATCAGTGACAAGAGAGGCACAAACCAGTTCCTCCAGAACTGGGGGTGGCCAAGCTTCCCCTTGAAATGCAGGGTTTGCAGGATAGATGAAGCTGAGTGAAGAAGACAGGTGAGTAGTCCATTTCTGAAAAAACTGGAAGGAATTGAGATGGAAAAGTAATAATGTAATACCTAACATTTATCCAGTCATATGCCAGATATGGGGCTAAGATTTTTTTTTTTTAATCCATTATCAGGGAGAAAAAACGTTTCCTCTATTCTCTTAAGTTTGGTAACTGAGAGCCTGTGAATTAAACTAACAAAAGATAGATTAACAGGGGGAAGGGTACACAATTTTTCTTGATATTTACATGCACAAGAGTTCCCAGAAAAAGAGTGAAACTCAAAGAAGCAGACTCAGGGGCTTATACAGCCGTTCAACAAAGGGAAAAGAGTTTGGGTCTCAAGGTATGATAAATAGTGGGGAAGTGACTAGGAAATCCAGTGACTCAGGGAAGATAAGGGTTATTTTAGTAAGGTCGCTTGTGCAAACACATGTTGGCATCAACTCCCTTTCTTCAATGAAAAGAGTCACTCTTCCCTCCTTGTGTAGGAGGTGAGGTCCTCCTCAAAGAGAAACTAAAACTGTATGCCTTGTCTTTAGGCTGTTAATGGTGGGTTGAGGAACTCTTCCTGCACCTGCTGATTCTCAACTGCCTTTAGCCCCAAATAATCTTTATGCCAAAGTGGCATAGTTTAGAGTGGCATCTTCTGATCCCCATCACAATAAACAGGTGTAATACTGATACGACTATGAGACAGGCATAATTGTTGCGTCTTTTCTTAGGTGGGGAAACTGAGGATCTTATGTCCTAGCCAGCATGCCTGACAAAGAGGTAGGTGCTCATGTTGTCAGAAAAGGAGGGCAAGTGGTGTTGGTGTCGCTCAGGCAATTTCAATATGACAAACTGGAAAACTTCTAAATGCACCGTCCTCACTTGTTTCAAGTTTCAGAGGAACCAGGTGGATCCCCCATTCTTTAACTGGTTCCTTTTTCCTTTCAAGTTCAAAAACACTCAAGGAATACTTTAATAAATCAATAAAGTGAACACAGCAAGTGAGGAATGGCAAGAAACAAGAGAAAATGTTCAAGAGGACCGTAACGATGAGAGGAAATTAAAGTAAGTTTACTCAGATGCTTTCATGTAACCGCACTTATTAAAAAAGAAGAAAAAAAGTCTTATAAAGTTGTATAAAAATAGAGTAGCAGAATAATAATAGCCCTAACTATAATTTCTGATACTATGTAGACTGGGGAAAAACATAACCCAATAGCCTAAGGAGAAAAGAAAGAAAATATGTTTGCTCAAAGAAAACAAACACAGACATATAAACCTACACCCCTGATGGCTGAACTTCATAGAACTAAGAAGTCAATAGGAAGAAAGTGCAGACAAGCAGGAAGCTCATTAGATTAGAAATCAAGTTCATGTTCTAGCACTGATGGCCAGCTGACCAGGGCAATTCACAAGCAGTTCAAGTTCAGGGACCAAAGCGCCCCTGAGTGCCTCCATTGGATTCTGCACAGCCAAAAAGACGCTTGAAAACATCAAGCCCTGTCACCAGTACCTTCTATAAGCCTTGAGAGAGGTGTGATGATATAACAGGGAATCAGAGAAGCCTAAACCTGTACCTGCTTTGGGAAACCCATGTAATGCCTTCGCCTGATTCATTATTATTTGAGAACCTACAAGGCCCCTGTGTTCACAACTCTAGGAAGATGCAAGACTCTAGGTATCATGGCTCTTGCCTTTAGAAGCATTTTGCTAGTTTTCTATTGCTCTGTAGCACGCTTCCACACACTCAGCAGCTTTAAACAATCCCTTTATCTGTTCACAGCTCTGTAGATTAGAAGTCTGTGACTGGGTTCTCCATAGTGTCTCAGGAGGCTGACATTAAGGTGTTAGCCAACTGGGTTTTCCTCTGGAGACTGGGGGAAAATCTGTTTTCACACTTATTCAGGGTGTTGTCAGAATTCATTTCTTTGAGGCTGTAGGACGGACATTCCCACTGCCTTTCTTGTTGTCCGCTGTGGGCCACCCTCAGCCTGTAGAGGCCACCCACATTCCTTACTACACAGCCCCCTCCATTTCTAAAACAAGCAATCAAGAAGTCTCCCTCATGTTGAATGTCTGTCACGCTGTGAATCTCTCTCATGAGGAAGATCCCAGCAGCTGATCTGAGACCTGAATTACATCTACAGAATCCCTTGACAGGAGCGGCTAGATATGTGCTGGGCCACACACCAGCAGGCAGAAATCGTGGGAGCCGTATTGAAATTCTGCTTGCCATAAGCATCGGAAAACTATTTACTAAGTGTTGAATAAATGAGAAAAGAAATGAAAACTTCTGGCCCCTCACTGGAATTATCTCCTCAAGTGAGAGGCAGCATAGCTTTGCTGTAATCCTGTCCATCACCTGCAAAGAGCCCGTCCTCATGTTAATCACCTGTTCGTTGCTCACGGCAACTCTGTAAGGCAAGTCCAAGGGCAAGGCTTATGATTCCTGCTCTCCAGAACTCTGATCCCTTAACTTCTTGCCCAGTGCTCTTTTCACGACAAGAAATTACAGTTTCTTTAAGGTTACCTTGGACAAACTCTTTGGTGACATTGTAACAACATGAAGAAGAGACACAGGAGAGCATGGAACCCCGCAGAAGACCCATGAACCAGGGCCGCTTGGGGCTGTGGGCACTGGCTCCTCTGCTGTAACTGAGTCCTTGCCAAGAACCCACTTCTGTGATCTGGCAAGGGGCGGGAGACCTCAGCAGAAGATTTAAAACCAGATGAATCATATCACTGGTAGTCACACAGTGGGCAGTTGTCACTGGTGAAATGACTCCGTAGGTGGCCGCAGCCCAATTATCTGCTAGGTATGGAGGTTGCATCCCAAATCCTGTATGGAGCGGCAGTCCTAAAATGAGTGGCTGGTCCTTTGCCATTTTCCCGTCGCTTGAAGCTGATTGAGGCATCAGTGAACGAGGAGGAGGGTGGGAAAGCAGAGCCTTCCAGGGTCCAAGTCTGAGCATTGATGGGGGAGGCTGGGCTGGGTGACAGAATCTTGATGGCAGACCTCAGTATCACAAAGGGTAAGGTGCTTGGAGGTGAAATGGCCTGAAGTGGGAAAAGAGGCAGATGCTGAGAGGAGGAGAGTCCATGCAAAACTGACAGGGGCTCTTCTGATGGGTCTCACTGCTCCAGGAATCCTGGTCTTCATGCTTTCTAGGCATCCTGTTGAGTCCTGAAAGAGGAGCCCAGACCAACCAGGAGCTCATTCACCCTGGTTTGAGTCTGGGTACCTCTATCTCTTAACCAGCTGGGCACTCTTGGCTTAGCTACTTAACATCTAGTGCCTTGTTTTCCTCATCAGTTGAATGCTGGAAGTTGAGCTCTCTGATTTATGGAGCCCCTTCTGGCTATACATTCTTATCTCATGAGGACATTTTGTGATCTGGACTATATTAAAGAGCCACTCTCTAGGATTAATAACAGTACACAGCAGCCTTTTCATATTCTTTTCTTTTTCTACAGTTACTGCCCAATCAGCACTATAAAATATTCAAATCTTAAAAAATAATTCATTGAATATGTCTTCTTTTAGCACCAGCTGTAACAAAACTACATACATCAGTAGTTAGCTGCTTGCATGTGAAGCAACAGCTACATGCACATGGGAATAAGCTACAAAATGTTATTTTAATAAGATGCTGTCCACCCAAACAAACTGAATTTGAAATGTGGCACCAAACTTGCTATCTGGCTCATTCAAAAATATTTCATGGTCAACCATGTAAATGATAACCTTCAAAAAACATTTATGAAGTAATCAACATGGGAAGACAGAAAGTCAGGCTAGAACTTTATTACCTGTGTTTTGTTGGAGGTATCTAACTGTTCATAGTTCACTGTGAATTCTTTGGATTAGATAGTTCTTTGGAAGAGGAAGATAGTCCTCTCCCAAACAGATAGTCCTTTGGAAGAGGAATCTTTGGAAGGTGATTTGTCACATTATTTGAAAAGAGCATTGTGGCTGATTCAGAGCCGCCATTTCCTTAGGTATCAGCTGAATGAATGACATTTTTCAGCTTAATCAGGCTAAAACTCTTGGAGTCATCTTTGACTCTTTTCTTCAACTTCCTGCATTCTTCTTGGCGCTGTCTTCAAAAGATAACCACAATCCAACCACCTCTCACCACCTCCTGCTCCAGCCATGGTCTGAGCCAACAAGGTCTCTCCCTGATGAGCATGAGCCCCCAAAAAGTTCTCCCTGCCTCTAATTTGGCTCCTCACGGTCTATTCCCAACACATCAGCTACAGTGTTGATCACTTATGTCGGTTCATGTCACTCTTCTGCCCAGATCCTTTGGTGGTTCTTTTTACACAGAATAGCAGTCAAAGTTTATAGAGAGTCCCTCATTTCCTCTACAACCTTCTCTGTCCTCTCTCCCACTGGACACCAGTTGAGCCTGTGCAGTCCAGCCAAGCTCCTGGGTGCTGGGGTGTCCCCTCATCTTGGAATGCTCTTCTCTGATGCTCTCTTGGCCAACTACTTCACCCCTTCAAGTGTTTGCTCCAATTTCATCTTTATTAAATTTGCATAGATTTAGGGGGTACAGTGAAGGTTAGTTCATGGATATATTGCTTAGTGGAGAAGTCTGGGCTTTCTGTGTAGCCATCCCCTAAAGAGTGTACAATAAATGTCCATTGTACCCATTGAGTAACTTATCATCCCTCACCCCCCTCTCAGCCCCTCACCTTTCTGAGTCCCCAATGTCTATTATTCCACTCTCTTTGTCATCTCTGTAAGGCTTCACCTGATCTTTCTGTGTAATACTGCAACTTGTCCCTCACCCCCCAGAAACCCAAACCCTCCTTATCCTGATCTTCTCTTGTTCATAGCATTTAGCAACTTCAGTATGATGCATTCAGTGATAATGAATGTTTAATTTCTATCTCCTGCTAGAATGCAAGCTCTATGAGGGAAGGGATCTATGTTTTGTTTTCTGATGCATCCTAAACACCTAGAAGAATGCCAGATAAATGAAAGCATCCAAATGAAATTTCATCTCACACTCATGTCGGTTGAAAAAGTCAAATTGAACAATAAATCTTGATTGACTACGATAAACTAAAATGTGTTCATTTAGGCTTTTTTCTATGATTCATCTTCTAAATTGCCTGGCAATGATCGAGGAATGCCCTCAGTCAAGAAAATGGGATTTTAGCTAATCTCTGAAATACATTTGTACCGATTGCATCAAAAATGCACATATGCTACCTCTCACATTTTAAAAATATAGTAGCCTCCCGATCACCAGATAAGCACTTTATAGACCACAATGATCCCTTACCTCTTCCCTAAAATTTAGATGTAAAAATATTTTGGATACAACCCATATACTACTACAATTTAAGGCTACCTCACTGATTCGTCCCAATTCTAGAAGAAACAGACGACCCATTCAAACTAAGATGATCTAAGGATGAAATGGGATGGGCCAAGTATATTTCTCAAAGGAGAAACACAGCTTGCTTCGAGTGACTCCACAGAATGGGAGCTGAAGAAATGAAGCCTGACTTCACTTTCCACCCCCTCTCCATTTCCTGCTGGGCCCAACTGAGGACTAGATAACAGGAAGGCCCTTTGAGGCAGTCCTCAGAGATTATCCCCCTAGGGCAGAGAGCAGCATGGAGAAGGATGGAGAAGCAGGCTGCAGGGGCAAGGGAAGATAAGCACCCAAAAAAAGCTCTGATCTATAGTAAGGGACTATGTGTATCAACCCTACAGGTGGATTTCAGAATTTTAAATACATTTTCCATTGCAACACAGTGGACATATACTTAAGTGTTTTTAATAATCCACTTCTAAAAACCGCCACTTGCCACTTGCAAAAAGCAAACGAATAAAAATTCCCATTCTATTCTATTCTATTCTATTCTATTCTATTCTATTCTATTCTATTCTATTCTATTCTATTCTATTCTATTCTATTCTATTCTATTCTTTATCTTTCTATGCTGGTTGCAACCCATTAAACTGATTTCACAACCCACAGTTTAAACATCTCTGGCTAAGGCCAATCCCTCCATTTAAAAGATAAGATCACTTAGATCTTACAGGGTTAACTGGCTTGTCCAAATTTAAAGTATATGTAATCATTGGAATGACGTGGGTGTGTACACTCATTGTAAAGAAAAAACTTATTTCATCTATCCAAATGTTCTCTTCCAAACCACATGCATATCAGCATGTTTTGAAAGGATTTTAGTATTGTAGGTGTCAAGAAAGCCTCTATTTAACCATCAGTAAAATAAATAGTCCTCACCATACTGTGAAAGGGGGACAACTTCAGTACAGTGGAGAGCTGAGGTCATGCCCTCCCATACAGGAAGAGCTCTTTGGAATCGAGGGCTCAC
Source organism: Homo sapiens (assembly GCF_000001405.40). Taxonomy (NCBI): domain Eukaryota; kingdom Metazoa; phylum Chordata; class Mammalia; order Primates; family Hominidae; genus Homo; species Homo sapiens. The sequence continues at coordinate 35,349,148 of NC_000021.9, forward strand.
TTATTCAGGAAGGATGACCTCCTGTGTGTATGTCTTTCACCCCCAGGTAACACAGGTATTTATGATGCCTCATGAAGCATACTTGCTGGACACTAGGATGGTGGCTAATGACAGTTTCTCTGTGCAACAAGGTAGAGAACTATGAGACAGCCAAGGTCCCAGCCTGGCATATACATTGCACAGTCGCACAGGAAGGCACTCTGCTCTGAAATATTTCATCCTGGAGAAGTTGGCTTTGATGACTTTCAAAAGTAGCAGAACTCACTGGTTCTCTCTTTGGCAGGAGTTTGTGCATTTCACTCATTTCAAGTCAGGACTAATAGTTCTAATGATTTTGAAGGGAACCTAAATGATTCCTTTATGCCTGGCTGGGATTGGCCAGGGTTCCACTTACAACCCACAACATGCTCACACATTCCATAGAAAAATAAATACTGCTGTAACCACGTTGGTGCCACGCCAGTGCAAATGGCCATTTTCTTAAGTACTCATTTTAAAAGCAACTTTGTTATTTCAGCATGTGCTTTGAAAGCTGGCTTTTCTATCTCTGGTGTGATGTTTTCATTGTAGGGACAAAAGTAAAACATTAACTCTTTCAACAGTTTGAGGGAGGGTGGATATTTAATACAAAAACCAAAAAAAAAAAAACGTAATGGGGGAAAATGCATCACTCCTGCTTTCTTGGATCTCTGCTGGAGTTTCCACTTGTGTGTGACTCCTTCACCTTCCACCAACCACCCCTTTGGTTAGACTGGGTTGTGGTTCCTTCAAACGTCTTGCCGAAACTTCTGGACAGCTATCAACTGAAGAACTCTGTCCTGGTCAGAAGCTTCAACATCCTCCGCCCGTGATGCTTTTCTGGGTCCAACGACCCTGCAATAATTTTCTTCCTGTGTACCAGAGTTTACGAAGTCCTCCTGCATGTGAGGCCCTGGGCGCAGGTGTGGGCATGTGCAGGTGTGTTCATGTCAACTGCAGAGATCCTGAGGGCAAGACGAAGAAAACACAGCCAGTCCTTTCAGGAATTTATAATTCAGATGCTGAGGTGGAACAGAACAGATGAAAAGCAAAAGCACAATGGAGGGCAGTTATGATTAAATGGATTTCAGAGGGTCATGATGGTGCCAGGCTATCTTGGGTCTCCTCACACTCAACATCAGGCCCCTCCACCTCCTGCTGACTTTCATGCATCAATGTTAGGCTAACATGAGAGATGCTTACAAATTTGCTTCATGATCACTGTAGAAATGAGCATGGTTGTTAGCAACAGCTGCTGTGGGTGTGCAGGTCATGGCGTCTCTCAGAGCTGGGAATGCCCAATGAATGCACTCCCCTCTTTCACCTGACCACGGATGGTCACCTGATGGTATTTGGAAAGTAATGAGAGATCTTTCCACCACGACGTTTTGTGAGAAATGGTGTATTTACTTTTTCAAATGTTATTGTTTAATCTTCGAACAGCTTTAGATTTACAGGGAAGTTGAAAAGACGGTATAAAGAGTTCCTATAGGTTCCATATTCAGTTTCCCTAGTGTTAACATCTTACATTGCTATGTACATGTGTTACAGCTAATGAACCAATATTAATACACTATCGTAAGTGGAAGTCCATACTTCACATTTCCCTGGAGTTACCTCTTGTCCTTTTTCTGGCATCCCCTCAGGACACCACTTCACATTCAGTCATCACATCTCCTTAAGCTCCTCTTGGCCGTGATGCCATGACAGTTTCCTAGACCCTGTACTAAGTTTCCTAGACTGAGTACTGGTCAGATATTTTGTAAAATGCCTGTCAATTTAGATTTGTCCAATCTTTATTCTTGTAGCTAGACTAGATGATGTATACACATTTGGGAATGTAAGCATAAATGTTTCCTACATAGGCCAAACGTGTTGTTTTGAAAGCTATGTATGCTCTATGAAGTTTGGGCACTGAAAACCAATAGATGCTCCACAGGGAACACGTTGATTACATGGGACATGTTCATGCAAAGAGTGACTCACAGTAAATTACACTGCATGTGGTTTCTCAGACTCAGATGGAAAGCAGACTTCAGTTACCCTAGGTACATCTCAAAGTTTCCCTGTTTCAGTACACTAAATAAATAAGCATAGTGTTAGCTGTATATATTGTTCAGTTATAGGTTAGTTATCTGCTGTAATTAACAACCTAAAACATTCAGTGACTTAATAAAATGAAAATGTATTTCTCTCTCATACCATAAACACAGGATTTCTAGGTGGGGGTATTCTCTTTACAGTGGTGTCATGGCATTCCAGCTTTTTCTAAACCTATTATCTCCCAAAGCTTTCTGGTGCTCATTTGTATTAGTTAGGGGACAAGAGAATAAAGCAGGCATGAAGAGCTCAGTTGGAGATTTTTCAGGTCAGATCTAGAAGTGGCATGAATTACTTCTGCCCATGTTTCATTGGCCAGTACTCAGTCACCTGACCCACCCTGTTGCAAGAGAGACTGGGAAATGTGGTCTAGCTATTGTAGGAGAAGGAGAAAGAAAGAGACTTTGTGAACACATAGCAGCCTCTGCCACTCTATGAATTTATGTCATACCAAGTTTCCAGAAGATTAAAAACATGATAAAATGACTTGGAAGATGCATGCTATTCTTTTCGCACACATACCCCCTGTTTAGATTTGGTAGTCTTCTCTAAGGATGCTGCAGAGGGTAGCCTCTACATAGGCACTTCCACAACACTGGTATTTCTTTAAAAGCAAAAGTCTGTCCTTTAAAGCAATGTAGAGGGAGAAGGATAAAGAGGTAGAAACTGGGGAGAATTATCCCAGCAAACAAAATATGCCTTGCACCAAATATATTTACAATTATTAAACCAGATGATTAGAAGTAATAGCTTATCACCTCCACCAATGGGAACATGGACCAACCAACCGGAGACTCATAAAAGGAAGGGGAACATGAAAGCATAATCTCAATCCAGAGTCAAATTCCAATATATACCTTTCTAGAGAAAAATGAACAGTCTTTCTTTCTCAAATAAGACTACTCTTTCATTTTCTAAATAACCTTCCTCAATCTGAGCTATAGTATGTCTGGATGCTAATTGTCTAGTAGTCTAGACAGTGATGATATTATGACCAAGTTATGCACAGATAATCACTGTGTCACTGTTTCCAAAGCTGCCTACACGTATTGCTTCACTGGACACACTTGGCATGTGTGATTATTCTCCTGATATTTATTTTCACCATGTAAGTAGAGAATGCTTACTTAATCAAACCATCCAGTGAACTGAGCAGTTTTTTTATAATTCAAATGCAATATGAGAGTCTTGAAGCTAAGAAAAAAATTATGTTAATGTAGCCCATACTTTTCTGTATTCTGGGGCAAGGAACCCTGTGGCATTTTGCTCGCTTCATTCGCTAGGGATGCATCTTGCCCAGGTCCCTCCAGTATTACCTCTGCAAATCATTCCTACCCAGATGGGTTGGCTTAACCAAAACCATTCTGATCAAGGAGTTCCAGGAATCTCTCCGGAGAGGTCTTTTCTGCAGCCTGGTCCAATGCACAGGTTACAATAAAGTGGATGACTATATGGTTCTCTGGCTTTTTCAAAATGACACATTTGTTTTTAAAAACCACCATCTTAACGAAGCATATGGGCAACGATGTCATGACACCCTTAACCCCACCCGAAGGAGGGAGACTGAAATCAATGCAGAAATGAAAAACAGTATGGTTTGGAAAGTAGGAGGATGTTCCAGACGCAGTGGATAACAAAGTTTATTTCTGGCAAGGAAAGAGAAAATGATCAAAGGGATCTGGAAGAAGTTTGTTTGGCCAAGGAAAAGGCATAGACGGGAGTAACAGGCAGACAATCGAGCTTGGCAAGAGGGTGGGTGTTGATACAGCATGCCTTTAAGGACAGCTCCAAGGCTCTAGTGTGCGTTTTATATACTATTTCCACTATTATAATGACCCCTGGAGTCACTGTATTGCCTAAGGAGACTCGTTAAATCGCAGTCTGTGGCTGGAGGGGTAACAAATGGAATCTTCCCTCACTCCTGTGATACCAGTCTCCTTGGTCTCTCACCAGACACGGAAATGACACACAACACATGAATTTAAAATTCACCTGTGCAGCTTCTAAGCTCAGGCGTCTTCCAGAACTGGTGAAGCAGGCCCAAAGGGGAAGGCGGTCAGGTAGGGAGACTGGAAGAGGATTTTATGAACCTACTGGAAGGTGTGGGTGCAGTTCACCAGTAAGAAGTTTGCTTTGCTTTATAATTCCGAGTAAAGCCAGTTCTTCCCAAAGGTGGTGGGTTGAATTGTGGCCACCTCTAGAAGATATGTGGCCTCAGAGCCTGTGAATGTGACCTTATTTGGAAGAAGAAACTGTGCACATGTAATTAAGTTAACGATATCAAGATAACGTCATCCTGGATTTAGGGTGGGCCCTAAATCCAATGCTAGGTGTCCTTATAAGAAGATGACAGAGAGAGATTTGACATGCAGAGATTCAGGGATATGTGACATGGGAGGCAGAGAACAGGGTGATGCAGCTTCAAGCCAAAGTATGGCAATGATTGCCAACAGCCACCCAAAGCCAGGATGAGGCAAGGAATAGATTCTTCAGCACCTCCAGAAGGAAACAACTGGCACCTGGATTTTGGTGATCTCCAGAACTGTAAGAAAACTAACTTCTGTTGTTAGAAGCCACCAAATGCATAGTAATTTATTACAGAACCAGAGCTAGAAAACTAATACACCAAACAAGAAACACTGAATCATGATCCTATCCCTGTGCTCATCCCGCCCTTTACTCAGAGTATTTTAATTGTAGTAAAATATATATAACATAAAACTCACCATCTTGGCTATTTTAAAGCCTACAGTTCAGTGGCATTAAGTCTACTAACTGCTGTACAACCATCACTACCATCCATCTCCAGAACTTTATCATCTTCCCAAACAGAAACTTTGTCCCCATGAAACACTAACTCCCCACTTTCCTTCCCCTCAGCCCCTGGGCATCCACGGTTCTATTTTCTGTCTTATAAATCTGACTAATCTAGGTGCCTCATAAAAGTGGTGCATTCAGTATTTGTCCTTGTGCATCTGGCTTCTTCTTTCCACTTGGGCAACGTGTCCTCAAGGCTCAGCCATGTGGTAACATGTGCCAGCACTTCATTCCTTTCTATGGCTGAATAATACTCCATTGTATGGATAGACCACATTTTACTTATCCATTCCTCTGTCAGCCAATGCTAGGGTTCCTTCCATCTTTTGGCTCTTATGGATAATGCTGCTGTAACACAGGTATACAGATATCTCCTCATTCTCAAAATATTTATTGTTGACATCTCTTGAACTGCTTCATCTCTTCCTTCCCTCTAGCTGGAATGATCCCTGGTCCAGGTTCCCTCTTATCTTCCTAAAACCTCCACCCTTTCACCGATTTTTATACTTTCCACCCTCAGCAATGCCCTTTTCAGGATAGCTCTTGGCAGTGAGGACTGCAGAGTGTCGGTGTCAATATTTAAGTGGGATTTGGGGACAGAAGCCAATGGCTGGTGGAGGCAGGCAGTGAGCAGGGGCTAGGGGATTTTGTTGATGATGAATTTACACAGCAAACACAATGTTTCTGCTAATAAATGAAATTACAGATCAATAAAAATAGCTAAGTCTTTTAAAGGGGGCTAGTCCTCACATTTTATATAAGACCCTGCCATGGTTTGGCTGCGTCCCCACCCAAATCTCATCTTGAATTGTAGCTATCATGACTCCCATGTGTTGTTGGAGGGATGTGGTGGGAGATAATTGAATCATGGGGTGGTTTCCCCCATACTATTCTCATGGTAGTAAGTCTCACGAGATCTGATGTTTTTGTATAAGGGGTCTCCCCTTTTGCTTGGCTCTCATTTTCTCTCCTGTCACCCTGTGAAGAGATGCCTTCCGCCATGATTGTGAGACCTCCCCAGCCATATGGAACTATGAGTCCATTAAATTTCTTGTTCTTTATAATTACCCACTCTTGGGTATGTCTTTATTAGCAGTGTGAAAACAGACTAAAACAGACCCAGAAAGCATCAACTGCCCATGTCAAAGACTATTACCACTACCTTTCCTGAAGGAGGCCTGAGTGGTCTTACAGTGTTACAAGAGGCTTAAGCTTGATGCTTCCCCTCCATCCATCATGTGTATCCCAAGTCAAAGATAACCATACAATGTATCATCCAATAAATGAGGATACTTTTGAGAGTGAGAGTGGAGAGGTGTACAGTTATCCCCAAAGACAACTAGCCCAAACTGGGGATTGTCTGGGCAAAGAGATGTGTGCTCACCTGCCAAGGCTCACTTCTACACCTCACCCCGAGACCCTTGTCCCTGCCTGAAGGACTCATGCAGCATTTAGGTTTCCTCAACCTGGGAATTCACAAATAGGATACCATATCTCCAAACATGTATTTAGTGACATAAAATCCCAAGCTATTAAGTAACATGAGATAAACATTGTGCCCAAGCTAAGGATGTATAATGTGAAATGTACTCTAATTATGCATTCTTCCTGGCTTTTTCCTATGAAAATGACAGAAATAGCTAATGTGAGTCAACATACCTATAAAAAATAATATTGTTCATTATATTACTTGTCAAGAATCAAAAATTGTTTTATTAGCCTATTGTATGTTCTTCTCCTTGTGGCATTTTTATTTTGGGAGAAACTAGTTTTTGCTGGCCTGAGGAACAATCTCACACAAATAGTACGAGTATTCTCTGCTAGGAATAGCAAACACTTACCTCTGAAGGGGAAAAATTCTAGCTTCTATTTATTTATATTTGTTTTTTCCCCTCAACAATTGCTGTTCTCTATAATTTAAATGTCTGCAAAAATAGTAGTTATATAAACATTAATGCATTAAAAGCTATCATTTCAATGTAGCGTGCAAATCCTGGAAGCTGAACATTAAGGAATCATGAGATTTTCCCTCTAAGCAAGGGGAGGGACTTCGCAATCTTTTTATCCCTAAAATGTATCCTTTGAAGCTTCTCAAGTTCACATTGTTAAGCGGGCCTGAATTATCATCAGCATTGCATTTTAGTAAATGCTCATTTTCCATCTGCCTCTGATCAGATGCACCTTTCCTTACCTGTGACAGACTTGATTCTTTTATTTCTATATTTTATTTCAGTGTTAAGTATAGGATTTTTCTTTCCCTTTAAACACCAATATTTCTTTTTCTAACCATAATATAATACATACATGTAACCCAGCAAGCCTGGATTTGAAAAAAATCACTCAATTATCTCATTGGCTTTCATAAAATCATAGCTATGTGTCCACAGTGGGGAAAAAAACCTCCCAGGAAAGCTCATTAAATTATGATAAGACTGATATAATTCCAAAGGATGTTGGCCCAACAGAAGAAAAAGACAACTGGAGATGTAGGGGTTGGGGTGGTAAGGAAATTGCAAAAGCCAACGAACAGCTAAGATTGGTACCTGTGAGCATCAGGACCCCCACCTGGAGCAGAGATCTCTCATATGTCTGCCTGAATCTAGAATTAGCAACAGCTCACAGGCTGGCCTTGCACTGAAGAATGAAATTTCAGGGATTTCCTCCCTGAAATCCTTGGACTTACATGAAACTTCAAATCTTTAGGATGGGGTCTTCTGAGACTTCCAAATGCTCTCATCTCCTATTCCCCAAGAGCTGCAATGCATTTAAGGAACTTTTTACCTCCTGCATAGTAAGCCCTTGAACCCATGTGACTGAACCCACGGCCCTTGTAACTATAACAATTATAGTAACCATTCATGCTACCTGCATTCATTGAGCTCCTACCATGTGTAAGACACTGTGCTGGACACAATCCTTTACATGTTGAAGACATGGCAACAATAACCAGAGAACCTAAGGATAGAGGGGAGAGTGAGGCAGCATGTGGAATGAGTGGCAGGGAGGGCTAGTTTTGCTCAGAGAGGTGGAAAGAGCTTCGTAGAAAAGCTACCCTTTGAGTTGGACCTTAAAGGATGAGCAACAAAGCAGCTGGCATAGAAGGCAAGTAGGCAAAGGAATGTGGAAGAACATGCCACCCATCCTGATGGAAAGCCTGAAGGTCTAATCCTTGAACTACTCAAAGACAAGGAAATACTCTTTAGAGCCTGGAGCTAAGGGTGCAGTGAACAGGCAGAAACGTAACTGATCCCAGGAAAGATAGGTTGGAGTAAGCAAATGGTAATTTAGATATTTTGCAAATAAATTAAATACTTTTTTAAAAAGATTCTTCCCTCTTGGAAGTATTTAGAAAGGAATGTTTAGTGGTATAAAAGAGATGGCTAATTATTCTTGTGAGTGTTGAGGGTGTTATGTCTCCCCAAAATTCTGATGTTGAAATCCTAACCCCCAGTGTGATGGTATTTGGAGACAGGGCCTTGGGAGATAATTTGTGTTAGATGAGATCATAAGGATGGGGCTCCCATAAAGGGATGAATGCCCTTGTAAGAAGAGACGCTGTAGGATGTGCTCTCCCTCTTTTTCTTTCTAACATGAGGACACAGCAAGAAGGTGGCTGTCTACAAGACAGGAAAAGAGCCCTCACCAGGAACTGATTCTGCCAGTGCCTTGATCTTCAACATCCCAGCCTCTGGAACTGTGAGAAAATTTTTGTTGTTTCAGCTACCCAATATACAATATTTTGTCCATGGCAGCTCGAGCAGACTAAGACAGTAGCACTATTTTGTTAACCATATTTTGAAATTGATAATAGTGATTTTGTACTGACAATGTGGGGAGGAAAGTTGCTAAACAGCTATAATATTTCAACAATGAAACAACAGCTTTTCTGAAAATCATAGGATAGGAGATCATATTGCTTGATAGCTTGGAAAACCATTTACAGGAAGAATAAACTTACTAAAAGAGGACACCAATTTTTGTTTAACTATAAAGTAGATGCTTGAGACATGTGGCTAAATAAATGGACCAAAATATATAAAGAAACAATGACCCATATTTCTTAGAACATAGCTGTAATTTTCCAATAGACAGTAAAAGGGAAGTGATGACACTTCACTCAGTATTGGGTTGAATCATATTAAAAGTAACATTTTGGTAGGCAAAGCTGATCTCATAAAAGCAGTTTCATATGGTTTAAGATAATACTAAATAGTGACGTTGCAGTAATTAATTCTTAACATATGAGTTTTATGTAATTTATCACGTTATAGTGTTAGAAAAATAAGTTCTTAACTGAACACAAATTAGTACTTAAAGTAGCTTCTTAGAATTTGTTTGCTTAAGACTGTGATAAACCAGATCACTAGTAATAAAACTGATAATTATGAAATTAACAATTTGATCTTTGGCTATATTTTAGGGAATACTTTCTCATAAAAGATAATTAAGTATTAGTTGAAATAAAGTATTTAATTTCAAGGTTATTGCTTTGTAATTGATTTCCTTTTAAGAGGAAAGTAAACTCAATTTATATTAAAAGTAGACAATTGTATTTTTATGCCCCTTGAAAAAAAAATTGTTGTTTTAAATAACCACAGGATCATTAAGTTACATCCTTTGTGGAAGAAGGGTCCCAGGCCAGGATTTTAAAACTCTATGTACTGGCTGTCTTTTAATACAAGATATTTTGGGAATGTATTTTCATTTTTCCCACAAAATATTATTTATTTCTCTAACTGAAAATTTATAAAAGCTACACTTTCCTTGGTATATTGGGAGACTAAGGCCCTGAGCCAATCAAATCTAATTCTGTGCGTAAGAGAATATTTTAAATACACATACCCTGGCATGAACACACACATGCACACATACACACACACAGACACACTCAGTAGCAACAACAAATAGCATGCCCTGATAGCCCTTTTTCTGAACAGGAAAAAAAAAAGAAAACCTTTCCTATTAACAAATAACACTAATTTAACTGCAGTGTTTTCTGTAAGAATTTCTTTTTTTTTAATTATTTTAAATATTTTATTTTTAAATAGGTAATATGTGCATGTGGGGAAAAAAAAGTTAAAGGCACAAGAGAATAAATGGTAAAAGTTGAATCTCTCACCCTCAAGTCTCCCAGTTCCTTTCTCCAGAGTTAACTCCTGTGAACTTTTTTTGAAAATCATCCCAGACATATTTGATGACAGCTGAACAGCTATTACAGCACAGCCCAGCAGAAAGAAAATGCAATCCACGAAAATGCAATCCACGTAAGCAAGTGAAAATTTTCTAGTAGCTATATTTTAAAAGTAAAAAGAAACAAGTAAAATTAAATGTAATATTTTATTTTATTTAAACTAATAGAGGCAAGATGTTATCTTGAAATGTAAGCAAGACCAAAATATTAATGAGATATTTTACATTCTTTTTCTCTACTAAGATTTTGAAATCCTACATGTAGTTTATACTCAGAGTACATCTCAATTCAGACCAGCCACATTTCAATGTAAAAAGTGGTCACTGTAGTAGACAGCATGGTTCTATAAAGTTCTATAAAGTATAAGAATCTTTAAAAAGAAAAAAAGTACAAAGAATCTCTTTAAAAATCCTTTCATACAAAATACATTGTTCTTCATGTTCTTACTGTTCCAAACATTGTTAGAGTCATATACCTATAAGTTCACATATTATAAAAAGATAGAAAATACAGAGAAAAAGTTTTAATCACCTATAGTCCTGTTTTAGTACAAAGCTAGTTCTGAACCTCAAGGAATAAGTATATAATATAAATACATTTCAGTCAAAAACGCATAGGTCTTTAGTAAGTTGTGTACACTAAACATGCACAGCATTTGTATGTTAATTAGACCTCAATAAAGTGGTTGGTTTTTTTTCTTTAAAAAAATGAAATAATTAAAACCACCATTTCCCAAGCAAAAGCAAACAACCCCAAAACTCCTAAGTCTAAGAATGCTGCCCAAGATATCATTCAGTTAAAATTATTATTGTGAAGTAAGGGACTTCACTAACCAATAATACATGTGTATATTTTTGTTTGAAATGTGAAATCAATCTCTCTCTCTCTCTCTCTCTCTCTCTCTCTCTCTCTCTCTCTCTCTTTCTCTCTTTCTCTCTCTCTTCTCTTGCAAAGAGAGGGCCAATGGCGGGTATCGTCAACAGCTGTTTTGGGGTTTGGATTTATTGTTTTATTCTGCTTGGGGTGGGGGCCCTGTAGTACATTTGACTGAACAAACAGCACGCCTTGCTTTGAAACAAGGGTGAGCAGGCTTATTCTTTGCCTGGAGCCAGTTTGTGCCTTCATACAGCTGTGTTTGGATATGTAGATATGGTACAGAAATTTGGAAAATTACCACGTGAAATTATTGTTTATCTTTTCTTCTCAGGGGAACAAAGTTTTGAATAAGCTTTTCATTGACGAATAAAAATCTCAGTGTCTAGTTAACTACAAAGTATGCAATATAAAATCATGTGATTCTGTGCCATGGAAAGAACACCAGGCCTGGATTCAGGAATGTTCCGTGTCAGTCCTCACTCTCACCTGGGGCAAACTTCTAGTGGGACCTCTAGGAGCCCACTCAGCCGGCTGGGCCCCATCTCCCTGTTCCCTGGATTAGGAGGCGGGACCAGGGATTTGTATAACAATCCTACAATTCTTCTTGCCATAGATCCGTGCAATGTTTTCAAAACTTTCCTTTCAAAATAATGATTCTAAATCCTAGTTACAAGAAAATGTGTTATTCACAAAAGTACTATTGGATAAAATTTTTCTAACATCTCCTTATGGTTTACAGCAGGTATTGGCAAACTGCAGCCTCCAGAGCTAACTGTTTCTGTATGGCCGTTGAGCTAATAATAGTTTTTATATTTTTAAATGGTTGGAAAAAATCGGAAGAAGAAGATGTCATGACACATGAAAATTATATGAAATTCTAATGTTAGTGTCAATAAAGTTTTACTGAAAGCCAGCTACACTTATTCATCGATGTATTAACAGTACTGAGTGGTTGCAACAGAGACTAAAATATTTACCGTGTGACCCTGTACAGAAAAAGTTTGTTGCCTCTTGATTTACAGTGTTTGAAAACAAATGGTAATCTGCAGAAAGAATAGGTAACTTATAGTAAGGCACTTAGAATATGACAGGTACTGTACTAAGTGATGTGGGTGATTTTTAAAAATATGACCATCTTATGAAGTAGGTAGGAGTATCAGCCCCAATTTCGTGCATGAGGAAATTCAGGCTTGCCCATGTCAGGTACCCTCAGGCTTGCCACATTGCAAAAAAGTGGCAGAACCTGAATTTCACTCCAGGTCAAGCTGCAGAGCCCTTGTCTTCTACCTCTGCTCCAGACCATGGACCTTCCTCCACCTTTCACTCAAAAGACAGAGCTGTTTTGGCAATGCAGAAAGGACCAATCTGCTTCGGAACTCCCTGCCAACAAAAGTATTGGTGTCTTTAGGACTATTAAAAAGAACTTAAAATGATATATTTCACATAAATCCATCCATCTACAGAATGTGTAACAACGCAAAAGAAGAAAGTTAAAGTTGTATCTTCAAAATGCATTGCAATATTTCAGAAGCTGAGTGTCCTACTCAGTGTTACCAAAGTGCCAACTAATGGGCTGCTACCATTCCTGATCAAATTGTCACTGATACAAAGTAAAATAATAAAAAGAATAAAGACAGTGTACTTAGTTTTTCATGGAACTAACTATTCAGCTTAAAGATAGTCCTGTATTGTGAGATTATATCCTTTCAAATTTTTGGTGTAAAATATAGTCTCCATTATGAATAATCATGCCATACCTCAGGCTTTTTTCTTTAGTGTACTTGCTTGACAAAAGTAAAGCATAAACAACACTATTTTGGGCCTTTATTTGTTTTATTTTATTTGGAAATGTCTTGGTCTGTGGAATCCTAAAGTCTGGGAACCTCTGGTTTGAATGTCTTTTGACCCAGTAATTCAATTTCTAGGAAATTATCCTCTGGAAATAATATGTGGCATAAAAAACAATCTATAAGCAAAAACATACACTGCACCATTATTTGCAAACAGCAAAATTTCAAAATAAGATTGTGCAATCCTCAAATTATGATATAGTCATGTAATAAAATAACATGTGGCCATTACAAGTCTTTTGTGTAATGTATCTAGTGCCATGGAAAATGCTCACAATATAATGCTAAGGGGTTAAAAAAAGCAACACAATTCTATGATAAAATATGATTGCAACTATGAAAATTAAATGTATAATCATAATATCTTATTAAATGTCTAAATGTAGGCACAGTTACGGTTTTTTTTTTCAGATCAAGAATGTTTTTTTCAACTTCTTTTCCAATCAGTCTGGGCTTTTTTTATAAGCAGCCATAATTGCAGGTGAAATCTGTTTTGTTTTTGTTTTTTTTTTTTGGTGCTTTTGCCTTCTGTTTTTTCTCCCATTATTCTCATCTTTTTGTCTTTTACTTCTGTGTCCTGGGAGAGCTCTAAATGTTGATGCTATTGTCTGTGGTGTCCATTCCGCAGCCAAGGTGAGGAATGAAGCCTTTGATTCTATTTGACATTTGGTTTCTTTTTGATCCTTCTTCTTCCAATCATCATTGTCATCTCTTCACAGTTTCTGCAGCTGTTCCAGAGAGATCATATATATTTGCATGCTTATTGTCAAATTATTTTCTTCTTGTTACCTTGGTAAATAATGTTTAGAAGGCTTCCACTGAATGGCATTCCTCAGAAGGACATTTCTTTCCTCTTGACCTAGAGCAATTTTTAGTAGGCTGTGTTTGATCTTGTTTATTCTTAATTCAAGAGACATCTCAGCAGATCCAGTATTTGCCGACAGGGGAGGTGGCCTCCTGTTCCTCTCCTTTCTCCCTGCCTGCATGGGGATGGTCCAACCCCTCTCAGACCCATAGCTGGAGAGTTGGTGGACTTCAAGATCCCTCCCAGTGTTCCGCAGTGTGCATCCACTGGACTGAGGCAGGGTTTTCCCCAATACCTTCGGGGTTTCTGCCACTGTGAACAAATAGGGACAACAAGCTCCCCAGGCTGTAGGATTGTGAGGCCTCTTAGCATCCCTTCTGAACCTCCACCACCCATCCCCACTGTTATGGTCAAATTATATCCGCAGAAATTCTTACTGAAGTCCTAACTTCCAGGACCTCAGAATGTGACCTTGTTTGGGAATAGAGTGTTACAGTTGTAATTTTGTTAAGATGAGGTCATCATGGAGTAGGGTGGGCCCCTGATCAGGTATAACTGGTATCCTTATGAAAAGGGGAAATTTGGGCACAGAAACCCACACGAGGAGAATGTCATGCGAAGACACAGGCAGGGATGGGGGTGATGCCTTTCCACACCAAGGAAGTCCAAGGACGGCCTACAACCACTAAAACCCAGGGGAGAAGCATGGCACGGTTTCTCACAACCTGAAGAAGAAACCAACGCTGCCAGCACCTTGATCTTGGACTTCGGGCCTCAAGAACTGTGAGATAATAAACGTCTGTTCTTTAAGCTGCCCAGTTTGTGGTGCTTTGTTACAGCATCTCTCACAATCTGATACACCTTGCCCTGCTAAAGGATAAGAACTCATCTCTTCTGGCTCCATTCAAGTCAACTAGTGCTCAAGTGACATTAGAGTTGTCTCATGGTTCTTCACACACACTGTGTTGTTTCTCTATCGAGGAAGTTTCCCCTGCCTGGAATCTCCCCCTCATTCCCACCCTAATGCCCCATACATACAACCTACCAACCCACCCTTGCCACCTACCCTTACCCACTCACTTTTACCAACCTATCTTACCCACCCACCCTTGCCAACCTATCTCTTACCTCCAAGCCCCTTCAAGCCCACCTCCTTTTTTTTTTTTTTTTTTTTTTTTTTTTGAGACGAAGTCTAGCTCTGTCGCCAGGCTGGAGTGCAATGGCACGATCTCAGCTCACTGCAACCTCCGCCTCCTGTGTTCAAGTGATTCTCCTGCCTCAGCCTCCCAAGTAGCTGGGATTACAGACACACACCGCCATGCCCAGCTAATTTTTGTATTTTTAATAGAGACTTTGGCCAAGATGGTCTCGATCTCCTGACCTCGTGATCTGCCCACCTCAGCCTCCCAAAGTGCTGGGATTACAGGCGTGAGCCACCATGCCCAGCCCCAAGCCCTTCTTGACTTGAAGACTGAGTTCAGAAGTCCAGACTGATCTCCTCCAGAAAGCCTTTTCTGGGTTAGATGGCCTTTCTAGGGTGACAAACTATCGTGGTTTGTCTGGAACTGAGGGGGTTTCTGGGATGCAGGATTTTCCATTCTAAATAAAACCAAGAAAGTCTTAGGCAAATGGGGACAAATTAGCTGCCCCATCTTTCTCAATCTTCCTGTAACTCCTTGCACATATCTTTCTAAAACTGTTCTTCCTAAATGTATAATAGGATGATCTGATTTGTATTAGGATAATCTGGTTTGATCAGACTCACACTAGACCAGGAGCTCCTTCAGAACAATATATTTTCCTACCTGTATCTCAACCCTTCCTACATAGTAGGTGCTTACTTAATATCTTTACTTTTTCTTTTTTGAGATGGAGTTTCGCTCTTGTTGCCCAGGCTGGGGTGCAACGGTTCAATCTCGGCTCATTGCAACTTCTGCCCCCTGGGTTCAAGCGATTCTCCTGCCTCAGCCTCCCAAGTAGCTGGGATTACAGGTGCTCACCACCATGCCCAGCCGATTTTTTGTATTTTTAGTAGAGATGGAATTTCACCATGTTGGCCAGGCTGGTCTCGAACTCCTGACCTCAGGTGATCCAAATGAATGAATGATAAGAGCACTGCCAAATCTCTTCAGGGTTACCTTTGCATAAATGCCTCCATCTACTCCACATTCATTCCTGGACAGCTACATTCTGGGTACTTTGCTCCAATTAATAGCTTTCACGTCCTCTCAACTTAGGAACCAGAGGCCTCAAAGTGACATTACTCTAGAACTGTTGTATGTAATACCCACTGTATTTCACAAACACACCAAAAGTAAACCATAACTGCTCAGCATGCTAACAAAGTAGTTTTCCAAGAATCAAAATTTGACATTCATCAAGTCTCTTGGAAAAATAAATTTCACCTGAAAGTGGTTTGGTTGTTGCTTTTTTAAAAATACAGCCTTCATATCAGAAGCTGCTATAAGTCCCCCTTCTTAATTGATAGCATATAAATAGAAAAGTGATCCATTTAAAGAATACTAAAAAAATTCTTTCGAATCCTTCCTAAAAAAATGATTCAAGAGCATCTTGGAGTAACTCTGTATTAAGTGAATAGTGTCAATCTACTTCTCACAGCTTTTTGAAAACAATGAGATATCTGCTCAGAAAAATATTATTCTGATAAATTTTTAAAAATATATTCTGGATTATATAAATTATATATGTTTAATGTTTTTGTTTGTTTGAGACAGAGTCTCACTCTGTTGCCCAGGCTGGAATGCTTGGCACAATCTTAGCTCACTGCAACCTCCGCCTCCCAGGTTCAAGCAATCCTCCTGCCTCAGCCTCCCAAGTAGCTCGGATTACAGGTGCCCACCACCACACCCAACTAATTTTTGTATTTCTAGTAGAAACGGAGCTTCACTATGTTGGACAGGCTGGTCTCAAACTCCTGACCTCAAGTGATCCACTGGCCTTGGCCTACCAAAGTGCTGGGATTACAGGCATGAGCCACCATGCTTGGCCTGTTTAATTTTTAAAATAAGAAAATATTAATGATTAGAAAGAAAGGAAAGAAAAACTAACCCACAATTATACCACTCTTAACACAGTTAAATGGACATCTTTACAATATATAACTATAATTATCCAAAAGGATATTAATATCTATAGTATTTACTGTATAAAAAAACAGTTTTCATTATTATTAACAATTCTGTAAGGAATATCATGTTAACCAAATATTTGTGTATATCCTTATCCGTTCCCTTAGAATAAATCCTTAAAAGTGGGATTTTCAGGTCAAGTTATATTTTGAAATTCTTTTGTTTTAAATGTTTCATATGTTTTTCCTAGTCATATATTTTTGATGTCAATGAAAATATTTATTAGCTATGATCATTGTGTATGGACTTGTATGGCTATTTTTCATTCTTTTCTAATTTTTACAATTCAATGAGAAAGATAATTTTATTGTAGATCAAGAATCTTTTTGATGACAAAATGTTTACTTTTACCTAAAAGAGAATTATGATGAAGTTATTGCATCTTAAGTTAGGTATAAAAATTATCTCTATATTTACACTGCTTAGGAGAAAAGTAATTTGAAAATGTAGGGTGGAGATGAGTGAGTTAAATGTACCAACAGTATTTTAGCTGTCTCACTGCAGAGACATTCCAAAATCTTGCAGCACAAGAAATACTTTGAAAGTCGGCCTTAAACTTAATCCCATAGGAGTGGGGCTTGGCAAACAAGTCAGCATCTTTCTTGTAACCCTAAGAAGTTCACAGATTCCAGTAAGCTTCCATGCATTTTGCAATCCAGATTCTACTCCATGAATCTTTCGAGTTTATGAAATTTCCTAATACATCCTACAAACGCTCTCACTGCCGTCTGTCTCTCAATCATAGAAGTACCATATCAATTTATAGTCTCCAAAAGTCAATAAAGCCTCCCCTCCCCCAAGTAATGGGGAGAAGGATCTGGAATCACTTTATGAAGTGTACTTAATAATAATATGACAACAACATGCCACGTTATCACAGCTCAAACTAAGCTGAGACAGCCTGGTCAGTACTTGGCTATCTTTGAAACAAAATCACATTCTTCAGGAAGTGGTGTTGGTAACTCAATAAGCAGCAGCTGTTCCTGGGTCTTTGAAAAAAATGTTTCATCATTTGACCAGTATTCAGTATCCAGCATTATGTCCCATTATAACTGATGGCCAACATGGAAAACCTCTGGGCAAATAAATACATGAAAATAAAAATTGCTCTTAATCTGAGGATCCCATCTCAATTTAAATGTACTCTGTTCACATCAATTTCTCTGTAATGTTAATTTGCACTTATTACCCAGAAATTCCATACACATAAAATGATTGCTTCATTCCTTCCAATCTTTATAATGAGCACTCCATCCCTGTGCCATTTAAAAGCTTTCTAAAGACCCTTTTAAAAGGAAAGGTGATATCACTGAATGTAATGTTTATTTACAAGACAGTATGATCCCAGGCTTCCAGATGCTCGGTATAAATAAGAACCCAGAAACATGCGCTGCATTTAATAGAAATTTGAGCCCATCAATTTTACATGATCCTACCAAGAAGAGTGTAGAATGCTAATGATGCTAATGAGAACTTGATGTTGACAGAAGATTCATTTATAAATAAAAATGTCCAGAAAGATTATTACATCAAAGGATGGTTTGTCAATATCCACCCCACAGTAGGCCTATCAAGATGATCAACCGCAGTTTCAATAACAATAATAAAAACAATTATGATTCTCTGTACTAATGTAGCACTTTTCATCAGTGGACCGAAAAAGATCTGTATTAAATGATCTTCAGAGCCCTTGACCACCTGGGCTTGAAGTATCCCCTTGGAGGAAGAATCTAAATCAACATCGTGTTCATTATTATGCTGAAATGGCTTTAGCAATCCTTGCTCAGCCAGTGGCATCTCACACTGTGTGCACCACACCCACATGACAAACAGAAGAGTCCTCTGGAAAGGAGAGAGGGTGGCAAAATCCAGCTTGTGCTTCCAGTCCGATTCTTTCCTATGCCTTACTTCCCCCAAAATACCTATGGAGCTGAGACGTTCAGGGTTTATACAGTCCATATATAATTATTAAAATGTATACATTATGCTTTAAAGTTAGTAGGGGTCTCTACTCATTTTTAAGGAAAAACAAAAAGCTATGTTTTTTAATCGAGCTTGAGTAGTAGAAATACACATGGAAGGACAATTCATAAACTACTGTGTATTCTCTTCTATTTTGACAGGTTACGGCTGTCACAAACTTTGGTATGATATTAGAAAAAATTTAATTTATTGCCGCTTGTCATAAAGATGCCAACTCTGCCAGCCTCTGATACAATTTGGATGTAAATATTTAGTGACAGATGAGGAAACTCACTCAGAGAGCTTCCTAGGTCAGATTTTCACCATTCTCCTTTAACAAAGGCAGAGATGATCTTGGGCAGGCTGATAGGACAGCAAGTAATCCTCTGGCAGGAATGGAAATGAAGACAAGTATGAGGCATGGTTGAAGAAAATGAATAAATAGGGAAAAGGGGACTCAAAGACATAATAACTGCTTCAGGTGTGCAGAGGGCCATGATATGAAAGAAGTAGATGCTTGATCATTACCATCCTGAAGAGGCAGAGCCAAGGCCAGTATGAGGACACCCACTGGTGGACGTTTCACTTCCCAGTGACGAAGCAAAAGTCATGACTATTCAACAGAGTTGAATCATCAGGAACAAGAAAGGAGAGAAGGTATAGGTGTGCTCACTATGTACTCACTAATTCCACAAACATTTGCTAAGCATGTATTCAGTGTTGGGCACCATGCAAGACGCTGTAGATACAATGGTGAGGAAAGACAAATATGGCATGTCTTATCTTGGATCTGGTGGTCTGGTGAGGATTCTGGGCATCACACACATCAATGCAGAGCCCCAGCTTCAGCGCATCCTGTTAAGGGGCAGTGGGTGGACTGTGGGGCTGTGAGGCTGACCTAGTGTTGAGTTCAGAGAAGCTTCCCTAAGACAGAAACACTTGAGATGAGATCAAACTAAGAGGAGAAATAAGGCAAGTTAAAAAGCACAGGGAACAAAAAGGATTCCAGAGAGAGTTAGAAATTCCAGTTTGAGAAAACGGAAGAAACAGGAAGGGGTAAAAGAGCCCTTTCAGGTCACATTTGGGAATTTTGCCTTCTTTTAGGAAAAAACATAAAGTCATTAAAGATGGTGCTGTGGTTTGACCGTGTACCCCACAAAGAATTTATTGGAAACGGTAATCCCCGATGCAACCATGTTGGGAGATGGGGCCTAATGGGAGGTGTTTAGGTCGTGAGAACTCCACCCTCATGAATGTATCAAAGCTGAATATACCAGGGCTCAGGGCTGGGAGTTCAATCTCTTGCTATCTCTGGTCACTGTCTTGCCCATCCACCTCCCTCCATGGGATGACAGCACCAAAGCTGGGGAGGCATCTTTTTGAGAAGTAAAGGGGTGGTGACCTGGTCACATTGCTACTTTGAAAAAGTCAAATTAGGTATAGGATGGAAAGTGGATGGAACAGGCCAAGGTCTATCCAAGGAAGCAGAAGGGGTCTGCCCTAATGTCAGATGCTCCTGGATCTAGAATAACTTTTGCTTCATGCACTTACTAATTTAGTCAGTGTTCAACATGTTAAATGATATTTTGAAAGTAGAAATTAGATTTTATGGCATCAAAATAACTTGTTAGTGTCTCTGATATTACTGCTGTGGTTGCCAACAATATTTCCTTTAGACTTCAGGAATATTATTCTGTGTTCTTAGCAATGTCAAGATAATGTAATTGAAATATGTCATAAGTTATTCTATTAATTATCAAAATAATCAAAAGGAAAGACAGCATTTATTGATACCATTTATTGTCTTATCCAGTTGTATGCCAGATTTCAGAAAACAGCAGAATGAAGTTAACCTGAAGAATTAGTTGTTTGAAAAACCTGCAAAACTTAGCATGAACTTAAATTTTCTCACCTCTGTAAGTTACATTATTTCTTGTGATGACACGTACTTAATACACAAATGAAGCGAGCCCATGATAGCTTTTACACAGATATTACAAATAAATGTGTTTATAAAGATTTTATGGAACAGTATGGAGAAGTAAAGGAGTTGCTATAACTCAAAGGTATTTTCTATAAGTGTCCAGAAAGCAATGTCAATAATTTCCTAGGGCTGGTGGTTAAATCAATGTGAGTGAATGTTATTATTCCCTCGTAGAAATATGTTATGCTTTCTACAAAGAACATGTATGCAAAGCTATTCCTAATTATTTATTTATTTATTTTTTAACAGTGGTTTATTTTGTGGCTTAACCCAGTCACTTACAACAAACTAAATGAGCTAAGGATGAGTTTTTGTTATATATATGCATGTATGTTTACTTATAGGTTAAGCCTTTGTTGTGGGTGGAGGGTGGGGATATGTGGGAGGAAACTAAAGTAAAGGAACATGATGAATCCCACTTAGAATCAGAAGAAAGGGATGTAAACTTTTAGAGAGGGCTATGGTTGAACAGAATAATACAATGCAGTATTCTCGTTTTGCACGCGCTTTGCCATGGTATGAGTCTAGTTTGACATCTGACATTTTGACAAAATGAAAAACAAAAACAAAAATATTAGCCAACAACAAAAACACATACATACACTACTGGGATTATCCCGTTAGGGGATAAAGCTTTCAGTTGTGCAATAGGGATTGAGTGCTTAAGAATAACAGACACACAAGAGCGTGGGCACGTTTCCCACCTTCCATCCACACTGTGAGAACAGACACAGAAACACACCTGGAGGCCCCTGGGCTGCAGGGGGAACCCATGAAAGGAGGATACTGTCTTCCTTAGAGATCTCCAAATTGTGTGCTCAAATTCTTCAATCCATTCCCTCATACATTCATTCATCATTTATTTAACAAATATCTATCAATCATCTCCAGCATGCCAGGCCCTGTTTCAATGATTCTGACACATGCCACGGGGTGAATGAATGAAGCAGATGGCACTGCGCCCATTTTACAGGTATGGAAAGGGACAATAAAGGACCAAGGGGTGACAAAGTGGAAACTGAGGCCAGGGTCCCAGGTATCTTGCTCAATATTTGTTTGCTTTGGTTTAGTTTAGAACAGTGATATTTTAACCACGGGTGATTTTGGCTTCCGAAGGGCCAGGGTTTCTGCTACAGTGCACAGAACAGCCCCAACAACAAAGAATGATCAGGAGCAAAATGTTGATAGTGCTGCTATTTAGAAACCCTGGTTCAGGGAAACCACTTGGAAACTTCAGTGGATGATCCAGAATTTATTTTTGCCTATCTGGGTAATAGGAAAAGTTAAAAAAAAAAAATGAATTTCTTCTAAGCTGTTGACACAGCCATGTGATTCTTTCATAAATGAGTTTCAATCTAAGTTCTAATTTTTGAAAAGAGGTGTTTACTTGGCAAACTTCACTTGCATTTAAAAAAAAATTCTACAGTGTGACTATCCATTGCCACCACAAGCAGCAGCACTTTTACCTGTCAGAGATGGCGTCTCAGTGTGTAGTTACAGAATGCACAGAACAGAGGACGTCTCACTGCTGTATCAGGACACTCAATCCATGTGTGGTTTCCCAGGTGAAACTGTAGCCCTCCTGCTGTAAAAGTCACCCGCTTAATGAGGTGTATTTACCCTGTATTAGTAAGAATCTGTAGTTCAAAAATGCTGTATTTGGGGCAAAAATCAACATCTCTGAATTCAAGTACCCTCGCCCCCTCTCTCAGCAAGAAGTTTGTGTGAAGAGACAGCTGGAAATTCTAGCCCTTAAGATGTTAAACAAAAATAGGGATAAATTTACTGTGTTTACACGGCATCTTTAGTTTCCAAATGTGTTTATTCTAATATCCCTGGGAGATAAACTGGGGCAAGACTCGACATCACTACTTACTGAACCGGGTGCAGGGCAGGGTGCTTAGATGTAAAGACAAAGTGGCTTACCTCTACGGCTTCCTGGCCAGGACAACACTGGCTTTGTTATTTACCTCCCTATCAAAGTCATAGTCACGCCCTTAGATCATGACTGTAAGCGTTTCAGAAGGCTGAATGGTTCTAAATCCTATAGTTATATAATTTTGAAAATCAGTTATAGCTATGTTTTTGCTCTTCAAATCTCCTTCATTTAAGTAAAGGCCCCACTGGGAAATTTTTAGATTGCCTGTTAAGAAAAACCTTGTCCAAGAACAATTGTTCTATCAAAATTCATGATATCAAAGAAAAGTGTAAACTAGAATATCTTAATTTCTTTCAAGGCATCCAATCTAGTTTTCTCTGAACAACAAAATGGAAAACCTCAGTCTTCAAAAACCTCATGGACTTTTCTCAGCTTTTCCACCAACACACTGGACTCCATTCTCTCTGCTGTCTAATTGCATCTGATAAACATATTTATGTAGGCAAAGAATGAGCCCATTTGAGTTTCTATCTTTGTTTTCCCACAGGGAGACGCACAAAGATGTTCGGTCCTTTCCTTCTGAAGGCTGGACAGTTCTGTGTGACGCACACACATATTTCTAAGCGTTTTGCAGCACTGTGACATTGCTTAATGCAACTCACAGGGGTGTGAAGGGCTGAAAAGACCTTTGAGGTGAGTACATGTGATGAAACAACACAGAGAAAAAGTGTAGCAGGGACTAATTTATTTACGGTAAAACAGTTCCTATTTCTTTACCTTCAGTCACTCTAATCATGTTGAAGTGAGGTTCAAAGAGAAAGAAATGGAGCCTGGACCACACCATGAGAGCCTGGAAGGAAAGGTGTAGCCCTGAGCTCATCCTCTGCAGAGGGGAACAGGCTTCTCAGGCCAAGGTAGATGACAAGGAGAGCTGGCCTCCACCAGAAACTGCCAAAAGCTGTAAGAAGCTCCTATCTGGCTCTAGGCCCTTCATAACCAGACGTTGATTTAGACCCTAGGAAGAAGACAATGTGATAGGATTCATATAATTTATATAATTAATAATTATGTAATAATTATTATTTATCTTATATATTTATATAAGCATATATTATAATTAACTATATAATTTATATGATTAATTGTATTAAATATTCATATAAAAATGGGCTTTTAATATATTGAATACATATCAATATACCATTTTGATATCATATATAAATTATAAATTGCATTGTATAATTATATATTATACTTAATTATATAATTTATATAATTATATTAACTATTAATATAAAAATTGTGCTTTTAATATATGGATTACATATCAATATAGCATACTGATATAAAAATTAATCCCTCAATTTAATTCCATTCATTTATCACCCACAATCATTTATTGAGCACCTGAAAGCCTGAGTTGAGTACCTCCATGCACTTATGGAGCACTCAGTCCCTTCCTGGCACCATTCTGTATACTGAGGACATGGAGATGAAAATGCACAGCCCCCCACCCCCTGTGCTCTCACAGTGGCTCGCAGCCCGTTGCACAAACTGAAGCATAAATAAGTCATTACAAGGTGAGGGGAGCCACAACAGAGGTGTAGGCAGAACAAGACACAGCATAAACAAGGGCCTACAAACTCCACCAAGAAGTGATGGATGACATTCTCAAGCATGACAATGAGTGCGATATTTGGCGAGGGTGGGTACTCTGGGTGAGCAGAGATAACTTGGAAAAAAGTATCTGAGTCAACGGCACAACAATTTACAAAGGGGTCCTCCAGGAAGTATGCTATGCAAAGTATGGAACAAATGAAGAAAGATGTTGCCTCCAGGGGACTTTCTAGCTCCTATTTTTAAAAGGATGTGTGTTTTTAACTCCTTGAGATTAGCAGCATATGAAATGCACACCAATTACCCATACTTTTGATTGATTGCCTTTAATCCTCCACTCCTCTTATATGTGGTTACAAATCCTGCAAAATTTTGATGAAATCTCCTAAAATGATAAAGCAGTGATGCCAACAGATACATAGCCTAATGATATGCAGAAGCAGAAGATAACATAGAATTAGTGAACACAGAAATGGAAAAGTCTCAATCTCACTATTAATTAAAAGTATGCATTTAAAAAAACAGTAACTTTCTGTTTATTGTATTATCACATATTTTGCACAGTGATCATGTCTAATCCTGGGAAGCATCGAGTGAATCTATATATTTACATGTGGCAATTGTACTATATGTCTTTAGACCATTGACCTCAAAAGAAAGGAAAAAAGAAAACCTCTATGCACAAAGATGTTCACGTCAGTATTATTTATGAAATTAATAACAAAAATAGAGAAGCAAATGAAACTTCCAAAATTAATAAGAGTGTTAAATCACTGTACATTTTTAGATGAGTCATGGTATTATTCTTAATATTAACATTTATAATTATTAAAGCTCCTGTCACATGGAAACACTTTCAACATAATGATTATCAAAAAGTGTTAGAAAATGACATGTATACTATGGTTTCAACTGTATAAGATATTTATTTACATAGACGAGAATCAGAAGGAAATATCAAAATAACAGTTAATATTACATAAACACTTTTTTGTTATCTTGAATACTCAGACTTTCTGCTAATACTTTTTAAGCAGTCCTAATAAGACTAGAATTTGGATCATTTAATAAACCCCATAGTAAGGAAACAATATGCGTAGCACTTCTACAAAAGTCTTAGACACACACGCACACCTTCATGTTAAGGTGAAAAATGTACAAGCATATGAAATTAAGAAAAAATTGCCTCATATGGATGGGAGTGAAGATTCATTCCAAATTTTGCCTTGAGTAGATTTGCAAGTTGTCATTACAGTGCCTTCTCTTATTTATCAGTCTGAGCACAATGGCAGAACTCGGTCATCTAAATTATCCATTTACCTTGTATATGGAATTAAGAGCTCTGTGTTAGGGAGCTCCAAATGTCAAGAGGCAGAGTCATGCCGGGGATTGATTCTGTAGATTAGAACATCTCCACCAAGGCATTTGGCCTGTGAGATGTCTAAGTAGATTAATTGAAGTAGAAATGCATTATTTATTATTTAACACTTAGTGAAAGCAGTCAGCAAGCTAGGTTTAATAATGATTTCTTTTAGACACTCACCGATGCATAAGAATTAGGTAAACATGACCCAATCATTACTTGAGAGGTTTATCAGGTTTCAAATCAGAACTTCTTTTTTTTTAAAGAGGCAATTAGCATTGTGATATTCCTCTTGCCTATTAGAAAAGATAAGTTTTATGATATCTATGGGATCTCTAAGAATTAGGCCTATTTAGACAAGGAATGAGAGAGGACTTTTACACTGTTGACAGAGGTCCATTCAGTCAGGGCTATGTTTCTGATCCCTGTAGATAAGTCTAGAAGACAGGAACACACTAACTGGCCTCAACATTCCTAATGGTGACTACTAATTATTTCAGAATTGGAGGAAGACTTGCCTTCCTGTTACAGCTGCCTGGATTGCTGGAGTCTGATTCATACCTAGCCATGTAAGGGAAAGCTCATCTTCTGCCTGGACAGTGTCTTGGCACTCCTGGATGCCTGGCCCCTTGGTGTGTGCTCCCCATAATGCATAAGTTGCGTCATATTTCTGGAGTCACTTCACCCAGCACAGACTGATCTGAATCTTCTTCTTTTTCAGTGAAGTCAGCCTTTGACCAGAGAATCCCTAAGCCATGGATTCTTTCTGGCTTTGGAAGATGGGACAGAAGATGTAGATGGTTAACCATCCCCCAAGGATGGAGGATCTCACTACCCTTCACACCCAGGGATGACCTCATCATTAGCTCTAATATGAAGTCTAATGCTTCCAGTTGCATAAGTTGGGGCAAAGTACTTACTCTCTCTAGGGTTCACATTTTTCATGGTAAATGATGTCTATGATAGAGGGGTTACTGCTGGGACTAAAGACAGAAAACAGGCCAACGGCATTCTCCAGTGGCTTACAGACAAGCAGTGCCTGATGTATTTTGGGTCCTCCATATCACTTTTTAAAAAAATTATGGTAAGAACACTTAACATGAGATCTGCCCACTTAAGAAATGTCTAAGTGTACAACACAGTATTGTTATCTATAGGTACAACGTTGTACCGCAGATCTATAGAACTTGCTCGTCTTGCCTAACTGCAACTTTATGCCCTTTGAATAGCAACACATCAATTTCCTCCCACTCTCAACCCCCGGCAACCACCTTTCTACTCTCGCTCCTGTGAGTTTGACTATTTTAGATGCCTCATGCTACATTTGTCTTTCTGTAACTGGCTTATTTCACTAAACACAGTGTCATCCAGGTTCATCCATTCTGCTGCATATTTCATGGTTTCCTTTTTTGTTCAGGCTGAATAATATTCTATTGTATGAATATACCATATTTTCTTTATCCATTTTTTTTTTTTTTTTTGTGAGATAGAGCCTCACTCTGTCAACCCAGGCTGGAGAGTAGTGGTATGATCTCGGCTCACTGAAACCTCTGCCTACTGGGTTCAAGCAATTCTCCTGCCTCAGCCTCCTAAGTAGCTGAAACTACAAGTGCACACCACCACATCCAGCTAATCTTTGTATTTTTAGTAGAGATGAGGTTTCACCATGTTGGCCAGGCTAGTCTCAAACTCCTGACCTCAGGTGATCCACCCATCTCGACCTCCCAAAGTTCTGGAATTACAGGCATGAGCCACCACGCCCGGCTTCCTTCCACTCTTTCAGCAATGGACATTTAGGTTATCTCTATACCTTGGCTATTGTGAGTAGTGATGCAATGAACACGGGAGAGCAAATATCTCTCTGAGGTCTTGATTTTGATGATTTTGGATAAATACCCAGAAGTGGGATTGCTTCCACTGGTAGTTCTATTTTTAATTTTTTTCGTTGTCCTCCACAGATTTCTCTAACACATGCTTCTAACTTCAAATTTCTTTACTCATAGCACGGATTCCAGTACCGATCCACTCTCAATGCTGCCCATTTCTGTATTTTTCTGACAATTTCCAAGTATTTTATGAATAAGTATCTCTTTTCTTGGCTAATGGATAGAACTGAAATTGCTTTATAACTACCAGTGGTGACTGTGATGGGAAGGATGACAGCTGATGCTAAAAAATTAACACTGAACTTCAGAGTGGTAGCAAAAAAATGAGGGTTATTTCAGAAACCACAATTTATAAACAACAGACTTCCTAACAGGCTAGAACAATAAGAAAGTAAAATTGTGGATCCCCATCCTTTCAGTGTTGGTTTGTTTTTGTTTTATTATAATTATATAATAAATATTACACTTTCATTTTATATACAGAAATGTGAATATTTAAATTTTATTATAATAGAATCTTTAATAAAATCAACAAATATAGTACACTGGAACAAATACACCTATCTCAGAAAACACATTGAGGGCAGAAAGAATATTCACTTATAAGTGCAATCAGTGCCTTCAATTATAGTTGAGTTCCAAAGATATAAAATGTAAAATGTAACTATATCATATATGATGGTTTGCTTCCTGTGAAATCCACTCATTAATACCTTAAAGGCCTTCCCGTGATCCTGTTTAATAATATATTCTTAAAAGGGTGTTATTCTCTGCAACACACATTTTTAATTCTGGATATTTAAAAAAACAAACTCAACATTTTTCTTGGCATTTTTTGCAAATGAATTGGAGTTCATTCAGACATTCAATTCAGTAAAAACAAAAAACACATACATTTCTGCAGAGCCACAGTTGAAGAGCATGGGCTTAGGAGAGCAGACCCCCGGGTCTGGTCCCAGTTCTCCTGCCCCTCCCCAGCTTACTGTGTCACCTTGGCTGTCCCAAGATGTGAGTTCCTCCTTGGAGATGCAGTTCACAGCCAGAGTGATCGCTAAGCTTCCTCCCTGCATTAAAATTCTATTATTCTAAGTCTTTCTCACTTCTCTGGAATTTCCTGTGATATGGATGCTTGCAATTATTACACCTCTGACAATTGATGCCAATAAAAAAGCATCTACAACATCGGACAATGAATTTCTTATGTTTTTATTCCATACAAAATCATGTAGTTAGGTTCAGAAATAAAATATTCATCACACATTTTGTGGTAGGCTGGTCTTGCTCCACGGGATGAAAACATATGTCGCAAGAGGGAACAGGTTTGCCTAAGGACCCATATGAACGAATTCAAAAAGAACCTAAACTCCCAACCATGCCTATCTCTCATACATGAGCTTTCTCTCATTACCAACCAACGTAAATATCAAAAGTTGATCAATGTAGAAGACTTTTATTACACATTGTTCCCACAAACTACTGTGACCCACATGCTTAGGACCCCAAAAGCGGTGTTCTCACTTGCATCCACTGGGTACACACTGGGGAAGTCTCTGGGACCAGGTGGCAAATAAGACTTTTGGAAGTCTTTTCCCTGCAAGAAAGTGATGGCAGGATAGTGCAATGACTGGAGGCAGACAAAACAACCACAAAAGGCCAGAGAGGACTTGTAGCTTTACAGGCTGATCATTTTTATTATGTGTTATTATATTTAAGAAAGCTCTAAATATTTTTCCAAAAGACTGAATGTGCTTAAAAGGAGATACTTTTGTTATCCAATTGCTGGTTCTCTGCTCAAAGGACAAACAAATGAAAACATCAGAAATTCTCCAGTAGTGAGAAACAATGCATAAGCAGTCAAACCTCCAGGAAAACTTCTGAAAGCTGAAGTAGGTGTATGAAAAATCAGCTTCATTAAAGCAATCTATGAGAGCTGCTTGTCTAGTAATAGCTACTGTATTTTGTGGCACGGACTTGATTCTTAGGGACTCCTGGAAGTTACACTCAAAGGTGCATTTCATACCAGTCACTCCTCCATATCCAATATCTTGTTTTACAGTTTTACAGTCTTGCGGCCGGGTGGCGGCAGGGGACAAATGAGAAGGAGAGCAAGAGGGAGCACATCAATGAGAAACAATGATGATGAGATAATTAGAGTGAGCAATAAAGAATTCATCACAGGGACAGAGGACCAGACCAATGATCAGCAGCCGTATCTATTGCCTTGTCCTTGTTGTTCTCTTTTAGTAAGACCTGAGCATAGAATAGAGTGATGCAGTAGACCAGGATCTTACATGTCCATTCCTCTTCCTTAGGAGAGTCCTCAGATGATCCTCACACAGTGTGACTTATCCTTCAGGACAAGGTTAGCTGTTTGGCTGGGGCTTCAGTCCCTGGTCATTTGTCATGAGATTCCGGGTCTTCACAAAGAGGCATAGAGAACCTGCTGAGTGTTTTCCCTTAGGCCTCAGTCTACAGATGAAAGGCTTCCTCAATTAAAAGCCAATTCTTCACCATTTGGGCACCCAAAGTAGACCTAAGCTATGCCTAACTCCACCCATTCACTGTGTGATTCCATTCCTGGATACAAAGTACCTGGTATCAGGATCAGTTCTTACAGTGGGCCTGATGGTATGAAAGGCTGGATTATGTCATTGTAGAAGGAATTGAGAGGGTAGAAGTTACTGATTGGGAAAGAGAGAGTCTTCAAAACTTAATAAGCCATGTTTTCAGTAACAAAAAGAGGAAAAAGGATTGGGCTGGATGTTTGTTTTTTCAAAGCTTAACACAGACTATTTTTTAAACATTTACTAAGCATCTACAATATAATGTGGAAATGGAGATAACGAAATTATAAGTATTCTTTTTTAAAAATATATTTTTTATTTTATTTAAATATTTTTAAAGACAGGATCTCGCTTTGTCACCCAGGCTGGAGTGCAGTGGTATAATCATAGCTCACTATAACCTCAAACTTCTGGGCTCAAGAGATCCTCCTGCCTTGGCCTCCCAAGTAGCTGGGACTGCAGTGCTCACTACCATGCCCTGTTAATTTTTTTTTATTTTTTGTAGAAATAAGATCTCACTATGTTTCCCAGGCTGGTATTGAACTCCTGGCCTCAAGCTCTCCTCCCAGCGCAGTCTCCCAAAGCACTGGAATACAGGTGTAAACCACCACACCTAGCCTATAAGCATTCTTAAATAACTTGAAAGACAGGAGCTAACTAAAAAGCAGACAGAAACGGGGAAATATTCAGCTGAATGCTGGATTATTTTGAATATGCAAAATTTAGCATGGTCTAGCATGGTCAACTCCCAGCAATCATTACGGAACCGGGAAATTGTTTTCCATTTACTTAAGAGATACCTCCATTGATTAAACACATATTACATGTGAAGACTCTTCTGGGCATGCTACTTGTATAACTTTATTTAATCACCAAATCCTCTGAGGTAAATCCTATTATCAAAGGTTGCCAGTTTTAGCAAATAAAAATACAAAATTCCCAGTTAAATTCGAATTTCAGATGAACAGTAAATATTTGTAATATAACTAGGTCCCATGAAATGTTTGAGACACCGCTATGCAAAACATTATTTGCCATTTATCTGAAATACACATTTAACTGGGCATCCTATGTTTTACCTGGCAAAAATATTATTATTATTCCAGTTAAATGATACTTCATCTTCAGGCTACCATGCTGGTCAAACTCTTGTCAGGCATTACTTGGTGTTAGACAAAGGGTACGATAACTGGATGAAGCCAAGTTTCACAGAATCTTCAAGACATTTTTAAGGTGGCTTGCGGGCTTAAAAAATGTGGCACCTATACACCATGGAATACTATGCAGCCATAGAAAAGGATGAGTTCATGTCCTTTGCAGGATATGGATAAAGCTGGAAACCATCATCTTCAGTAAACTAACATAGGAAAACCAAATACCACATATTCTCACTCATAAGTGGGAGTTGAACAATGAAAACACATGGACACAGGGAGGGGAACATCACACACCGGGACCTGTTGCTGGATGAGGGGCTAGGGGAGGGATAACATTAGGAGAAATACCTAATGTAGATGATGGGTTGATGAGTGCAGCAAACCACCATGGCATGTGTATACCTATGTAATAAACCTGCACATTCTGCACATGTATCCCAGAACTTAAAGTATTAAATATATATTAATTATATATATAAATTATATATGTATAATATATATATTATATTTATATATTATATAATATATATATATTTATATCTCTATAAATATATAGAGATATATATATCTCTATATTAATATATATTATATATTATATAATATATAAAAATATATATTTATATATATTAATTTTTATATATATATATATATAAAATCCTTTCCATTGTCTGTCTTCCCAACTCCCAAAGGTAGGCCGAACTGGGGGCTTGGAGAGAGCTTATATCACTTGCCCAAGACCTGTGCTAAGCTGCCTCATGTACCCTTAAAATGAAATATGACATATTATTCTGAGTTTAATACATCTAAAGTCAGGCTACCCTAGCAAAACTTCTTGCTTAAAAATTAACCTGTGAGCACAAAAACATGGCAGAGCTGCGACCTGGTTTAAAAGAGTGATGCCTGAGGAAAGCTAGCAGCAGCTAACATTAAACCCAAGGCCCCCAGCCCAACTCTCTCAGGCCTCTCAAGAAAGATAATTTTTATTTAACTGATATTTGTATTGCATTTATTGTGCTGGGTGTGGCTCTGTATCTTTTATTCTTCTGATCTTCATAAAACCCTACGACGTAGATCCTATTATTATTCCAATGCTACAGAGGAGGAAACTGAGGAATAGAGGGGTTACATAATGTCCCAAGGTCACATAGCTAGTAAATGACAAAGCCAGGATTCAAACCTGGGCAGGCGGGCTCCAGAATTCATGCTCTGAACCACTAAGCAATGTCAACTTGAATTCCATATATTATAAAATTTTGGAAACAGATCAAGAATTCTCTGCATGTATGAAAAAGCACATGATCTATTCATCATTTCCAAAACTATTTTACGAACATCATCTCCTTTGGATCTTAGAGCAACTGGATAAAGGACAGGTAATATAGGTATCATTATTGCTATTTTGCAGACCAGATTAAGAGAGATAAGATTGTGAGCAGTGATGCATGACAAGTTCAACATTAGTAAATTAGTAAACACAGAGTCTTATCTAAACCAGATTCTCTATCCACTTTACCTAGGCTCAATACGGTAAGCAAAAATGGAACTCAGAAAATGCTAAGAATGATTGTCTTGCTCTGATTTAAAAATCTGGATTTTGCAATGCAGGAATATCTTTAAGTTTGGGATTACAAGAAATGTGAGGCAGGGCTGGGCTTGCTGAAGCAGGATACAAGGAAATGAAAACCATCACTCTGAATTGTTTGCTCAGTTGTCTTGGGGTAGCTTGGTAACTATACCAGAATGGGAGGCTTAGGTGTCATTATAAAGGAAATCCCTACTTTGGAAAGTGACACCAAGTGCGGTCATCAACAGAGAGCTAACAGCTTTTTTCTGCCAACTGGAGGACGTCTACTACCAAAACTCTGATCCATGCTTAAAGTGCTTATCAGTGTGCCCGGCGCAGTGGCTCACACCTGTAATCCCAGCACTTTGGGAGACTGAGGCGGGCGGATCACTTGAGGTCAGTGGTTCAAGACCAGCCCGGCCAACATGGAGAAACCCCGTCTCTACTAAAAATACAAACAAATTAGCCAGGCGTGGTGGCAGGTGGCTGTAATCCCAGCTACTCAGAGGCTGAGGCAGGAGAATCGCTGGAACCCGGGAGGCGGAGGTTGCAGTGAGCCAAGATCATGCCAGTGTACTCCAGCCTGGGTGATGAGAGCAAAACTCTGCCTTAAAAAAAAAAAAAAAGTGCTTATCAGTGAAAAAGGTGATTATAGTTGAATGAACACAAAAGTTGAAATCTGGGTACCTCACTTCCCAAAAGTCAGTTTCCTAGGTACAAAGTTGTATTTCTGGGAAATCACTGTGGCCTGATATTAAGTAACAAGATGATGATGGATTTAGATCTAAAGCAAAAATGAGAGAGCTATTAAATAGAAAAAGACATTGGTGTTTATAATGTATATTTTAGAGAAAAAGCAGTAATGTATGACTTTTCCAATGGAAAGCAGAAATCAGCTGTGAAAATAGCTACCATTGTTGAACTCGAAGTGAGTCACTGTCTGCAGAACTCTTCCGAAAGAGAAGAATGTGGGCCGCCAGCACCCAGTCGCGGCTGTGATCTTGGAGATGTCAGAGCAGGCAACATGCCTGCTAATGAGACCTCAGAAGTGTCTGATCATCTCTTCTAATTGCTCTAAATAATTGGAGAGCTGCTTGGCCTGGCCTCTCCTTCCTGAAGACGGTCAGTTCAAATATGCAAATATAAAATTATTTGAATACTGCTCTAATTGGAGTACGAGCTACCCATTATTTGCTGGAGAACAAAACAATATGACTAAAAACATTGACTATCAAATCCTTCATTTTAAGCTTCACTGAGCTCCCCAAATTACCACGGGCAGTCCTGACAAGGACCACTTTACAAGGGAGTTGATGACCCCTAATTAAGACACAAGGCGCTTCTAGTTATGTTAATATTTGAAATTGAAATTGGTTTGACCTACGCAGTTCCATACAATACCACCAAGTGAAACTCAAATCCAGGCACCTTAAGTTGACAAAATGTCCAATAGCCCATTAAATGCATTGCAAATTCAAGTTCCATCCATCCCCCACATCCCCCAAGTTGACTGCATTACAGAATGACAAATCCAAAATATCATACCTGATCACATGGTTTTCTGTAGAAACTTTATCCAACAAAGGACATTGGACAGGCATTACAAATTCTTTTTCCTACCAGGAGTTGGGATCCACCATGCACACATGTTTGGCCACTCTGAGCTGGAGTGGTCTCTCTCAGTTTCTCTCCACTTGTCTTCCCAGCAATCTCTTCTTTTTTAACAGAAGTCTCATCTTCTCTCCTCTCCCTATTCCAGTCTTCATCTTTCATTGTGTTCCAGGGTACCTTCCCCTTCACTGATAGCCCTGCTCACAACTTGAAAATTTGGGTTGTTTTTTTTTTTTTTTTAAACTTTCTAAACCTATTTCTGCATCTACCTCAGCAATATCCAATCCCATTCTACCATAATTTTCTAGATGAAGTTACAAAACACTGCCTTCTCTTTTAATTTTTGTTAATTCCATCTCTTCTTCCTATATCCCATATTTCCTCATCCTCAGAAACAAAAGTAAAACTCTCAACTTTTCCCAACTGCACTCAAATTTACTCTCTCTACCCTTCCCATCCCGGCTGTATTTCTTGAAAGAGTAGTTGACACCTCCTGCCTTGACTTCCTCATCACCCAAGAGTTCCTTGTTGTTTTATAATCTGTTATCCAGCCCTACACTAGAGATAAGTTTTTCGTGGAAATTAAATGTTAAGGAACTCTTGCTTTGGAGTCAGACTCCAAGAGCTGGATCCCCTATTCTCTCAAGGGCTAATGCCTAGCTACACAATTTGCTTTTCTTCCTTTTGAAATAGGATTCTAATAAATTTCAGTGTCTCACAGAGTTATTGTAAAAAGTAAGTGACACAGGTGCTTGACACCACACTGGTCCAATTTTAAGTGGTCAGAAGTGCTGAATTTTGTGTGTTTTCCATTGTTATTATGCTGTGAGGCCAAATCCCATGACATTCCTCAATTTTCATCTTCTTTGTCTTCTCAGCACCATTTATTTCAAGATTGTTTAAAGTATTTAAATATTCTCCTTACCCATGACAATTACTCATCTAATTCCGCCCTTATCTCTGATGATTTTTCTCCTGTCTTCAGTGGATCCGATTCCTCCCCCACCAAACTCTACACTGTCTTTAGGAGTGTAATCAGCTGATCCTCACCTCCTCCTATTTTCCCTTGTGATCTCCCCATGACCAAAACTCCTATTATCCCTGTCTTACTTATGGGTAACTCCCAAATGTGGAAGGACAGGCTCAGCCTCTCCCACAAACTATCTGCTAAACAAATCCTGATATGCCATCATCTCACATCAGCAAGTTAAAACTAACAAATAAAAACCAAATATCTTTGCCTTCCCTCCTCCATAAGGCCTTTTCCACTCTCCCTTATTTCTGCAAAAGTCGTTGTTAATTCCCAGGCCCCAGGCTATGAAACTGACAGCCATCTCTAACTCTTCTTCTCATTTGCTCCCAGACTCCGAGAATTATCTTTATCTCTTAGAGAGATACAGAGAATTGTTATGCTGAATCCAAGCAGACGGTTGGAGTAAGAAGAAAGGAAATCTTGGAAGAAAGTGTTGTTTTAGAAGTTGTAATGGCTGCAAAAGAATTAAGGAAAACAAAAGTTTCCTTTAACACCTACCATGTTTCAAAGACCATGTTAGGTCTGTCTTTCCTGATATAATAATGAAAAAGTCATCATTTCAAAAAGAAAGGGAAGTGTGCAAAAATTAATTTCTGATGATAAACTGGGAATGTCTTTGATGAGGGAAATCAAGGAGCAATGTCTACAAGGATGAGATGACCAAGGTTCATCCAGTGGGCTGGGGCTTCTCAAAGACAAGGAGAGCAGAAGGAGAGAGGAACTCATAACCAGTAATATTATCTTGTAATTAGATTATTGGCAAAGTCTAGAAACATAAGTCTTTAAAAAATCCCCAAAGCCAAGAAGGAAGGGGTGGATTTTAGTGTTTTACTGCACTGAGAAATAGGTCAATGTATGTCACAGACAATGGAAAGGAGCTGAAACTACCTGAGTTCCTATTTGGAATCATCTTTTCTGTTGACAGTCCTCTTCGACCTAAGAACACTTAGTGCTATAATAAAGCTGAGGCCTCAGTTAGGTGAGAGTTGACATTGATTGACTAATTACTGTGTGTCATGGACACCTCATTTAATCTTCACAGCCACTCTCTGAATTAGAAAGTTAAGTTTCCAGATAAAGAAAATGAGACCCCACAGGCTGGGCGTGGTGGCTCACACTTGTAATCCCAGCACTTTGGGAGGTTGAGGCAGGTAGATCACGAGGTCAAGATTCAAGACCAGACTGGCCAACACAGTGAAACTCCATCTCTACTAAAAATACAAAAATTAGCTGGGTGTGGCGGGGGTACCTGTAATCCCAGCTACTGGAGAGGCTGAGGCAAGAGAATCGCTTGAACCCAGGAGGTGGAGGTTGCAGTGAGCAGAGATCACGCCATTGCACCCCAGCCTAGGCAACAGAGCTAGACTCCGTCCCCCCAAAAAAAAAAATTAAAAAAATAGAAATTGAGACTGCATAGATGCTCACAGCACTCAGTTACTTAATTGCTGAGCCAAGATTTTTACACTGTGGACTCAGAAAGCCAATGAGTTAATAACTACATGATGCGACTCTTCACATCTGTTATCTCTATAAAACTAACTTGGGGTCAGGAGATCGAGACCACCCTGGCTAACACGGTGAAACCTCCATCTCTACTAAAAATACAAAAAATTAGCCAGGCGCCGTGGTGGGCGCCTATAGTCCCAGCTACTCGGGAGGCTGAGGCAGGAGAATGGCGTGAACGCGGGAGGCGCAGCTTGCAGTGAGCCAAGATCACGCCACTGCACTCCAGCCTGGGCGACAGAGCGAGACTCCGTCTCAAAAAAAAAAACAAAAAAAACCAAAAACTAACTTGAGGACTGGGACACTTTATAGGGGCAATCACTGAATCATTGGCAACCTCTGAGGAGATATGGAGGATAGGAAATTTTCAAAAAGAAGAACAAGGTCACCTCAGTTTTCAAAAAGAAGACGGCCAATTCTGCAAAATAATAATTTCTAACATGACTCAATAATCACTTGTTATGTAGATGGTTTGTGAGGACTTAAACAAGACATGGTTAATACTATGGAGCAACACACATTCTTAAAAACAGACTAAGTCAGACTTATTGCATTTCCATTTTTTTTCTGCTGTACACTTACAAACGAGGGAGGGAGTCAGCAGACTGATGCATAAACACAGAGTTTCACATTGGTGACGAACTTCAGGGCTGGCTGGCTGATGTTTAAGTTCACATTTAACATCCTCACCAAGATGTCACTTGGCCTTGTCAAATCTCTAGTGTATGGAACCCACTGCCTCACTGCCTTGCATATTAACACATTTCATTTGTGAAAAGTTGAGACTATTTTGGATAGCCGCGATGAGTCAGCAAGTACTTTCCTATATTAAGTTGAAATCTAGTGCCATGAAGGTTTCCACCTCTTGGTTTTGCTTTAAACACTTGGAGGAAATTCAGCATAGATCTGACTTTCTTTCCCCATGGAGAGTGGTTCATAATGAACACAAATATTAGGCCCCTTTCTCTCACCTCCTCACTCTGTTTCTTTAATCAACCTTCATTGGAGAGGAGTTTTCTAATTACTTCAGTTTCCAATTTGCTACACAGCATGAGAACCACCTAGGGAGATTTTTGATATTTTTAAAGATCTTCTTCAACTGTGAAATCATTCCATCAATCAGACAAAACTACAGAAAGTAATACTTGTCTTTAAGTCTATTTTGTTGATATTCATATAGCCACTTCTGTTTTCCTGTGATTACTATTTGCATGTTTTAGCTTGTCTATCCTTTTTGTTTAACCTAGCCTTGCCCGTATATTTAAAGTGAATCTCTTGAAAACAACATATAGTTGGAGTTTCGCTTTTTTTAAAAAAAGGCCTTATAATTTTTGTATTTTAAGTAAATGCCTTCATATTTAATAAAATGATTGTATAAAATGATTGTATGGCTGAGTCTCCTAACATTCTATTTGTCTTCTTTTGTCTCAGAAGTTCATTGTTTCTTTTTTTCTCTCTTTCACATCTCCTTTTGGATTCAATTTGTATTTTATAATATGCTCTTATCTTCCCTTTTGGATATTTAGAACACCACATATTATTTTTCAGTAGTTGCTCTAAGGATTATGATATTTGTCTTTAGCACAATATAATGTATCTTGAATTAATAACACATCATATAAAAAACTAACAAAAGTATAATTTCATTTACCTTCTCCCATCCATTGTGTTACTATTGCCATATATTTTTCTACATATGTTATAAACCACACATTTTTATCATTTTTATTATTCTTGCCTACAGAGAAATTAATAATTGAGAAAAGAGCAACTTTTATATTTTCCCACATATTTATAAGGTATGTTACTCTTCATTTCTTCCTGAATATCCAGATTTCCATCTGGTAACATTTGTCTTCCACTTGCATAATTTCCTTTAACATTCTTTAAAGTATAGGTCTACTATTGACACGTTCTCTCAGTTTTGGTTACCTGAAAAATGTTCTCATCTTGCTTTTATTTTCACAGGCTATATCTGCTATATGTAGAATTCTATGTTAATCTTGTTGTTGCTTCTTCAGCATTGTAGAGATATTATTCCATTGTCTCCTGGTTTATACTGTTTTTGCAAGAAGCCTAAAATAATTCTTATCATTCTTCCTGTGTATCTAATTTGGTTTTTTTCCTCTGGATGCTTTAAATTTTCTCTTTAGTTTTTATCAATTTTATTATAATGCTCCTAAAAATTACTTTGTTTTGTATTTTTTTGTCTGGGATTATTTGAGCTTCTTGAATCTGCAGATTGACATTTTTAGTCAAATTTGGAAATGACTTGATCTTTTATCCTTCCTTTTTTTCTTATCTTCTCCAACCTCTCTCCTTATTTTTTAGGATTTCAATTATAAATATATTAGATCACCTGATATTGTGCCACAGGTCACTGAAGCTCTCATCATATTTTTTCAATCTCCTCCTCTCCTTCTCCTTCTCCTCCATCTCAGTGTTTCAGTTTGGGTGGTTTCCATGGACCTCTATGTTAATTCACCCTTTTTTTTCGTACTGCATTTTCCAATCCCCATTAAGGCCATCCTGGGAAATTTCTATTTCTGCTATTTTATTTTTAAGTTATAGAAATTTTATCTTGTTCTTTTTGATAGTTTTCATTTATCAGCTGGTAGTTCCCACCTGTTCATTCATTATGTTGATATTTTCCTTTAAAATTGGAACTTCAACTTTGGTTCATTAGCACCCCAACATCTCTTAATACTATGTGTCCTCAGGATTCTCCATTCTCACAGTCCCTAGCAACTATATTCTGCCTGGCCTCATGGAGTCTTATCTGCCCATACAGAGCTTAGTATGTCACTCAAAACTCCAGGGAATCCCTATGCTGATATATAGAACTCCTTCTCTGTGAGGTTCCCCTCTATCTAGTGCCTCAACCAACAAACTCAGTTACTAATGCTGATCCAGCCTCTGGTCTGTTTCCCCCGCCCAGTGTTGGTTCTGCTTCCTTGTGTCACAGGTTGGAAAGCATACCCAGGCAAAAGACTGAGTTGAATGTGGGGTTCACTTTATGTGTCTCCCTTCTTTTGAGGAGCACAGCCTTGCATTAACTGTAGAGTTTAATATCTGAAAATAGTTGCCTCAGGTATTTTCCTTACTTTCATGAATTGGCAACTATGTCTAAAACTCATTAATTCATCACGGCTGCAACTGGACATCTCATTTAGCATTTTATTAATAGTAGTGTAGCTAAAAGGTTATCTATAAATATTCTACTTCATTCAGCTTTTTATTGTAGTAGGTTTCTTTAATTTGGTATTCCAAAGACAATATGATCCTTAAGCTTTCAAATACCATTGTATAGAACAAATGTTTATCAAATGGTCATAAAATAAATTAATGAACAAAAGTAAATGTAATTTTGTTTTGTTATTTCTAAAAGCTTTTCACTTTTCATTATTTCCCAACTGAATTTGCATTTTTAGGTTTGCTTTCTCCTTAGCTTAATCTGTTTCTGTTCTGTTTCTCCTGGTGGAGGCTGGGATAAGGATGTAAGGTCAACACTCATAGAGTTTCCAGTCTAGAGACATAAAGGGGCCAATTAAAACAATAAGAATATAGTCTGTATCAGTGGGACCACTGAATGAGACCTTATCTCTAAATAATAATAATATTTTTTAAAGTATTTGTAAGAGAATCTTATCACTTAATACAGTGAACACTAAACATACAATGAACACTTAACAAATGTATAAAAGATTGGTCTTTTGCTCCTATTTTAGTTTTAAAACTCAGTTATTGGAAAAGGCATAAGTTAACTAAGGAAAATCAAAGCTTTGTTTTACTTGTATTTTGCATGCTACATGGAAATTGTCACAATAAGAAAATATTTATGAGATTAAATTGACTTAAGAGCAAAGATACATTGTTTTTTAAGTACCCTATCAAGTTATTTTCAGAATATAGACTGGGAATATGCCCTGGAAAAACATCCAACTATTTAAACCTACAGTAATTTACATTGATTTCTGTTGCCAGCTATTGCTGCTCAATGCTCAACATTACATCCTGTGTTGAGGTGAGTAAGGTAATGAAGCATTAAGTCAGGCCTGGACTGAAGAACAGGCCCCATTTTGGCTGCATGCCCATGAATGAACATATGTTAGGGCACAGCCAAACTGGCAGTGTCTGGCATTTCTTCCTGGCGGTCGCCACAGCTGACCTTTTTTTTTTTTTTTTTTTGTAATACTGTGAATGTGTGCGTGTTCCAATAACTCAGCTTAAGTTACGCCTTGGAGATGCAAGACAGATCTTTGGCTTGTCTCTAGCTGAGCTTTCCCTTCAAAATTTCTGGCATGCTTTAGAATGAAGACTTAGACATAATTTGAGACACATCTTTTATTAGGACCCAACCATGAGTTGGTCAAATATAATAAACTTCCTTCTCCCACAGATAGTAAATGGATCTTCAACTCTACTAGCACATTTACCAGTCTGATGAGACATGTTTTAAATTTTCCAGGAGAAGGGACCTCTATCTATCAGGCAGCTGTCCTGGGAGCTCTGCCCTGACTCATAAGTACCACGAAACTTACTAAACTCACAGCCTCTCAGAGAGGTTTCCATAAACTGACCTACTTTTTTCAGCAGTCATTTCACAGAAATACTAATGTTTAGGTGGTGATTTTGTATTGTCATCTAGGTGGACATTTATAAATATATTTTCAATTGTAGGATAAGACCAGGCTCAAGAATAAAGTTGATCAGCTTCCAGCATGTTCCTAAATGTCTAGACATTCACACTTCTTTGTAAAGAAATCCTTTATATTAAAAAAAGTAAGACATAGAAGCCCAATAGGCAGGAGAAGAGAATGATTCTTTTGGGAACCAAAGGATCCAGAAACTTTAATGTCTTCTTTTCTCGTCCACAGATGGTTACAAACACAATTGTAAAGAAAATTGATTTCCAGTGGCATCTGTCTCCTACTTCCAGGCCCCTTTCCTCATGCATTGGTTCTGTTTCCCAACTACCTCTTCCATCTTCCCTTCAGGCAACCTCTGTATTGCCATGCTCCCTTATCTTTTATCAAAACCTTTTCTTAGACAAGGTCATTATATCAGTCATTCACACCTTAGTATGAACTAAAGTAGATGTCTTACCTTGATAATTATATTGTACACCACCTTCCTCCACTAGAAGGAATTTCTACTATCGGAGTATAAAGAGTTATTTAAGATAAAGGAGGAATTTCTTAGCACCACTGAACCTGAAAACTTACTCTCCTAATACATAAGACCATCTCTGGACTACCCTAACCATTTACTCTTGTATTCAATCTCTTGGCCAATACTTAGGATAAAATTAATTCTGGGACAACAGTCTTGAGCATGATGAATATGGTATTTGCCACAGGGGTTCAGAGGAGGAAGACAGCCCTTCTGGTTGAAAAAATCCTGGAATTCTTTATGGAGGAAGTAAGATTAGTACTGAACCTTGAAATGTACATCCTAGAATCTCCCTCTGTTTCTGCAGCTGTAAAATGTTTGTGGTGAGATTTGACTAGAACAAGGTGCCTAGAAGAACCTGACCAAGACGCTCTACTGGTTGACTGCTGGAGTTTGGAATTTGTAGAGAAGATAGAATTACAGGTAAATTTTGGCCTCACTGTGTCATTTTTAGAGGCCACCTTCAAAATATCCAGCTAAGTGCACGTTTTTCTCCTGTTGTTCCATGTGCACCAATCAACATTTCCTTTGGGGTAAATCCCCTTAAGGCTACCTCTGGGAACTGGGAGAGGCTGTGTAGCCCTCTCTCATTGATTCATCCCTAGACCTGATCCCATAGTTGATGGGCAGACAGTAGCCTGAGAGATGCTAAGAGTTGGGAAAGGTAAATAAAGTAACAAAGAGACAGATGATGACAATGTAAAAGCCAGTGCAGACAACGTACGCACATCTATTTATCACATTTTTATTGAGTGTCTCTATGCTGCATGCTGGTGTGATAGTATCTGTTGTGGGTTGAATTGTCATGGGTTCAACAAAATTCATATGTTGAAAGTCTAACCCCCAGTACCTCAGAATGTGACTAATTTAGAAATGGGGCGATTATAGATGTAATTAGTCCAGATGAGGTCTTGCGACTGGCCCCTAATTCAGTATGACTTATAAAACGGGGAAATTTGAACACAGAAACACACACACTCAGGGAGAATGCCACATGAAGATGAAGACAGAGATGGGGTGATATGTCTAGAATCCAAGAAACACAAAAGATTGCCAGCAGCCTTCAGAAGCTAGGAAAGAGCCTGGAACACATTCTCCCTCACAGCCTTAGAAGGAACCAACCCTCTAATGCTTTAATATCAGACTTCTGACCTCAAGACAATACATTTCCTTTTTTAAGCCACCCAGTTTGTGGTGTGGCAGCCCCAGGAAACTAATCCAGCATCAAATAAAATATAGTTCCTCTCTTGGGGCACTCATAGCCTGAAGAGAGCCAGGAGAACTTTGATAGGGGCTGGAGGAGAGCAGGGAGGTAACCCTACCGTGTGGTGTGAGTGTGCAGGAGTTGGGAGGGGGTATCCAGAGGGCCATTTCTGGAAGGTAAGGGGGAAGAGCACTGGATGAAGAGTGAAGAGGGCCAAGCTTAGTTCAAGCTTTGCCACTCTCTGGGTGACCTCGGGACATCACTACTTCTTGGAACTACAGTCTCCTAAAGCAGTAGATAAAAGGTTCCTAAACTAATGCATTAAAGGTTAGGATAAATGAGGTCATTTCTAAGTTCCTCCAGCTCCACTATTCACCTCGCTCTATGTCTGTCCCAGGGACATTGCTAAAGCTGAGGAGGTTCAAATGGAAGGCAAGAGTTTCCAAAATAATCTCTGAAGCCTTTTTAAAATTCACTGAGGGCTAGCTCTGGGCATATCTTGGGTATGAACATTTCATTGTCCGTTGGCTTCATTTTATTACTCTGCTTTCTTGTCTCTGGCTGTGCACGGGACTGAAATTGCTCACTCTGTGAGGCTGGGTCTATGGACGTAAAATTCTCTTTAAACAGCATGCAGCACAGCATGCCATGGAGCTAGATGTCTTGGAAAGGCCTCTCTGTTGATTATTTTCAAGAATGGCTTCAGACTATCATCTGGTTGGTATTTCTTTTTTTCTTCTTCTTCTTCTTC
Organism: Homo sapiens; assembly: GCF_000001405.40. Classification (NCBI taxonomy): domain Eukaryota; kingdom Metazoa; phylum Chordata; class Mammalia; order Primates; family Hominidae; genus Homo; species Homo sapiens. Next base: position 35,393,204 of record NC_000021.9, read on the forward strand.
TTCTTTTTTTTTTTTTTTTGAGACAGAGTCTCACTCTGTCGCCCAGGCTGGAGTGCAGTGGCACGATCTCGGCTCACTGCAACCTCCAACTCCCTGGTTCAAGCGATTCTCCTGCCTCAGCCTCCCAAGTAGCTGGGATTACAGGCATGCGCCACCACTCCCAGCTAACTTTTGTATTTTTAGTAGAGATGGGGTTTCACCATGTTGGCCAGGATGGTCTCAATCTCCTGATCTCGTGATCCGCCCACCTCAGCCTCCTAAAGTGCTGGGATTACAGATGTAAGCCACCGTGCCGGGCCAACCTGGTTGGTATTTCTAAGACTTTTGTATTGCTCAAGATCACCCTTGAAAATTACAACTCTCCTTCTAGTCCACCATCCAGCACTCCTTCCCCAGAACATTATCACCCTCTGGCCCATTATATACTGTATCATATGTGATATTTACTTTCTGTCTCCCTTGCTGATAATGTCAGCTCCAGAAAGGTAGGACTTTTTAGCTGCTTTGATCACTGGTGTATCCTCAGTGAGAAATGACTGCTACGGTTTCAATGTCCCCTCCAAAACTCCTGTTGAAACTTAATTCCCAATGTGGTAGTATTGAGAAATGGGGCCTTTAAGAGGTGATTGGGTCATGAAGGCTCTGCACTCATGAGTGGATTAATCCACCCATGGATTAATGGATTGATGGGTTAATGGATTAATAGCTTATTGTGGGAGTCTGACTGGAGGCCTTCTAAGAAGAGGAAGAGGGACCAAAGCAAGTAGGTGAGCACCCTCAGCTCCCTGGCCACATGAGGCTCTGTGCCACATCAGGACTCTACATAGAGTCCCCACCAGCAAGAAGGCCCTCACCAGATGTGGCCCCTTGACCTTGGACTTCTCAACCTCTATAACTGCAAAAAATAAATTCCTTTTCTTTATAAACTGTTTCAGGTATTCTGTTATAAGCAACAGAAAATGGACTAAGACAATGAAAAAGAGGATCTCTTAAACATACATCTGCAACTGGAAGAAGTCCCAGCCCCCTGGCACCCAGCCTAGGACTTGGCATTTGATAAATGCTCAGTGACTGTTGAGTGAACACATGATTGCCCATCGCTCCACACAGATTTAGTCTTCACTGAGAATTCCATATGTACAGACATGGATTAAATAATTGAGAAAGTGAAAGGACTTAATCAAGTTCATGTTAATTAAAGGTGAGAACTTACATTCTCTGTCTTGGTAACCAACCTGCACAGTCTTAAAAAGCAGAACACTAGAAACACCTTGGTAGAAATTAAGCACAGAAAGAACTATTAAAGAGCATTTGCGCTGAGGGATCTTGGCCCTAGTAGAATGTGGGGCCAGAATTCTAAGATGGTCCCCAAGATACCCTCTCTTGGTGTATGTAAGCCCTATAAAATCCCTTCCTCCAAGTATCAGCAGAACCTTCGAATACGATAAGGTATCAGTCCTGGAATTATATTACATTATATGCAAATGGCAGATTATTTGGGATGAGGCTAATTCATCAAACGAGGTCTTTAAGAGTGTTTACTCCACCTGGTTGCAGAGGAGAAAGTCAGAGACATGTGCTCTTGTTGGCCTGAAAGAAGCAACTATCATGTGGTGAACCACCTACAGGGGCCACACAGCAAGGAACGGCAGGCAGCCTCTAGAAGCCAAGAGCCTTCCTGGACCAACATCTAGCAAGAAAATAAGGACCTCTGCCATACAACCACAGAGAAATGAATCCCACTAACAGTGAACTTGGAAAAGCATCCTAAGCCTCAGATGAGAACCACAGCACCTTTAGATGGGAACAGTATGGTAGTCCGTTCAACATCTTAATTGTGGTCTGTGAAACCACCAGCAGACAGCCCTGCCATAGCCAGCCTAGACTTCATACCTACAGGAACTGTGAGACCATTGATATGGGTTGTTTGCAGTCACTAAGTTTGTGGTAATTTGGTATGAAGCAATAGAAAACCAATACGCATAGTGAGCTAGCTGAGTTCACTTCTCAGTGGTTAAAAAGATGAACAAATAAAGGTTACCAAGGGCTGTCGGGGGTAAAAGGAGCTTTTGTTTAATGTGTACAGAGTTTCTGCTGGCAGCAATGAAAAAGTTTTGGGTATAGATAGTGGTGATGGGTACACAGCACTGTCAATATACTTTAATGCCACTGGGTTGTAAACTTACCAATAGTTAAAATGATAAATATTATTTTATATATACATATATATATGTATATATATATATATATATATGTATATATATATATATTTTTTTTTTTTTTTTTTGAGAAGGTGTCTTGGTCTGTCACCCGGGCTGGAGTGCAGTGACGCGATCTTGGCTCACTGCAAGCTCCGCCTCCCGGGTTCACGCCATTCTCCTGCCTCAGCCTCCTGAGTAGCTGGGACTACAGGCGCCTGTATGCTATATATATATATTATCACATTTTTAAAGAGAGAAAGATGAATAAATAAAAAGAATATTGGATCACTCTACTTCTTTGATTACGGCCAATGATATTCTTCTCAGGCCCCTAATCTCAGTCCTATTCAAAATTAATTCTAATTGACTCAAAATATCCTTCAACTTAAAAATAAATTTTATTTTTTTAATATTTTAAAAATATTTTAAAAATAAGTTCTCTATCAAATGTTGAGTCTTGCTGACTCATGCAGTAGAGGGATTAGAGAAACCAGTACAAATCAGGAAGAGTGAAAAATAGCTTGAATCCTATGAATCATCTTGAGCTTTGACAGACAGGAAAGGAAAAGACAGAGTTATATGCCCTGGCAATGTGAGAATGGGTTGGGTCGGAAGAGTAGCACCCATAAGGCAAGATGGAAAACCTTCTGGCATTTTACTTAAGCCCCATGGCTGCTCAGGGCTGACCTAAGCAGGACAAAGAGACCACCAAGGCAGGTGAAGGGCAGGACCCAGACAGGAGGTAGAGAACACCAGCTAAACTGTGGGAGAGGATTGGGGAGAGCCCAGCAATGACCAGGAAGCTTTTTGTCTGGGGCCATGAACCTGGGACCCTACCCAGCAGTGACAGCCCAGATGACCTGTCAGGGAGGAAAGTCCTGGGAATGGTGACAACAGATGCCATGGAGGGCTGGGATGCTCAGGACTGAGATATAAGGATTGTCTCAATGGCACCTTTCTAGAAGGGGAGGATTTTTAAGAGTTTGACTTCAGAATTTGGTTCCCTAGTCATGGATTGTTGGGCATGGTGAAACATGACCATCTCAGCACAGGCCTATAGTCTGATGAAAATAAGAACTGAGCTCTCCTGGAAGGTAGACTTCTTGGCTGTGGATTGTGGTCTGGTCAATGCATCCTCAACAACTCCAGATGGAGCTTCTTGTTTGGTTTCCTAATCTCCCATCCGCACAATACCCAAACCCATAAATAACCCTCTGCCCCTCAAACCATTCTGCCTTTTGTTTTCTTCTCACATCTTGTACATCACCCTGCTTCTATGGAGGATCCTGCAATTTATTAATAATAATAAAAACAGTGGCAACAATACAAAACCAATATTGCTTATGGGCCATCCACAGTGCACTGAAGCCATGCTAAGCACTCAAGAGACCTTGTCTCCTTCAGTTCTCACAGTAGCTTTAGGAGATGGTGGAGGAAAGAGCTCAGCTCAGAGAGGGTAATAACCTGTCCAGTGTCACACAGCCAGTGAGTGGGTTATGAGTTTTAACTTAGGCTCATCTGACTCCAAGACCTGCACTTTCAATTTAGGACGACTCAACTCTCCATTCATTATGATCCTATGAGAAGGAACTTCATAAGAGGTGGGCCATGGTTTCTTTTTTTTGAGACAGAGTCTCGCTCCGTCGCCCAGGCTGGAGTGCAGTGGCGCAATCTCGGCTCACTGCAAGCTCCGCCTCCCGGGTTCACGCCATTCTCCTGCCCCAGCCTCTCGAGTAGCTGGGACTACAGGCGCCTGCCACCACGCCCGACTAATTTTTTGTATTTTTAGTAGAGACGGGATTTCACCGTGTTAGCCAGGATGGTCTCGATCTCCTGACCTCATGATCTGCCCGCCTCGGCCTCCCAAAGTGCTGGGGTAACAGGCGTGAGTCACGGCGCCCGGCCGGCAATGGTTTCTTTATGTGGCCTTTCTTGCCAATAGTCTGGAAGCGGCACTCTATGTCAGAGGTAGAAAGGAAGCAGGCATCTGTCCATCAAAAGGAGAAACTGGGGGCAGACACTTGATGACCTACAGGAATTTAAGGAAAAGCATAACACTCATGCGTATATTCTAATCAAGCAAAAGATGAAAGGCCTTATGGCAAAAAGGATAGAAAATTTCAAAATAATAGAAAATTTGGTTGGTGTGAGGTCTTGTTTAGTGAGCGTCATTTATAACGTTCATTAAACATTAGGAAACAAAACCAACACACTACACAGTCGTCCACAGAAAACAGTCTGGGCAGAACACGGCATTGCTTCTCAAAACATTTGAGAGTATGCATTTTCGCCAGGTGCTCCCTTAACATTTTAAATCTCACTGCGGTATCTCTTACTTAAAAAATAAAATAAAATAACGAAAGCTGTCTCTCACTTACACAACAGTCCAAATATTCTGAGTACTCACAGTACCAAAATATATATATATAATATATAAACACATTTGTAACCCTAGTTCTGCAAAGGTCCTTTATCTCTCGGATATTTTGCAATGGTTTCCATAACCTGGGATACTGCTTGTAAAATTCATCTCGACAAGCTAACAGATTTTCCCGAAGGCTGGCCAAGAATAATTTTAAAGAAATAAAGTGGCTTAACCCAGTTTTCTTGTGTATTCAGGAAAAGACAGGATATACATTTATATCCTTAAGAAGCAAGTAATCCAACTTTCTTTCCAACATGAGCTTAAACATGTTTGGAAGAAGAAAAATAACTAACTTATTAAGTATGCCATTTTATTTTGCTTTGATTGTTCCAGAATTAGTTAAAGATAGGGAAGATAGCCCCCAAAATGTAAATTATCAAATAATCATAAAAGTAAAAATATTGTGCTAATTATTTCAAAAATGACAAATCAAACTGGGAATTGACATATTAAGAACGACATTTTCTATGTCTGGAATTTTTGGAGAAAAAGTTACTATAGATTAGATAATGTTTGAATAACTAAAGCCTGATTCTTAGCAGAAAAATCTCTTTTGCTTTGAAGTATTTTAACTTAAATGTTTCTAAAATCTGCCTTACAAAAAGTATGTCCTATATATCAATTATTGTTCTGAGGTCCAATGAACAAACAAACCCAAGAATGCTGGAGTTTTCACTTAGGTTGGGCCCACCTCCAAGTCTCAAGTCTCAGCTCCTCTGAGGTGGAGACTGCCAGGCATTTGATGGCTGGCTAGAGAGGAAGAAGGAATAGGGCAGAATGAACACTTTCACTTTGGTCTTTAACAGAGGTTTATCTCCATTCATAGAAAAATGCTGCCTGTGACAAGCAGTCCCAAGAAAATTCCATCAAAAAGTGGAATTACACTTTTTGTGTAAAGTGGATGGCACACAGTCATGGTAGAATAAACTTCATAGCTGTGTGGAAAGGTGCTGTAGACAGAGGGGAATCCAATCAATTAACTTTCTGTGGAATGGAACCACTTTCTACAGGGATCAGGAGTAGAAAACAGGGAGGGAGAATGAAAGCCCAAGAAGAAAGGCTGTTTCCCTGTAGCCAAAGGTGGGAAAGAAACCAGATTGTCCCCTACAACATTAGGCAGTGACTCAGTGCAAATCCTCTGAAGGCTTGAATTCATTTTGACTATTATGTGGATACTCAAATGGCTAAAATGAAAACGTCTCCGTCCTTAGCAATATTTTCAATTCAAGATCTGATTAAAAAGCAATGATACAGTCAGCAAGGGCTGTGAAGACCTCTGAACAAGGTAATGCCATCAGAAATAATCGGCTTTTTACAGAAATGGAGCGAGGTTCCCCTACACACAGACTAAGTGTGTGTATGAGTCACAAGCCAATCAGAAAGAAAAAGAGCAGAAACAGAAGAAGTTGTTTAAGAACATAATACATACTTTCAAAAAATTAAAGTTGGCATGGAAAACAGTAGCAATTTGCTGGACATCCTTACACTTAGTTTGCAGGTCACTGGTGTTTTACTTTTGGATTACAAACAGGCATTACAGGGGCCACGATCATTTTTGTGTGAATGGCCTCTAGACATTTAAAGAAGAACTTGTTCAGAAAGCAGGGAGATAAAACTACAGGAGTGAGTAGACCACAACCAGCAGCAGAATTAGGGTGAAGAGAGCCAGGCACTCTCCTCGGACGCAAAATTTAAAGAGGCAACAAAACAATGCAGGAATCAAAATCAATCATGTTTTAATGTACTATTTTTTAAAAACCAAGATCAATGCTAAAAGTCATGATGAACAAAATATCAAAATTTTAAATAAAGATGGAATCAGCGTTCCTGAGCCTTAGGCATGAACAAGCTCAGCTCAGCACTGTTATAAATCCTGTCATTATTTAGACTTTGACAGTTTGTTCATCATAGATTTTTATGCATTAATTTTGATTTTAAAAATATATAGCATTAAAATATTATTTATCCTGATTACAGGCGTTTTTGTGTGTGTGTCCCCTTAAATGATATGCCTGACCTCACCCCAGAGAGATTTAGAGAAAGCTCCATGGATAACTGCTCAGGGCAGACAGAATGCCCGAGACACGGTAATTCACCGTCTGTAAAAGCCACCAAGACACCTGCGATGGTTTCTAAAGTCTTCCCACTTCAGTGTTCCTAAATTAGCTCTAAATACTTACTTTTTAATTCAGGAAAGAAAAACAAAAATCACTGGCAAAAGTCATAGAGTTAAAATAATATTGAGAAGGATTTCTAGGTTAATACCCTGACTTCCATTTCAGAGCAAAATTTTAAGTTTTCAAACAGATCTTTTCCATCTCTGAGATTCCTAAACTCTAGCATGTCTGTGAACTCCTTATTAGATATTCAACTTTCTAAATTCACAGAGACTAAGTTTCTCTATATATTCGGCTTGTAAATCAATGAAGAGTGATTATTTTAAAACAGCATAAACTAGCATTGTTTTTACTTTTGTTTCTACGCGCCAAAAAAGAGGAAATATCCCTTAAAATGAAAACAAGTTTTCTAGCCACAGGAAGAAGACAAAATTCAAGTAACTAAATTATACCTATAAATATTTTGGCTGATCGTTCTAGGGCTTGAAGTTTTAATTAATTGGAAATATTTTACACAACGTTCAGCAATAACATCTATAAACATATAAAATGTGCAAAACTTCTAAAATGGCCTGGTCGTTAAAGTGTTAAAGTATGTGCTAATGGAAGCATAGCGAGGGAGCTCTGCTGAAGATTTCTCTATATGTCCTCACTTTGCAGCATAGGAAAGATTGCTCTGCCACCTATTGGCCTTCCTTATGAAATAGATTTAATCTTACCTGGTAGCAAGCATTTACCTGTTCCTGGACTTGGAGAAAGCCTCAACTTAGCAAACTGCAAGCAACTCCATCTGGTCCTCTCTCAGGCTTTTGGTCAAGACTGGGTCCACCAAGGAAAATAGCAGGACTCCCACTGTCACCTCTGTGGACCCACTCTGAGAGGCAGCGGATTACTCCCCTCAACTGCACTTAAGAAGGCCACATATTCACAGCACAGTGGGCCAGAGGCTGTTCAACAAATGCTTGCTGGCCCCACCTGGACACAACCAGGAATTTAGGCTGAATTAACCTCTCATTCTCCGTACATGGCCTGAACACATTAAAAAAGGATGTCCTCCCCCGAGGTGTTTGGTGGACCAGGATGGCAAAGAAATATACTAATTTAGCTCATCACTGGGTCCCACCCAGGAAATTCTACGAATGTGCGTGAGTTTACTTTGACCAGGTATCTTGACCTGGAATTTCTTGAATTAACTAGAATGAGATGAACCTAGTTGGGATGGGAACATCTAGGACAAAATGATAATTCTTTTTCATTTTCTTTTTTTTTTTTTTGAGACAGGATCTTGCTCTGTCACACAGTCTGGAGTATAGTGGTGCAATCACAGCTCACTGCAGCCCCAAACTACTGGGCTCAAGAGATCCTCTTGCCTTGGCCTCTCAAAATGCTGGGATTACAGGCATGAGCCACTGTGCCCAGCCAATGATAACTCTTGATTTTCTTTTCTTGTTGATTAAATAGCACCAACCACTAAACTTTAACCAGCTGGGTCAAGTAATCAATAATATTTGTGTTTTTAGCAGGGAAATGACTAACATGTAGCTCTAGGCAGTTGACACAGTCTTCTTGGGTATCTCTACCTCCTGCCTACCCTCCCTATCCACAATGCCACCATATTTGACAGCTTCAATGACTTCTCCATCGAGCCTCTCTGGTTCTAGTCTCATTCCCCCACCCCAACATCACCGACTCCTCCTCTAAGCTGCTTCCAGAGCGGTTTTCCAAGATGCAAATCTGGTGACATCATTCCTTCGTTTGAAATTCTTCAGCAGCTCCTCATCCCCCATCAAAGGAACCTCAGATCTTTATCATGGAATATGTGACCTTCTGAGATTTTACCTTCCTTTCCAGAGTCCTTTCCCACCAATCCTTCATCAGCCTAATCAATACTAGCAGTGGGGTGGAAGGAAGATGAGAACTGGTATAGCAGGAATGCTAAGAGAAAGCATCTTTCACTTGAATATTAAAATATTCAAGGGAGAATGAAGTTTTAAAGAGTCTTTTTGAGTCCATTAACAAAGTTAATAGAACAGAAGAACATTAGATATATGAAAAGTCCATCCATGGTGTTGTGAATCCATCCTATGTACTAGAACCACAGGAGGCAGCTGCCTGGCACGTCTTTCAGAATTTTTCAGGACATAGTAAAATTATCTTCATCCTTTTGGTAGCTTCTATTTAAAACACAACTTCAAAGGTCTAATATGACTAACTTCATTTAACAAATCTCTAAACAAGGAAAATAAGGTTTGCAGTACCCTTTTGCAATGGAGAAGTATACAGAAAGATCAAAGTATTTCCAAAAGTATTATGGAGAATTATTTATGTCTTCTAAAAGATTATATCCCTGTGCAGTTTCCTATGATAAGGACCTGGATTAACTTTGTTCTACAAAGAAAGAAAGCCTGATGTATTATATGCTTTTCCACTGCCTCCTTAAGTGGAGCCAAAGAACAAAGCATTTTCCAGGAGGAATGAAGTTGTATCTGTCCTCAGAGCTGCCTAGAGATCAAAAGAATCTTTCTAGCAGTTTTATTGGAAATTTCAGAGGCCCTTAACTAATATTTAGCTTCATAAATGATGGGTGTTACAGGGTGGGAAAAAATTCCCACTTGTAAACTAATGGGTGGTTGTCAATCATAATTTTTGAAAAATGTTACTTAACTCAAATAAATATATTTCTGATTTCTCCTTGTTAGTATGATGGTTTTCAGTTTGTTTACAGGTAATCTCTCAAACCATTGCTTATTTCTTATCTGCCCAAAGGTAAATAAATTGTGGTAAAGCAGCATTCTATTTTTCAGATGGGAAAAACGTACAAATGAAACTCTGTGAGCCTATTCAACTCCTGGGGCTGCTATAACAAAGGTCCACAAACAGAGTGCCTTAAACAACAGACATTTGTTGTCGTCGAGTTCTGAAGGCTCCAAGTCCACCATCAAGGTGTCAGCAGGGTTGGTTCCCTCTAAGGCTGCGAGGGAGAATCAGTTGCAGCCTCTCCCTGGCTTCTGGGGATGCTGGTGATCCTTGTTCCTTGGCATCACCCCATCTCCACCTTCGTCTTCTCATGGCACTCCGTGTGTGTGTGTGTGTGTGTGTGTGTGTGTGTGTGTGTGTGTGTGAAAATTTCTCCTTTTTATAAAGACGCCAGATTAGGGCCCACCATAGTGACCTCATCTTAACAAATTACTCCTGCAACCACCGTATTTTCAAATGAGGTCACATTCTGGGACTCTAGGGGTTAGGACTTCAGCATGTGAATGTCGGGGAGACATAATTCAATCATAACATTCAGGTAACCATGTTTAAGGCCATGCCTAATTTTAAAAAATCAAGAATAATCGGTTGCAGCTGATGATTCCTCGTGTGACTCTTGCCTCCTTTAGTTCTTAGAGGCCCATTTAGTCTGGGGTCATCCTGAAAACTGGTGCCAGGCAAGGGAGTCTGCAGCCACAGGAGTCTAACCGCACAGGGCTGCTTTATCTGGACAGTTCATGACACTGGGGCCTGATGCTTCCTGGACCTGCTCCTTCAATGGCGTTGGCTCACATGCTGGGGCCACCATCGTCCCCTGGTGAGGTCGGCCGGCAATTTCTTCCCACAGAGTAGCTGGCAGCATCCTGTCCCAGCCCTGCCTCATTATCAGTCCTGGTCTCCTGGCCTGCAGGTCTTTGTTCAAACTCAAAAAGATGCTTGAACCAGGTGACTATACACTCACATCAAATACACAGAGAAAAATATTTTGAAGAGTAATGTTACAAAATGTGTAATTCCTAAAGTATACACGTGTCCTTATTAATTGGCATGGTTTTGATCATCTCCACATTATTTTTCCAGGTATCCTCCCAACTTGATCGTATAAACCTCAACGTATTGGAGTTCTGAGCATGCCAGTGTCCTTTCTTCCCTGGAGAGACATTTCTGGCTCTTCCCTAAATGCAACAAGACCCTGTAACTCTACAGAGTTTTTCTTATTAAACTAGGATACGTGCCAGCTGCACTTGCTACTCCACTAATAGCCACTTGAGTCCCTTTTAGCAACTATGTGATGATCAAGGAGTCAGGAGTCACTATCTCACCTCCTCCTATTTCTTCTCGGCCTGTTGGGGTGGCCTGATCTGCCCCGGACTTTCCCATTTCAGCACTGGTGTCCACGTTCTGAGACCCCTCGGTCAGGCACACCTGGACAGTCCCCCTCCTGTTAATTTACTTTCTTATATTTGAATCAACACAGCCCAAATATTATTGGCTTGTAGTTAAGCAGAATTTAAACAGATCCTATCCCTAAAACAAGCAAAAAAAGTGAAGTACACGGAAAATTAGTTACCCCTTCCTCATAATTTTTCTGGAATAATAGGGCATCAGTAATACTCCTAACAGGTAGTTTCACCCTACCTGGGCCTTGCTGGAGCTCCAGTCCTGATTCTGCAGCCGTCTTCTACACATCTCTGTTTGTGTATGCCATAGCCCTGCTCAAACCCAGGCTGTTTCAACAGCCCCAAACCTCCTGAGCTCTCTTTGTTTCCACCCGGAGCTCACCTCTTTTCTTCCTGCTCTCAGTAAAAAGGCAGTTTCCTTTCTTTTCTCCTTCTCAGTCAGCAAATCATGCTGATTCTTCCTCTCTTAATAACAATAACTTAGTTTATGTGATGCTTCCTGGGTTTACAAAGGGCTCTTGTAACCATTCAGTATTAGATCTTCATCGTGACTTAGTGCAGTGAGGTGGTGAATGAGAATTACCTTTATTTTCAGATACAAAGACCAACTCAGCAACACCAAGGCTGGTCAAACTCACATCATTAAGTACTAAGTAGTAAATACTGGCTCTTGAATGTGGGTCCCCTTTCCTACGCTGTTTCTTCTTTTTGAAAGACTCTGATGTTCTCTGTGTGTGTGTGTTTTCTCACTGCTGACACCCTAGACGAAGCTGTCACCACCCGCCACCCAGATCATTTGGCCCTCACTGGATTTCCTGGCTGGAGAGTATCTTCCTCCAGCAATCCTATATACTAGAACCACAAACCATGGGTCCCCATCATATCCCCTCTGTTATAAACCTCAGTCTCTCATCACCACACACAGGAGGAAGTCTTCAATCCCTTTCTGGTGACCAAATGCTTTCAAACCCTGCCCCACTTCTGTTTGGCTTTACCACTCGGACCTTCAAGTATGGACTCCCAATCCAGCCCACCACTGCAGTCTCCAGGAGTGCCACGCATCCTCAACCGCACGTCTTTGCTCTCCTTTTGCTGGGACAGTCCATGTTCCTTCTCTGAACAATCCAAGACCTTTTATTTCAACTCATGCATGGCTCCACCTTAAGGTCTCCCTCAACCACTCCAGCCCCCATTTATTTCCACCTTCAACCAAGTCCTGCGGCCGGTTTGCAGATACAAGTGGACTCACTCCTTACCCACTATCATCCCTTCTAGTGACCTTTATCTGCAAATTTGGTGAAAACTATGTTTTCCATTCTCATTAGCAGCTCAGGTTCTCTCTGGTCAGTAGCTATGTTCTAGGCAGTCACCCAGGGGAGACTTGGAAGGGAGCTCCCTAGGAGCACCCAAGAAACACACACAGCTGTGGCAGGCATGAGGTTTCTCCTGTAATAGTTCCATGCTGTGGGTGGGTGTTCCTCCTGCTGTGTTGCACACAAGCATAGCTCTCTGAACCTCTTTGAATTTCCACACACTACCTGACACCCTACAGCTTACAGACTTTCAATGAACTAGACTGAATTCTGTTGTCCAGAACTAAGAACTCCGAGGCATACGCTATAATGCTCCTGCTAATTTTGGTACTCCGTCGAATACCACCTTACATTATACCTTTTTCATTTAAATCTCTAATTGGTCAGATACTCCAGCCCCCAGCAGATATATGTAGCTCCTTCGGCCTTCAGGTCCACAACAAGAAACCGGCAATTGTGCCATGCCAATAATGCTATTGGGCCACAGTGGCTGAGCAGAGATCTTGGAGGGGAAGGAGGAAGAGTAAACACTAGGACATGAACCTGGAGCACCCACCCCCCGGCCTGGGACTCTGCTTTTCAGTTTCTCTGTTAGATTCCCTCCTGACTTGCCTTTCTTGGCAATCCATGTGTCTGGGTAGGAAGAAGAGCCTGGAGGTGCCTTCCACTTGGAAGGGGTCTCCAGAATAAATCAAGAGTCAAGTGGGAAATGGAGCAGGGAAGCCAGATAACCTGCCTCTGGCTTCAAGCCATGTGCTGGCAAGACACAGATAGGTTTTACACCAGCATGTTAAAAAGCTGGCACAGATGGAAACAAAAACACTTTATTCTTCCATCACAGCAGGTGTTCATATAGAAATGCATTCACTTCTTTTAATCAGGGTAGAGGTATTGAGGGAGGAGGGGGGACACAGTACAGATCAGTGTATATTGTCCAGACTCATTTCTTAATTTACATGTATTTTTTTCTAAAATATAATAAACATTGCTTTGTCATTCTTCCCCTGTTCCTCAACTGTCTTTTGTACCCATCATAAAACTTGAATCCATTGACTTGTTGCCAGGTGACAAGTACTTGCAGGCTGGGTCCTTCCCTTTGTTGTGTCTGTAGTGTTCATGGCTGGATCAGGGCTTAGGACATATCGGGGCTTAGGACATAGCAACCACCTGTGCTAAAAAAGAAGTTCTCCTGTCCAGTTTAGTTTACCAAGGATTGAACTTCCTTAGAGAGGTTTAACACCAATGCCCTGGACATAATACACCCCGTGATCTCGTCTGCTCCTGTTCAGTGAGCCTCTCTCTTTCTCTCTATCTTTCTCTCTCTCTCTGTCCCTGGAAGGGTTGCAGGAAGCAGAGCAGGGAGTCAAGGATTTGATCCATTCCTGGCCACACATGGTCATAACTAAGATAACTAGCCCTTGCCTACAACTGCAGTATAAACCACAGAAGGGCAGGCAACAGGCTCTGGGCTTCAGCCGTCACTTTGTCTGCTATCTGCTAATTGTATAAATACTGGCTGAACAAATGCACTTAACACTTTACACCTCGAAAAATTCGCATGGAATCCATTTTCATTTCTTACTTGATGAGAAGACCCCTTCCGGAGTTATGACTTTAGAAGTCTGGAAATTCAATGTGGCACACATATGCTGAGATCCCAGCATAGGAGAACTAAAAACAAACTGGGGTGATTTTTTAAGTAATAAAAACAACAATAAGAACTCTAAGCCATATACAAATAACTGATGGGGAAAAAAAACTCTTTTTAGCAAATTATATCACAGCCAAAAGTAAAATAAAATTCAGTGTTATTTTATTATTTTTACTGAATTGTAATTGTTTAATTATTATAAATGGGAGTCATTGCAAAAAAAAAAGTCATTTTGGTCATAGTAGCCCATTGATTAATAAGTTCCACTGAATGTTTAACAATATACAGAACATTTTAAACAAAAAAGAGTTAACAGCAAAGAATACATACTCCTTGATGTTGGTTTCGCTTGTAGCTCTAAATACTGATGGAAAACCTGTTCCCTGTCATAGAAAACTACTTCTCTAAGCACTTGCACTGCACTAATTGATCTTTTAATTGGCTCAGTCAACACTCTAGTCTTTCTACACAACAAGTTCTAATTGCTACATGCAACTGGAGCAACACTCAGATTATCAAGAAGACAGAGGCATCCTATCAACCTCTGCTTCAAGCAGTGTGCTGGCAAGACACAGATAGGTGTTACACCAGCATGTTAAGAAGCTGGCACAGATGAAAACAAAAACACTTTATTCTCCCATCACAGCAAGTGTTCATATAGAAGTGCATTCACTTCTTTTAATCAAACTAGGAGTATTGAGGGAGGGAGCAAACGGTATAGAGATCAATGTATGTTGTCCAGACTGGTTTCTTAATTTACATGTATTTTTTTCTGAAATAAAATAAAGGTGCCTTTGCCATTCTTCTCCTGTTCCTCAGCTGTCTTTTGCACCCATAAAACCTGAATTTATTTACTTGTTACCAGGTGACAAGTACTTGGAGGATAAGTCCTTTCCTTTTTTTGTATCTGTAATGCCCATGGCTGGATCAGGCCTTAGGACATAGCAGTCACGTGTGCTATGAATGAGTTTACGTCTAAAATTCACTCCTATTTGATGAATGTCTTTTCTAATTAAGTAATAGCAAGCAATCAGTAAAATGTTATAATAAAGCAGGATTTCTTAACGCTGGCACTATTGACATTTGGGGCCAGATCATTCTTCTTTGCTGGGCTGTTCTGTGCGCTGCAGGATATGTGGCAGCATCCCCAGCCTCCACCCACTAGACACCAGTAGTACACAGTAGCCCCCCTAAAAATCACTGCTCCTGTTGAGAAGTCCTGGACTAAAGATGCCATACATACACAGATCAGATACTTTCCTACAAAACTACGCAATTCAGGCTTATTCATTTCTTTTCGAGAAGTTGTTTTCACTAAAATAACACTCCCTGGATAGGCTCAGAAATGAAACAGAGAGGAAGGAAAAAAAGCTGATCTAAAGTGATCTAAATCAAACAACTTCAGTGGATTATTAAAAGCAGTCACAACAAAAAATGAAAATGAAACAAAAAGCCCTCGTAATCCACGTCTCTCTGAAGGAATTGTCTGGGAATTATTTAACCCTCCACCCAGCCTTTCTGTGTGTCATTCTCCATCCATCCTTGATGACTTGTCTCCTAAGGAGCTTGTTAGGAGTTCTGAATGCAGCCAAGGAGGAGTCAGGTCTCTCACTGACAATGGATTATGCTGGTGTAAAGCATGCTTTCCAATTTACAGACAGAAGAAAATGAATGGAGAATGGTTCTTTAACTCATTGATTCATTTGTGTCCTTATTTCTTCCCTCACACCCTTCATTCCTTTTTTCCTCCTTGTGTTTCTCGTCTTTCTACTTCTCTTTCTCCTTTTCCTTCTTGACTTCTAGACTCTTTCATTTCTCTAGATAAACATCAATGTTTTCTATCTAAATGCTGAAATTAAGAAATATTTTAAAAATAGTTTTGGAATTCATGGCTTTAAAAAAACACATTCAAGGCAGCAATCTTTTTTTAATTATTATTATACTTTAAGTTCTGGGATACATGTGCAGAATGTGCAGATTTGTTACATAGGTATACACGTGCCATGGTGGTTTGCTGTACCCATCAACCCATCATCTACATTAGGGATTTCTCCTAATGCCATCCCTCTCCTAGCCCCTCACCCACCAACAGGCCCTGGTGTGTGATGTTCCTCTCTCTGAGTCCACCTGTTCTCCTTGTTCAACTCTCACTTATGAGTGAGAACATGCGGTGTTTGGTTTTCTGTTCCTGTGTTAGTTTGCCGAAAACGATGGTTTCCAGCTTCATCCATGTCCCTGCAAAGGACATGAACTCATCCTTTTTTATGGCTGCAAAGTATTCCATGGTGTATATGTGCCACATTTTCTTTATCCAGTCTGTCATTGATGGGTATTTGGGTTGGTTCCAAGTCTTTGCTATTATGAATAATGTTGTAATAAACATACGTGTGCATGTGTCTTTATAGTAGAATGATTTATAATCCCTCTGGGTATATACCCAGTATGGGGTTTGTGGGTCAAATGATATTTCTAGTTCTAGATCCTTGAGGAATCAAGGCAGCAATCTTAATAGTGTAGAGTTAAACCTCTTCAATCACGTTTATAAAAATGCAATGCTTCTTCCAAAAAATGGACTTCCATTGTTGGCTCTTTAAATAACGAGATAAATTCATACACTTACATGCACATACACACATGTGCACGCGCGCACACACACACACACACACAAGAAAAATGAACTCTGGCCCATCACAGTACTTTATATGTATTTTAAAATATTTTGAACCCAAGCACTAAACACCCTGAACCCTAACTTAGCATTCTGAACTTCACAGATACTGTGGAGTGCTTTCTGTGTAAGATTGAAAGCCATTTTAACAGAGTTCCTCCTGAATCAACCCCACTGTTCCTTGCCCTTGTGCTAGCTTCCTGACTGGTGTCCAGCTGCATCTACTGTTAGGCTTCTGAGAAGCAGCACCTCTTTCCTGATACAGGTGATCCACTTTGCAGACTTTGCTTGATGAGAGTCCAACTCTGCTTGTGCAGCCTGATAAATTCTCCTGGGCTTCACTTCCCACATAGAGGGGGGAACTCTCTGTGAACTGAATCCACTGTGCCTCCCCCACAGGATTCCTGGTGAAATTAAAACCAATAATGCATCAGAAGCACATAGCACAGGGCTGGGCACATGGCCTGTGCTCAGAAAATGTTACCTGCTACTGTGCCTTTACTTTCTTATGTTGCCTCCTATTGTTGATCATTTGGATTGTTAGCACCAATACCAGCATTGTCATCCTGAACACTCAGCACTTACCATTTTTGCCACTTAGTCATGCTCAGCCTCTGCCACCTTGCCTTGCTCTTTATACTTAGAGAGCATGCCTTGTGTCCCCAACTTTATCATAAGTTGTTGCAGGATAGAAAGGAAATCACGCCTGGTAGATGTAAAATAACCCTTATAACCAGCACAGGACAGGGAGAGAGGGCTGCAGATACCTATGTTGTTTGGGTCTCTGTAAAGAGAAGCTTTGCTCACCCTGACATTTACAATGGACAGGAGCTCACTCTGTTTAAACACTGTGTGTGCAGAAGCTTTCCTGCCTGATCTTGTGTCATCCTCGCAGACCCATTTTATCTGTATTTTGCAGGGATCTGGGGCTGGCTGAGGAGAGGTGCCTGTAAATGAGAAAGCCAGGGGTGGAAGTGCACCTTGAACCTACTTTATCTCACTCACTCTTACCTAGTGCCAAGTGCTGCCCTAAATAATTCATATTTAAGTTATTTAATGTCACAACTTAATAATTCATATTAATTAATTCAATTATTTTAATTAATATAATTTAATTAATTGATTCAATTTAATTCATTTATAATTAATATTAATTAAATATGAATTATTTAAATCTATATTTAAGTTATGTAATGTCACAACTTAATAATTCGTATTATGTCATTTAATGTCACAACTGCCACTGGTGGTGGGGCAGGGGGGTTACTGTTTTTATCCCATTTTATGGATAAGGAAACACTTACCTCCCTATCTTTGTTTCTTTTTTTTTTTTTAATTATACTTTAAGTTTTAGGGTACATGTGCACAACGTGCAGGTTTGTTACATATGTATACATGTGCCATGTTGGTGTGTTGCACCCATTAACTCCTCATTTAACATTAGGTATATCTCCTAATGCTATCACTCCCCACTCCCCCCACCCCACAACAGGCCCCGGTGTATGATGTTCCCCTTCCTGTGTCCATGTGTTCTCATTGTTCAATTCCCACCCATGAGTGAAAACATACGGTGTTTGGTTTTTTGTCCTTGTGATAGTTTGCTGAGCATGATGGTTTCCAGCTTCATCCATGTCCCTACAAAGGACATGAACTCATCATTTTTTATGGCTGCACAGTATTCCATGGTATCTTTGTTTCTAATGTCCATGAATTCTAAGTCTCTCCTGCTGGGAAGAACAAGGAAAAGAAGGATCCTGAGAAGAGAAGGAGACGTGGTGCAAATGTCAGGGACAGAGGGAAGGTTTTGGCATGAAGCCACCTTGGGAAAAAGAGAGGAAGCCTAAAGAGGAGGCTCCGAAGCTGAGTCCTCCACCCGCCGTGGGAAGAATGGCGCCGCCGCACGTGCGTGGGACAGGGCGATGCCACCTGCGCTGGGTGTGTGCTGGGAACTCAAGAAACAACTTTCAGTTCTAATATAACATAATGATGAACTCAACATGGACTCAAGTCTGTTTTTCCTCCTGCTTTATTTTTAGTTAGGGTACATGCAAGCTACTCTTGCTCTTTGGATCCATGGCTGAATCTGGACACCAGCAGTGACCAGCTCTAGAGTAAAAAAATCAGGAAGGGGGCTGGCCACACTGGGTTGGAGAATCAGACTTGGGGATACCATGCCATGAGGTGTGTGGCCTCTGGGCAACAAAACAACACCAGTTTAGACTCATCTCCTTGAAACAGAAGGAAAAGCCAGGCTTGAAAACATGGGTTAGAACAAGGAATCTTGGGCCAGGCGCAGTGGCTCAGGCCTGTAATCTCAGCACTTTGGGAGGCCGAGGCGGGCAGATCACTTGAGGTCAGAAGTTTGAGACCAGCCTGGCCAACATGGTGAAACCCCGTCTCTACTAAAAATACAAAAATTAGCTGGGTGCGTGGTGGCGCGTGCCTGTAAAACCAGCTACTGGGTAGGCTGAGGCAGAAGAATCGCTTGAATTTGGGAGGCAGAGGGCTGCAGTGAGCCAAGATCACACCACTGCACTCCAGCCTGGGTGACAGTCTGAAGATAAACAAAACAAAACAACAACAACAAAAAAACAAGGAATCATGGATGAATAACTAACTTAGCATGCAGAAGATGTCAACAATACCGTGTTTAACATACCAGCTGTCTTGATTTAGGGCCTTCCAAGAGTTAATTCTCTTTCATTCTACATTCCCTGTGAGGTTTGCATTTCTCAGGTGTTGAGTTAGCTTTAAGGAGAATTCTTAGACACCTAAACCTCACAGAGAGACACCATCCTACAGCCACACGCCATTTAAGCGAACTCATTTGAGAATGTTTCAGGCTTGCATGATTGGAGTGGGTGGGGTGTGGACCCTAGATTCTAAGACAGAACCTTGCGCTTAAGGAATTCAGAGCCAAATTACAAACTGGCTGGAGAAACACCTCAGGTGGATCTAATAGGCCCACTCAGAAAGCAGAAGAAAGCTGTGTCCTAGAGTGAGCAGATCCTCTGTGGAGGAGGAGCCCCTTTGAAATGAAATGACAAAGGGTGACCAGGGTTGAGTGGAGCGTCTAGACATGGAAAGTGGTAGAAATGATTACGGTACTACAAAAGGATTTACCTCAGCCCTGGTTCAATCCTATCTCCTCCAAAGTGTCTTATTTGAGGCTTTTTTTCCCCTCTGAATACACATTTCTAGCTTCATAATAGGAAAGAAGAAGAAAAATGAATTTATTTCATGGCCAACTTTTTGTGGTGAGAGATAAGAAAAACAGACTTTTTAAAAGGTTCACATTTAGCATTTGAAGAAACTGAATTCTGAAAAACGTGAATTCCTTACCTGGGTTCACACAGCTCGTTTGGGAGGAAATGTGGGTGAAAGTACAAGTCTCTGGCAAAGTTGGAATAATCCAGCACTCTTTGTGTAGGAAGAAGGCACAATAGGAAAATGTGCATATGGGCTTCTTTTTTTTTTTTTTTTTTTGAGACAGTCTCGCTCTGTCACCCAGGCTTGAGTACAGTGGTGAGATCTTGGCTCACTGCAACCTCCACCTCCCAGGCTCAGATTATCCTTCTGCCTCAGCCTCCCAAGTAGCTGGGATTACACACATACGCCACAACAGCCGGCTAATTTTTATATTTTTAGCAGAGACAGAGTTTCACCATGTTGGCCAGGCTGGTCTTGAACTCCTGACCTCAGATGATCCGCCCGCCTCAGCCTCCCAAAGTGCTGGGAGTACAGGCTTGAGCCACCACACCTGGCCGGCTTACTTTTAAAAAAACAGTAAAAATATAGAAAGAGGGAACACCAAAACAGTAAAATCAGGTTACCTACAATGGGACGTAAGATACCAGTGATGAGAACATGAAAACGTGAAGCTTTTATAAGTAAAACTGTAATATTTTGATTTTTGAAGACATGTTTAGAGTCCACACATTTTTAGAAAAAAATTAGTAAGAATGAGGAGGAGAAAAAAAAAAAACTAAAACCAAAAGCAGACTGAAAAAAAAGAAGATGATTGTATTTCAAATGAGTACCAGACAATGATAAAGGGGAATAAAGAAAGTGAGAAAGCAGGAAAGAGGTACTGGAAAGAAGGGAAGGAGGGAAGAGGGAAGCAGGGGCGGGGAGAAGAAAATCCAAGTAACCTGAAGGAGGGAAAATCCAACAAATTTATGAACACAGTATCTGACTTTAGAACCTCTGTTTTGGGTAGAGTGGAATGGGAACAGGAGAATTGCAAACAAATCCTGACTACTTGTAATAAATAAATTAGTAATTAGGTAATAAATTGCATTAATAATCAGATGAATTAAAATTCATCTAATCAAAAGAATTTCTTGTAGTGTATGGGCAAAAAAAAAAAAAAAAAAACAAATCCTGTGACCGTTTTGGATGTATTGAAAGAGGAGCAAATATAAAAATGTGCTGATGTTTGAGAACCCTCAGGTTCTCAAACAGGCACTGCAGGGTTCTCACTGCAGAAAAAGGAATATGCAAATATGTAATGGAAGAAAGAAACAAGGGACTCTGTGGGGATAGATTTGAATTCGAGGTACTGGCATGAAGTCATGATTTCTAAAATATGCGTGCTTATGTAGATATATTTTGTGTATATTTGCTTGCATGAATATATTGGAAATATACATATACATGTATATATTTCTTCTCTGCCCATTGAAAGGGCCAAGAAATTGTGAGAGGAAAATAAAATCTCAGAACCCCAAACTCCCTATGCCAAACGGAAAGTTAAGCTTAAGAACTAAGCCTCTCAAAAACCGCCTAGCTGTAATTTCACACGCTTACTTTGTCTTATGTAAAATGCAGATTTACTGAGCCCGAGATGAATGCACAATTGACTTTTCCTCCCACTCCTTTCTCTCCACATGTAAAATGTAGATCCACTGAGTGCCAATCAGAGCCTCACAAGCATGAAACCACTTGCCTCATTGCCTACCCTCCCCCTGGCCCTCCTGCTGGTTCTTTCCACTTTAAATATTGAAGCCCTCTAAACCCTCTGGAAAAAGCACAGATCCTACTGTGACTTGTGTTTCTTTTTCCTAGGTGCATCCTCAACGTTGGCAAAATAAACCTTTGAATCGACTGAGATCTGCCTCGGTCATGTTTAACAAAAACAAAGACATTCAGTAGCTATGAGTACTCCTAGAGCTCAGCTCTTCACTGCAAATGCCATCCCCCACTAAAAGGAACAAGAGCTCTTCAGAGGAATAGCTAATTCCAGGGCTTGGGGCAGGGTAGGTCAGCATGAGCTGGAAAGGAAGAAAGTAGCTTATAGAATGAGAGAACTATGTTGTAAGGACACAGGAGCCACCAACGGAGATCCCAGTGGCCAAATTGTGGACAACTGGAATCCCAAAATAATGCAAGTAGAATAATGAACTATTGACAAATAGGAATTCATGAATACACAGGCATAAAAAGTAAGGAGAGAGGGATGGATCCTATAGTAGAATGCCAAAATCTGACTGACAGATGTGGAAAGCATGTCGGAGTTGGAAAATCAGCATTCTGCAATAATCATGGCAAAGACTGGATCAGGCAAGTATTGTCAATGCGTGTATTTAAATCTAAAGGGATTTTTTTTTATGAGAATCAGGATATTTTCAGGGTCTTAAAATGTCATCCCATTGACTGCTTATTAGTTGCAAAGGAGAGAAAAATAGTAACTCAACAGTGAAGATATCAAACTCCACTTTAACCAAGTGATCAATGTTAACATCACCAAAGAGGGCTGGATGGCCGTTGAGTGTCCCCAGATATGGTACTCTGAGAAGGACACACCATTCCCTATGTAGTATTTCAGCATGGAGCACATGACCTGAATGTAATCACACACAGAAAAAAATCAGAGAAGCCCACGATGAGAAATGTTCTATTAAAATAAGCAGGGGCATGGGCTGACTATATTCTTCAAAATGTTAACATCTCAAACACAAAGAAAGCCTGTGGAAATATTCCTGATTCAACAGGGGAACTAAAAAGACAAGACGATGAAATGCACTACCTGATACCAGAGGGATCCTGTACTGCAGGAAAAATGCTCTAAAGGACATTACTGGGTCAACGGACACATTTGGAACATAAATGGTAGATTAGATAAAACATGTTATCAATGTTAAAATACCAAAGTAGATAAGTGTACCATGATTATGTAAGAACATATCCTTATTCTTAGGAAATAGCCCAGGAAGAATTTAGGCATAAAAGGGCATGATATACGTAACTTACCCTCAAATAGTTCAGAAAAACAGGTACGTGTGTGTGAACACACGTGTATGCATATGTGTGTGTGCACATGTACATTTGAATGGAGAGAGAAAAAACACAAAGGCAAAGCAAATGGTAAAAATGTGTGTGCTAAATGATTCGTGTCTGCTCTTCATGTTATTTTCATTTTTGTAACATGCCTTTTAGTTAGAAATTATTTTCAAATAAAAAGTTTGAAAATGATGCTTGTACACACTGAATGCATCTACAAATGGCTGTCGTGAAACAGCCCATTGTCGTGATGTTGCTGAGAGGCCATCATTAATCAATACATATATATTAATATGTCATTCCTGATGTTTTACATCACATTTTAATTGTCCACTAGAGCTTTGATTTCCAAACCTTGCCCTTTAATGGGTTGTATCTGAATCCCCTAGGATGCTTTTAAATAATAGAAATTCCAGGAACCCGGAACCTGATATAGAAGGTCTTGTGGGGGGCTCGGAATCTGTTTTTCAAACAACCACTGGAAAGAGAATACATCCATGCATATACTTATGAGCAACATGTTCTTTAAAATTCCACCCAATTTTTGTGTTTGTAAAGTGACATTCCAATCGTGTCAGTCCTTCACACTTGCACTGTATACTTAATCTCTTTTGATTCTTTCCTATAGACCATCACTTCACCCTGGACTGCCCAGGCATCATCCACTGAATATCCCCCGAGGCCAGGTTAAACATTGGTTCAGGACATTCTATTCCCTACATCCCTCACTCAGTCGTCCTGCTTTCACTGTTCTATAGGCTACCACATGTATCAGCTCTATTCCCCTTCTGATCCTAATCACCCCTGGGATCAAATCTGAGCTATCATCACAACCTCCACGTTTCACCTATTAGAGAAATGATCCTCAGGTAGAAGGGCTTGTTATCCTTCCAGACGTCTCTGTGATTCTCAACCTGCCTGGTCACCTTTCCTGTTTGTTCCTTCTTTTTTATCAAAACATCTTTATATGTTACAGAGAGATATTACACACAGCATTTTGTTTCAGCACAGCAAT
This sequence comes from Homo sapiens, assembly GCF_000001405.40. Taxonomy (NCBI): domain Eukaryota; kingdom Metazoa; phylum Chordata; class Mammalia; order Primates; family Hominidae; genus Homo; species Homo sapiens. The sequence goes on from NC_000021.9 coordinate 35,417,033, forward strand.
TTGTTCATTTGATCGCATCTAACTGAAGTATCTGTCAAGGATGAGATAAACGTGGTTTCACAATGGGGACTATCACCCAACCTGGCAGTCTCACCTCTCAACTGCCTTCTGGGCCTGCCTAGATAAAAGCTGTTGTTCTGTGCTGTAAAATAACAAAATAACGTTGGTGTGTTTTTCCTCCCCACCAAATAGCCCACAGCCATTCTCCTAAAATTGATGACGTTTTCTTTTTTTGACACCTTCTTTAACTGGTTCAGTTACAAGCTTATCTGATTTTGATATCAATGTCTCAATTCCAGCTTAATCCTTAAATAAGTAATGAATGAAGCAATGACTCAAATGGCATCACCCCGTTTTATGGACCTGAGCATGTTTCACACAGTGCGCCCGCTGCTCAACCTCATGGGCACTGAGTTTTCTGTGTTGTAGTGAACAAGTTTTCAGCTAAAACTAATCAAGGAAAGATCAACAGGCTGCCCTACAAGAATATAAACTACAAGGAAATTTTATGATGTGTGCATACACTTGTTATCTAAATACTTGTTTAAAAAATAATAGAAGGTTCATCAAGTCTCAACATCTTACTGAATCAATAAAAATTCAAAATGCCTGTGTTTTATGAGTGACCAGGAGTGACCTTTCCCCACCTCTCTACCCAAGGCTCCAGGGTAATTTGAAAATGACAGCTCTGGATACAGTAGTGGTTCTCCAGGTGTAGTCCCTGGACAAACAGCATCACCCAGGAACTTGTTAGAAAAGCAAGTTCTTCCTTCCACACGTCCACGTGTTCTCGTCATTTAGCTCCCACTTACAAGTGAGAACATTCGGTATTTGATTTTTCTGTTCCTGCATTAGTTTGCTAAGGATAATGACTTCCAGCTCTATCTATGTCCCTATGAAGAACATAATCTCATTCTTCATGGCTGCATAGTATTCCATGGTGTGTATGTATCACATTTTCTTTATCCAGTCTATCACCGATGGACACTTAGGTCAATTCCATGTCTTTTCTATTGTTACTAGTGCTGCAATGAACATACATGTGCTTGTGTCTTTATAATAGAATTATTTATATTCCTTTGAGTATATACCCAATAATGGGATTGCTGGGGCCTATTGGACAGTAGAGGGTGGGAACAGGGAGAGGACCAGGGAGAATAACTAATAGATATTAAGCTTAATACATGGGTGATGAAATAATCTATACAACAGATCGCATGACACACGTTTACCTATGTAACGAACTTGCACATGTACCTCTGAACTTAAAAGTTAAAAAAAAAAAAAGAAAAACAAGTACTCAGGCCCCACCCCTGACCTACTGAATTAAAAAAGTCTATTATGAGGCCCAACAATGTTTTAACAAGCCCTCCTCCAAGAGCTACATCATTGTCCAGGTGCTGGAGATCTCAAGGCTGATACTAGCTTCACGAATTCTTTGACCAAGTGAAATCAAATAGGAAAAGAGAATATACATAAGTTTTCTAAAGTTTTTCTTAAGCCTAAACTATGTGTTTAACTATCCAATTAAAGTTGAATATTCATTATTTTTCCTGTTTTTTGAAGTTATTATGGAGAACATTTGCTGCATTCTTTATTTGGCTGGAGATGCTTATAGTAACCAAGGCTGAGTTATGGTGCTTGCCTGAGGTGCAAATTCAAAGGCACAAAACTCATAAATCAAGATGAATATTAATGCAATATTTAAAAAGTCAACACTAATCCAAACAATTATGATGAACAAAATAACAAAATTATAAATGGAGATTAGGCCAGCCCGGAACTTTTATGACTAACCCTCTTACATCACTCTAATCCTGGCCTTGTTAGTGATAACCTCATACTATCATCAATACATTGTGATAACCTTGGAAGAGGAGTGTATCAGTTGTGTCTCATATATGCTCATTTTTTCCTGAGTGTTTTGCCAATGGCATGGTCATAGATGGCAGCGTATAATGGGAGCAGAGAGGACTGGGGACCAGCTAAGTGGAGCACAGGCAAAGTAATGTTCCAGAAGCCTGGGGAAGGTGCCATCCGGGGGGACCTAAGCCAGGATTTGAGGTAGACGTGGGAGAGTAGAAACAAGTGGGAGACTGGAAACAGCTGGGAGTGATGGACATAACTATTTGCCAAATGCCATGATGGGACAGCGATTAAAACAAGTAAAAAGTCATGGTTAAGTTCACACAAATAACAGGAGACAGAAAAAGCCTGTGAGCCATAAAATTAGGCAAAGCTGAAAGGAGGGAGTTGGCCTTGAGACCAGGAAAGAAAGTGGGCCTGCACTAGAAGAGACAGTCCCAGAAGGTAGCATGACATATATAAAAAGTCAAGATGCCAGGCATAGTGGCTCATGCCTGTAATTCCAGCACTTTGGGAGTCCGAGGTGGGAGGATCGCTTGAGGACCGGAGTTCAAGATCAGCCTGGGCAACATAGCAAGATCTTGTTTCTACTTAAAAAAAAAATTTAAAATTAGCTAGCTGTGGTGTCTCAGCTCTCACCTGTAGTCCCAGCTACTGGAGAGGTTGAGGCAGGAGGACTGCTTGAGCCCAGGAGTTCAAGGTTGTAGTGAGTTATAATCATGCCACTGTAGCCCAGCCTGGGCAACACAGCAAGAAAACACAAAAATACAAGTCAACAGCTAGGACATCGTTTGGAACTACGCATACGTATATAGATCTGCAACCAGCTTTTTTCAATTAGCAATATATTCAGAGAAAAAATTTGTATCAGAAAATATGGTAGTGCTTCATTTTAAGGCAACGCCATGGTATCTGTATTAGTCAGGACTTTCCAGAGACAGAACCAGTAAGAATGGATGGATAGAGATTTGATACACAGAGGATTGACTGATAGGTAGACAGATGACAGATAGATGGTAGATAGACAGACAGACAGATAGATAGATAGATAGATAGATAGATAGATAGATAGATAGATAGACAGACAGATAGACAGACAGATAGATAATGTGATTTATTTTAAGGTATTTGCTCAGGGGATTGTAGAGCCTGGCAAGTCCTGATTCTACAAGCAGGTTGGCAAGCTGGGTCCCAAGGAAGAGCTGATGCTGTAGCTCTGGTCTGAGGGCAGTCTGGAAGTAGATTTTCTTCTTCCTCTGGGGATCTCAATCTTCTTCTCTTAAGGCCTTCAGCTGATTGGATGAGGCCCACCCATGTTATGGCAGGTAATACACTTTACTAAAAGTCTACAATTTAAAGTTTAATCATAGCTAAAAAATAGCTTCACAGTAACATGTAGACTGGTGTTTAAGCAAACACTGTGCACCATGGCCTACCCGGGCAACACATGAAATTAACCAACAATAACCATGAAATTAAATGTAACCATTACAGTTTAGCCACAGTAATTTCTATAACCAGCTTCTGATTGATACAGATTTTTCCTTATTTTTCCATTATCATGAATAATGATACATACAAATAAAAACATTATTTTATATGATAAATGATGATATAGATTTTATATCCATATATGACATGATACTGTTACATGATAATATTGTATTATTTTAACATGATAATATAGATATTTCTGTTGCATACATTCAACAAAGTGGACCTGCTGCTCAGAAGGTATGTGCACTTAACAAATCATAATGGATACTGTCAAACTGCCTCCCACAAAGCTTCATTCCACAACAGCATGTGAGAAAGCTTGTTTCCCTACATGCTCTTGGACACTGGGTATTTCCAAGAATCACAATATTTGCCAATACACTTTTCATGAGCATAGCCAAGGGAAGTGGGTAGAAATGGGAGCAAGAGCAGTAGTGGCTGGAGCAGGCGGGCCCTGGGACTTTCTCCACACAGCAAGCATGCTGCCCACCATGAGACATTAGAATGATTCACCAAGGCAGTCAATGTCTTAAAAACGAGAAGCACAAAAGAAAGGCATTATGTCACTCAGGGAACATTGGCACAATTTTCTTTCTTGAGATCCCAGCTGATCCTGCCTCATCCTTCTGCAGAAATTACAAAAGGAGTCACCCCAGGGGGATTCTCCTTCAAAATGTTCTTTCAAGGACACTTTTCGAAGAGGAAGGGAACTGGATTAGACCACTCTTGCATTTCTACACAGACATACAAGATGGGAAATTTATAAAGAAAAAGAGGTTTAATTGGCTCAGGGTTCTGCAGGCTGTACAGGAAGCATGGTGCTGGCAGCTGCTCGGCTTCTGGGGAGACCCCAGGGAGCTTTTACTAATGGCGGAGAGCAAAGCGGGACACTTTGGTATCCCATGGCCAGAGAGGAAGCAAGAGAGAAAGGAGGGGGATCTAAGTTCCTTGAAACAACCAGCTCTCATGTGAACTAAGCAAGAACTCACTCATCATCAAGAGGATGACGCTAAGCCATTCATGAGGGATCTACCCCCATGACCCAATCGCCTCCCACCAAACCCCACCTCCAACATTGGGAATCATATTGCAACATGAGATCTGGAGAGGACAAACATTCAAGCCACATCAGGAACCTGCCTGAGCTGCTGGGAACTCACCCTCATCTACCCTCTAGCCAGAAGCTCCATGTGGCAGGCACTGTTCACACACTCTATGTGCATTGACCTAAATGAGTTAAGTAGAATGTTTCTAACATTTTAGAGATGAGGAAACTGAGGCACAAGGTATTCAGGTATTGACTACGATCATACAATTGAAAAATTGAGAAGCCAAAATTCAAACCTATATGGATTGACCTGGGGCCTGTGTGAGAGGTTCCACTTACATCTATGTAAGGTTTCAATTGAAGAAAGGGCTCAAAGGCAAGAAACATGAGCAAACTGCTGCTCTCAGTGGCGCCAGAAGTGACACCCTCGGACTAGGAATTTGAAGAAAAGCTCCAGAGTAACATGCCAGGTACACACACATGCACACAGGTGCATGCTGGTTCATGAAAGCACCCATACTTTTCCCACTCAAACTGCCATAGCATCCAAAGTCTACCATTAGAAATTCATGCCTATTCTTCACTACCCTTTCTTCTTTTAAAATTCAAATTCCACATCATGTCAGATTACAGCAATCATCAGTTTATTTGATCCCTGTGAGAAGATGATCAGATTCAAACTTAGGGATAAAAAGCAGGAGGGTGCTGGGTGAACTTAGAAGGGATGGTGCTAAGAGAAACATGGAGTGCTAAAAGAAGACCCACAGATGCATTCCACCACTTTCTGGAGTGTTCAGACCTGTCTGAGGATGTCTGGCAGAATGGTGGGGTGCAGCTGCCTGGAGTCAATTTGCATGCAGGACCCAGGAACATTCTGGAAAAAAGCATGTGCAGATGTAATACAAAGGTAAGCAGATAAGGCTGGCTTGACCAAGTGCCTGCTTCCTGAACTTTCTGAATGTAGCAGGGTCTGTTTTCACTACAGATTTCCTAAGACATCTGTGCGTAGGTCCTGCCTTGATGATCCTCTCATGGCACACAGTGACCAAGTGGGAGAGAAGCTTCTCCACACTTAAGAAGGCACCTTGGGTGGAGAGAACTCCAGAAAACAGACTAGCCTCATCACCCCAAGACCCAGAGATGCTGTAGAGTGCTGGTGTGCCAGTGGTCATGGGCAGAAGGAACCAGGGCACGAGTGCTGGTGCCCAGGAGAGCCAGGGTACCTAGGAGAAGAGGCAGAGGTCCTCTGTGAACAGGCTGGTGGTAACAGAAAGCAGTGTTTGATGGGTGTATTTGAGAGCACCATCATTCACTAGTAAATACTTGCTCAGAAATATGTGAGGGAGACTTAAACTGAGAACTAGAGATGAGGAGGTGAGGTAATGTCATCTAGGGGAGGTGACAGCAAAATGTGGAAAATAATTTTCCTATTATTATGAGTGAATTGTGTCCCCCATGTCCCAAGGTTTGTATGTTGAAGCTTAGTACCCCAGAAAGTGGCCTTACTTTGAAATAAGATCATTGCAGATATAATTAGTTAAGATGAGATCATACTGGCTTAGATCTACGCCAAAATGACTGATGTCCTTATAAAAAGAGGAAATTTGGTGGATGCAGTGGCTCTTTCCTGTAATCCTAGCTCTTTGGGAGGCCAAGGTAGGCAGACTGCTTGAGCCCAAGAGTTCAAGACCAGCCTGGGTAACATTGCAAGACCCTGATTCTACGAAAAATGCAAAAAATTATCTGGGCATGATGGCACATGCCTGTAGTCCTACCTACTTAGGAGGCTGAGGTGGGAGAATTGCTTGAGCCCAGAAGGTCAAGGCTGCATTGAGCCATGATTGTGCTACTGGCATTTCAACCTGGGTGACAAAGCAAGACCGTGTCTTTTTAAAAAGAAAAAAAATGGAAACATAGACATGCACACAGGGAGAACACCATGTGAAGATGAAGGCAGATATCTGGGTGATGCTTCATAAGCCAAAGTAATGCCAGGTTGCCAGAAATCCACCAGAGTCTAGGAGAGAGGCACACAAGATTCAGCCTACAGCTTCAGAAGAAACCTTCCCTGCTGACACCTTGATCTCAGTCTTCCAGCCTTCAGAGCTAAGAGATAATCAATTTATGTTGTTTAATGCAACCCAATTTGTGGGACTTTGTTACAGCAGCCCTGGGAAATGAACACAATGAGGAATGTAGCTGCATTTGTACCCACAGGCCAATGTGACCTGGGTCAGCCAACATCTGCAACTAGAAGCTCACCTTGAAAATCGATGCTCCTTAAACTCATCACCAGGACCTGATTATGATACAGTCAGCCAACTAATTACTGCCAAGAATAAGAAATAAAAGTTTTCTGTTTCCACCAGAGTAAGAAGGTCCAGCTGTTCCATTAGGAGCAGTGATTAATCCAGTTTTGAAGAGCTGGGTATTTCCTGTTGAGCTAGGTCTTTCCTCTGGGGAAATTCTTATTTTTCACAACCAAGGAAGAAAGTCTTATTCACTATATGGCAGGAACTCAAGAAACATGGTATTGAGGATGTTGATGACAGAGATGATGGGAGTAGTAGTGGTAAAAATAGAAATTAGCCATTTCTTCAATAATCTTCACTATAAGAGTTGGATGGAGCACAACCATCTTCCATGGAAGTTGTTCCTGTTTTCTCATTTCACCTTCTGACATCACTTGTAAAATGTATATTAAGACAGCAGCATACTATTTTTTGAAATGAGACACTTAAAATACCCTGAATCAAGTAAAAATATGAAAATCTTTAAATTAATAATAAGGACTTGCTGGCCTTCAGAACATTCATTTGAGCTATTTTTGATATGTGAGAAAGTTGTGCAATCTCGTCTCTTGTAATGTGACTTTCACTAGTGTATTAGAGAATATGTTATTCCAATTTGCAAAAATTATGTAACCAAGAATTTATTTGCTGTCTTTCATATGCCAAGCAGTGTGTAATGGAGAATAAAGAAACTCAATACGTGGTTTCCGCTCTGAAGGACCTTACTTGTTAAGCAGGGCAAGACCTTAAGACAAGAAGCAATAATGGGTGAATAAGGTGAGGTGATGAATTTTTCAAGACTAAGAAAGCTCGAAGAAGGAAATATGCAGTCCTTGGAGAGACAGGACCCAAAGCAACCTCACAAAACCAGTCCTGTTTTGACTGAAGAGTCTGTCTGGCTTAGACAATCCTTTTCATCTTTTGGTTTCTAGTTTGGTACAGGGAAAAATGTCCTTGATACGCCAAAGCATTCTCATGAGAAATGCACCAAAATTTTTTAAATGTGCATTTATTTGATGATCAGCAAATGTTAGGTCAATTGTGGTAAAATGTTTTCTGGGTCGGGCGCTGTGGCTCACACCTGTAATCCCAGCACTTTGGGAGGCCGAGGTGGGCAGATCACAAGGTCAGGAGATCGAGACCATCCTGGCTAATATGGTGAAATCCCGTCTCTACTAAAAATACAAAAAATCAGCCGGGCGTGGTGGCGGGCGCCTGTAGTCCCAGCTACTCGGGAGGCTGAGGCAGGAGAATGGCGTGAACCCGGGAGGTGGAGCTTGCAGTGAGCCAACATCGCGCCACTGCACTCCAGCCTGGGTAAAAGAGCGAGACTCCGTCTCAAAAACTAAATAAATAAAATAAATAAAAAACTTTTTCTGACCAAATGGACACCTGTTGGTTTTGCCTACTCAGCACCCATTTCCTTGTTGTTGTTGTTGTTGTTTTAATGCAAATATTTTCCTTTAGAAACCACCTCTCACCCACCCTCAGACTAACCACATTGGCTGGGACTGATCCCACTTATCCCTATTTTCCTATGGGCCCTGACAGCAGCCTGGCCATTCAGAGCAGTCCATGCCTCAGGCCAGACTTGGGCTCAAGAATTGGCATAGCTTTGTGTATATGGAGCCAAGACGTACTTTGAAAAGTACAACGTTGTTTAATAAGTATTTAAGTGCCCTTTTCATCTGCCAATCAATTTAAAATAAGGTATTGAACTACTAGTAAAGTCTAAATTAACGTCATAATATTAAAAATAAAACGAATATGATATTCAAAAATATATCAATGTCTTGGGAGGGTTTTAAACAAGCGTTTTAGAAATACTTTAGAAACAATTATCTGGGCCAGACAGATATAGTGCTTTATGGACTGAGTTGTAGGTTTATGATCCTTACATTATCCAAAGCACCTGATAAATCACAGGGCTGTTTCGGCTCTTTCCAATGGTCACTGAAAACTTTGAGTAGATATAATTATCAATGTTATGCACATTTTCTACATATTGAAAGCACTGGAAGCTCTTCCTACATAAAGTATCAAAATATGAAATAGTTTGAAAAATGTGTCAGGCTTCATTTTATTTGATAAAATGCTGTATTTAAATATAATTAAAATAAAAAGTCAAAACCACATTAAAACTGTGTCAATATTTCAGCAAAAGGTGATTTTTTTTCCTCAAAACTCAGAAATCTATCCCATCTCAACTGATGTTCCACGGGCTATACAGTATATTTCCTGTATGTAAACAAGTAAAAATAACACCAGCACTTCTCCAGGGCTTCTGTGTCAATATGTTATCAGAAAATATCACCTATCTCTCTCCCCTCTTGGGCTTATTAAAATGAAATTTGGTAAGTTAAATCAATTAGATGAAAAAATACTTTTTTAAAAAGTTCAATTTTATATTTTAAAATTAGAAGTAAAAAAACTCATATTGTACTTTTGCTATGTTGAAAGCATTGCTCATTTCTTGATAATGAAAAGGGAAACGTTACATCCAGTTGAGAGGAAAAAAAAAAAAAGATGCTGATGGTGATGCTGACTTAAAATAAATAATCACAAATAGCCACGCATTTGTAGCCCTGCACTTCCAGACTTCCCTTCATGAAAGCCCTTGGGATTGGGGCCATTTTTAAAGGCTCTGGAGTGACCAGAACATTAGCTAATTTCAGAGAGTACAAAATGAAATACTATCTATGAATTCCAATAAGCATCGTCTCTAAAGATGACTTCTCAGAACTGCGGAACTCTTTATGGAGATTTTAGCTGGGATGATGGTGCTTGTAAGTAATCTCACCCCAAAGCAGTTCATTTTCAAGAAGACACTTACATCACTAATTGTTCTCACTCAGAGAGCTATTTAATGCTCCCAGATCCTCCAGCCCCTCCCCACTGCTCTCCTTCGTTCCAATGCTGTCTTGTCTCCTAATGAGAAGCCTGCAGCATCTATCAGCCCTCCCAGAAGCCCTGTACTCCCACCTCCTGCATGGGAATGTATAACTGCAGAGGGGGCTCTGAGCAACAAATGACTCTTCCTTAGTGAGGAACGAGATAGACTAAGAGTTCATGGTAAGAAAGCTCAGAAAGTATAAACAGAGCACCTTAAAAAACAATGACCAGCAATTTAGTACAGATAGAAGTAACAGCGAGTTAGTAAGCTCTAAAGCAGAATTGTAAACCCCTATTCTTCAAAAAGCATAGTACATTCTAAGGAAAAAACTGAATTATCTAAACACTCTAGAAATCTAAAAAAGACAACTCTAAACCAAACTAAATGTTTCTACCCCAAAGAAAAGACAAATGCTGATCTTAGAGAGTTTACATGCTCCTAGAGATCTTTGAGGTTAAAAATTCCCCAAATGATTCATTTTGACCACCTCAATTTTGGTGAGAAAGGAAGAAGACAGCTTACGATATTGAAATTAATGTGCATGGGGAGTATTCATCCTGCATGGAAATCACGTCAAAGAACACCTTAAGTTGTTAATTTCATAGACTTAAAATACTTTAAGCTTCTTAGCATTTATAGGAAAAATTACTACATTTCATGATAAGCTGAAACTAAACATTTTCAAGAATTTTCTTGTATGAAAAGAGGAGGAGATTAAAGGTATCTTTCTTGGGATCATGGAAAGTCATCAAATTGATACAAATTGAGTGTTAACTCTTTTTCTGTTCCTTTTATTGTATATCCCCCAGTCATTTATCCTCTTTGTGGTTCAGCGCCCTTCTTTGTGGAATCAAGCTGTTTTGAAAGTGCTAGATTCTCTACCCAGGAAGATAGTGTACATTCTAGGAGTAAGTGAGCCCCCACTGAGAGATGTGTGAATTAGCCCTACTGTGGGATGGCGGACAATGTGTAAACTCTCCTCCAGTACACACACACCTAGTAATTTAGATAATTCTATTAGCCATATGTTGCTAGAGATTTCCCTTTCCCATAAGCAAATCACAACGAAGGGAAAGGTTGTTTGAGCATCAGCCAAAAAAATAAAAATAAAAAATAAAAAAAGAATGTTTATTGATGGCTTTCATTGTGCTAGATTCTGAGACTCCGTGAGATAGCCCATTCCCCCTGGGTTTTACCCGCCAGCCCGGGAGCTATGACACAAATTCCGGGAGATGAACTGAGCAGCCTCAGCTCAGTGTTGGCTGTGAAGGCAAGAGGCACATGCTCTAGGAATTCCAGAAAGGAGGTGATACGAGGGACCGGGCTGGACAGCAAACAGCATTCTGCAGAAATTATATGACTTTTTTTTAAAGACCTTTTTATCTGGAAATAATTTCAAACTTACAAAAAATTACAAAATACCACAAAGGTCTCCTTTATGTCTTCACCAGATTTCTCAATTATTAACATTTTGTTATTTTTGCTCTGTCATTTTCTACCTTATGAATCATTTGAGAGTAAATTACAGACAAGATGCCTCTCTACTAAACACTTTAGTGTGTATGTCCTAAGAAGGACATGCTCTTACATAAGCTCAGTGCAGTTATCACAGTCAGGAAATGATCATTGACACAATACTCTCATCTAACCTTGGAGATGACTTTTTAACTGCCCCTTTTGCACAGTTTCTCCTATTCCATGGGTTTCTGTGTATTCAAAACAATAAAAAACAACCCTCATTTTTATTTGGGTCTTAAGAGATTCCCAACAGGGAGAGAGGTGGACCTCAAACCATCCAAACCTCAGTCCAAAGAGTCTCCAATAAGATGGCATTCAACTCTCAAAGGAAACACATTTTCAACTCATCATTTAGCCAGCTTCATTTCTCAAAATTCCCTCTGACAGCAAAAGTTTTAACAGTTAAGTTTCTGCCAGAAGAGTTGTCTAGCAGTTGTTCCCGTCCCCTGTTCCTCTGTGCCAGCTTCCTCCCCCTCCCTGTCTGCCCCATGTCTGACACCGAAGCCACATCAGACGCTGGGAGAAGAAGCAGACACACACCCTGTCAACACATCTTTGGCTGCCCGACTCTCAGCACAGTAGTGGCGGGGGGTCACCAGCAGACAGGATGCTTCCCACATGGGGATGATTTAATCCCCAGCGTTTTCATCCAGTGCAAGAGAGAAGCCCGCTGCTTGTGGGCCAGGTGATGGGAATTAGGCAGGAGCCGTGGTAAGAATAAAGGCGCTCCTGAGTGACAGGCATCACCCCTCCTTCACTGGGGTTTTGCCACTGTAAGGCTCAAAATACCCGACAACAAAAAACTTCAGAAATTAATCTGGGATTTTCATTTTAAAAAGACTTTTTGAGCCCTTTTAGGCAGATGCTGAAATCATTTCAACATGCTCTTCCATAACAAGGTTCAGTGTTATTTTAAAAAATTACTTGGAGCAGGGTGTTCATGCTTGGTAACAGATACATTTTAGGACTTGGCTCCTGGGATGGCCTGTTAACCAAATACAATCATGTGATTATTCTAATGACACATCTGGGTCCTTCCAGAAATGTGAAAGAATGAACAATCTAATAACCAATTCCTGGAATAAATCACATGTGCTTTTCCAGAACTTTCTCACAACCTAATACAGTTTTCTTCCATTAACAAAAGGCATAACATTTAGCATTTTCTCTGGCAAACTGAAAGCACAAAGAACCCACAAAAATTAAAAAAGTAAGCGCAGAGAAATATTTTATGATTGTTTTATAGTTTTATTTATGATTAGTTGAAATGAGAACTTGGGTCTTTTTTTTTTTTTTTTTTTTTTGAAACAGGATCTCACTCTCTTGCCCAAACTGGAGTACAGTGGCACAATCTCGGCTCACTGCAATCTCTGCCTCCTAGGTTCAAGCAATTCTCCTGTCTCAGCTTCCTGAGTAGCTGGGACTACAGGCATGCACTACCATGCCCAGCAAATTTTTGTATTTTTAGTAGAAACAGGGTTTTACCATGTTGGCTGGGCTGGTCTTGAACTCCTGACCTCAAGTGAGCTGCCTGCCTCGGCCTTCCAAAGTGCTGGGATTACAGGCGTGAGCCACCATAGCCAGCCAAAGACTTAGGTCTAGACACTTTGCTCAAAATGCAACCCAAAGATTAGCAACATCAGCATCACCTGGGATTTGTTAAAATTCAGACTCAGGTCCCACCCCAGGACCCCTGCATCAAAATTTGGATTTTAACAGGATGTCTGAGTGATCTGCACACACACTAAACTGTAAGAAGCCATTTTTTAAACAAGTGTGCCATCCAGGCAAGGCTAAAAGAAGCCACCAGAGAGTGAAGAAAATCCCAACAGAGTTCGCAGAAGAGGTGGGGGCCACAGTAAACTTAAGGAGTATCAGTATTTTCCAAAGAACCAAAAAACTAATATCCCACTTAATTTATCCAAAATAGAGTTACCAGATATAGCAAATAAAAATACAGGGCACCCAGTCAAATTTAAATTTCAGAGCAGCAATGGACAATTTTTTGGTATGTCCCAAGAAGCATTTGGACACATTTTTACCAAAAAATTATTTGTAGCTTATCAGAAATTCTAATTTAACTGCACATTCTATATTTTATCTAGTAATCCTATTTCAGAGACTCTAGATTAAAAAGCAAATTGCAAATATGTCCTTCTGAATGAAGGTTTCCCTAATAGACTTTGACGAACTTTGCTAAAAGAACGATAGCCTTTTCTTTCCTTAGCTATTTGTATTTGTTTTTGTCTTTTTTCCTTCCTTTCTCCTTCCTTCCTTCCTTCCCTTTCCTTTCTTTTCTTTCTTTCCTTTCTTTTCTCCTTTCCCTTCCCCTCCTTCCTTCCTTTTTCTTTTCTCTTTCACTCCTTCCTTCCTTCTTTTATACCCGAAGTTCATCTTATTTCTCATGTGTTCCTGAGACTGTAGCTAACCTATTTTATTCTCTTACCAGAACCCAGGCAAATAAGTGTTAATCTGGAATAGTTCTACTTGTTGTGGCATGAGAACTGCTCACAACTGGAAAAAAATGGTTTTTACTTACTGGGAGCATCCTGGCTAAATTTGTAAACGCGTCCCTCCGTTACCAATAATAAACGACGTAGGACTATACCATCCAAATAGCTACCTTCCAATATTTTAAAGTGCTTAATTATGAAATGACAATTCTAAGAAAACTTAATAAAATGTAGAAAATACTATACAGTTCAAAAGCAAGATTTTACCTTCTAAGAACAGAATGAAAACAATCAAACAAAAATTCTGAGGCCCAGTGATTTCACTCAAATGAGAAACACAGAAAACAATGAGTAGGGCCAATGTGCAGTAAAAGGCACCTTACATTCATGGAAAAGGAAAGAATTCAAGCATGTGTTAAAAGGGCAATAAAATAAAAAGGAGAAAAAAATATAAAAGCCTATTAAGCCACAAGAATGTTTCTTTTGATGCTTATTTTTGTATTAAATAGCAAAAGGATAATGCCATCAATTAACCATGATCTTCATAATAAAACAGAATATTTTACAGTCAAAAAAAAAACTTGGAAAACCCAGCTTTTAGTTCCCATGCAACATCCTCAAATCACTAGAACAAGTGAGTTGCTAATTTTCTTCTCTGTTACAACAACAGAAATAAAATCTAGCAGAGAACAAAACAGTTACCATACCCACAACCAACATCTCTACGCATCTTTTTTTTTTCCAGCTGCTATTCATATCAAGTTTAAGAAGCCACCCCATAAGTCTCCCAGAAGTCTCTGAAAAATAAAAATAGGCAGAAAAGATGATTACTGAGGACTGTGAGTGGGAAAACCATGTACTCAATTTGTTCCCAAAGTTTTTCAAGAAAGCAAGATGATTTTAGTAACATATTTGCGCTGATTCCTCTAAAAGGACCATGCACCATAATGAATGCCGAGTAGTGGAGTTGGTGGTGACAGTTGGGTTGGCATTCTTAGACCCAGATGTTCTCAGCCAGCATCAGCTTTGATCTCCCTGACGACCTGCATACTCTTAAGATGCTGGTTTAGAAGATTTTTTGCAGAGTGGAAAATACCAGGGAAAGATGCACAGAGGAGTGCTGAAACCTAAATGCTGCCTTAGGTTGGTCAATTGTACCATCAAAGGAATTGAATTTCTCAGAGATAAGAGTTTTGTGTACACTGTAAGATGAACTTTTCCATTCCTGATCACTAGATGGTGTGAAGGAGTCCAGAATATGCCACCCCAAAATATGCCACTTTAGCATGAGTATTATTTTGAGCTGAAGGCAACTGCGAATCAACAGAAGCAGGGAAAGTTCTCTGCCCTCCCCTTATCTGCCTAAAAACAGGGTATAAATTTCCTCTTGTGAAAGAGTCATATATTCCCCAGTCCCCCTGGACCAGGATGAAAAGAATGACCTTTATCACTGAAGAAATATAATTGACACTGAGATGAGTCTGCATAAACAAATTTTAAAATTATCCTTAACTTTTGTATTAGTCAGAGGGACAGAACGCTAGAGGGACAGAACTAATGGAATAGATTAGATTAATAGAAAACTCCATTAACTACCTGACCTCCATAAGCCCCTCCTTTAACTGGAGGACCACAGTGACATTTAAGGTCCCCTTGGATGAACGTCAGTTCACAGCCAGTGTCCAGTAGTCCTCAAAAAGTCTGATCATTTCCCTTTTCCCAGTGAACAGTTAACCCTGGTAAAAGACTGGAGGTCTCCTTGGGGAAGGATGGGAGAAAGAGTCACTGCATAAATAGTTGGTAATGTAGTGCTGGTCCTTCCTCAAAAGAACCCAGACTCCCCTTCATTCAAGGGGTTCTGGGTCTGTAAACCGTCTCAAGTCTGGAAATTGATTGAGGGGCTGTGATTCTCCATTTTTATAATTCAAATTAGACTTTCATCCATTTGACCTAGAAGTTATCCGCTTGTATAAATTAAGTAGGAATGCAGTAGGCTTCCTATCAATTTCACTTCTAGGAACACCATGATTAATTACCCAATGCCAGAGCTCTACATGAGTCAGACTATTCTGATTGCTGCTTTGCCTCGGCTGTCCGTTACGGTAGCTACACCCACCTTGTCTTTGGTGGTTGAGTGCTGCCACTTGGCCCCTGCCACCTGAAGATCCAATTATTGCCACTGTATTTAAATTTTGTAGTTGAGTGACTGTGGTTCCCCGTTAGATCTGACATACAGAAAAGAGCAATTACAGGGCTCTTCAAAGATGCAGGTGCTGCCCTCACAAATCCATTTTGCAAGGCATCGGTCAAGGGTATATTTTTCTGGACCCTCCCAGCTGGGATGAGCAGGTCTAAAGTGACTAATTCACTCCACCATCCCAATCTCCCTAAGCCTTTGGATCCCTTCCTCTACATTAAACCAAGAGAGATCAGGCATTTCCACCTTGCTCACAGGGGTCGTTTTTTAATCCAAATTTTAGCTAACCAGGCAAATAAACTATTAGAACCTTTTTTAACTTCCCGAGCTGCAGCATTAAATGCAGAGTCCTTACTTAGTGGGCCCAAATCAATAAATTCAGCCTGATCCAACTCTGTGTTCCTTCCACCATTATCCCACATCCTTAATATCCATTCCCATGCCTGTTCTCCAGATTTGTTTATATAAATTAGAAAACTCAAACAGTTATTTTTGAGCATAGTACACCCCCTCATGGGTCACACTCTCAACCTCACCTCTAGGGGCCTGCTTGGACTTTAGTCTAGTTACAAATGTAGAAGCAAACAGGGGTGTTAGGGGTGGCTCCTGAGGAGAATCAACATTATTTTGCCTGGCAACTGCCTCAGAGGAGGCCATCACTGTTGCCTCAGGCAGTGCAGGGTTTATCTCCTCAGACAAAGGGGGAAAGGCTGATGGCCATGATGGCATGGGTTGGGGAGTGGATGTTGCCACTAATGGGGATGAGGAAGTTGTTGGTTCTGGCAAAAAAGGCTCATCAGAGTTTACAAACTCAGTGTCCCCAGCTTCATCAGGGTCCCCCCACATGTCTCCATTCCGAGTTGCAGGTTTCCTTTCTTTCCCAATCAGTGCCCTCACTTTAACAGTAGACACCTGGAGAGACTGTGTATGCACCTTTCATTGCAGGTCAGACACTCGCATGATAAAAGCTTGTATCTGTTTCTCCACAATTTCAGCTCTTTCTCTACAGGAGATAAGACTCTTACTCAGGGCAATCTTAGCAGATTTGAGGCTCAGTACCTGCTTCTGAAGTTGGGAACTAGAATCCCTGAGTTCATCATTTTATTTCATCACTTTGTCCAGCGAACTTCAGAGCAACCAACCAGCTTCATTCTGTTCTTTGGTTCTCCACATATGATCAAATGCATTATGTATAGAGTCACTAAACTCCTTGCCTCTCATGAGTGATAAATCAGGAGTGTCAAATGCATTTATTTTGCATAATTCTCTAAACAGTTCACACCAAGGACTATCAGTGTTCTCCATACTATTAGAAGTAGAGTCCTTAGCATGTTTTGATCTAATCATATTAAGCAGTCAGCTCCAGAAATCCCAAAACCAACGAAAGAACTCCATCCTTAATATTATTTTCCTCTAGAACTACTCCTAGTGCCAAAATCTGTATTAGTCAGGGTTTTAGTCAGGGTTCTCCAGAGGGACAAAACTAAGGGAATATATATATATTTATGGAGCTTATTAAATATTAGCTCACATGATCACGAGGTCCCACAATAAGCCATCTGCAGGCTGAGGAGCAAGGAGAGCCAGTCTGAGTTCCAAAACTGAAGAACCTGGAGTATGATGTTCGAGGGCAGGAAGCATCCAGCACAGGAGAAAGATGTAGGCTGGAAGGCTAGGCCAGCCTCTCTTTTCACATTTTTCTGCCTGTTGTATTCTAGCCACGCTGGCAGCTGATTAAATGGTGCTCATGCAGATTAAGGGTGGGTCTACCTTTCCCAGCCCACTGACTCAAATGTTAATCTCCTTTGGCAACACCCTCACTGACATACCCAGGATCAATGCTTTGTATCCTTCAATCCAATCAAGTTGACAGGCAGTACTAACCATCACAACTTCATTAGTTTTCCCTAGGAATTTCCTAGTTACTTTTCCACAAATTTTCAGTCCTGGAAGCCCAATTCCTCTTTCCTTTGTCCAGGTACTTTTTCGCAGTTTATTACTCTTTGTTAAAATGGTATATAAGCCCCAGAGTCTAACCACTTCTTTGTGTTGTCAACTCCTGTGCACACAAAAATATTAACATCAATAAAATGTATATGCCATTTTCCCTGTTAATCTGTCTTGTCAGTTTAATTTCTATGCCCCAGTTACTAAACCTAAAATGGTAGAGGGAAAAGTGGTTTTTTCCTCCCCTACACGTGACACAGGGCTGTAAAATATGTTCAAGTTAATTTAATCTGTTTTAAGGTTTAATGAGACTGGTTTTATTTTAGAGCACAATGAACTTTGGAACTCTTTCCTCTCAGTTGCCTAGATGCAGGTATGACACATCTGAGAAATTATCCAGGAATTAGCTTTATCACAAGAAGAAAAAGTCAAACACCCGTGATTGTTGCTTTCCCACAAAACAGGGGTGCATCTTAGAATTTCTGCACCTCTGACTTGGCAGAAGCCTCAGCTTCATGAATAGTTGCAGGAGGTAAGTTGATGCAATGGGATGCTGGGCAGGTCTCCTAAACCCAAATCTCCCGCCTCCTCATGTTCCCTGTAATTTCCATAATAGAAGACAACAGTTTTCATTTCACAATTATTGATAGCAATCACAAAACAATACCTGTGAGAAATGTTATACTAACAATCCCACATTCAGTTTTCAATGGTTAAGAGACATCTTTTCCAGCAAAAGATGTGGATGAGACTGAAAAGGATATCACAGATGGAGGAGACAAACACTTAAAATGGGGTTTAGCCATGATGGAAATAAATTTCACCTACTTCTGAGCTTGACAGGTCAACCCTTACTAGGCTTCATCCATCGACCCAAAGCAGCTACTCAGATGTTACTTTCCAAGCATTGTTTTTTGGTTTTTTTTTTTTTTTTTTGTGAAAACAAAACAAAACAAAAAAACACCTGAGTTCATCATTTATTTCATTTTTTTGGTAAAACAATTCATTTAATTCTTGCCTTCAAAGAGCTTTTCAACTGGAGGAGGATGTAAAGAAAAATGCATAATTATGTAGAGTAGAAACATAAATACATTCTAGCAATTTACAGTCCTTTAGAGCCTAAAGTTTAGAAATACATACACTTCAACACATATTCCAAAAATACTTCTGCAAAGAGGCAGCCCTCTCCTACCAACAGCTACTAAAAGAGTCCACCAAATGTCTAGATATAAAAATACATAATCATACAATTAATGAAAACTTATTTTGCATTGTGTAAAATTTCAAGTATCTATCAAGGTTGGTTCTATCATTGGTGTGCTTGAATTGGAGGGTGAGCAAGGCTCCTATGTTGCACCTGGGAATGCACCTCTTAAATCTGTTAATATGTTATCCTTCTCTTTTTAATTTTCTTAAAATTTGTTTGTTGAAAAACCTAGAGCATATTTTCTACATTTTGCTTGTTGCTGACTGTATCCCCATGGTGATTCTTGATAGATTTATTTTTCCCTTGTGTTTTCTACAGCCCTAGTAGTGAGATCTAGAGGCTGGCTAAGATTTAGCTTAGAAGGTTTGAGTGATAGTATATCAGGAGATGTGCTGTGTCCTTCCCATTGCATCCAACTGGAGACACGTAATATCTGGTTCTCTCTCTTTTTGTGATATTGGCATTGACCATTGGGAGTAGGTGATGCCAGCTTCATCCAAAGCTTCCCTTCAGCATTTTGTCTAACAGTTTTAGCAGTCATTGATAATCCTTGCCTAGACTCATTGTTTCATTAGTGGTTACAAAGTGGCGGCATTCTAGCTCCTTCTAATGCCTCCTTTGTTTATAAATTCTTTTGAAAAAGAAAAAATTTATCTCCTCAACTATTTTGGTTATCCCAAGGTACAGCGCTTTCTGGAAACTGGGGATAAATGCTTGATTCTTTACCTTTATTTGCCACTTTTCAGAACAATGAGTTGGTTCCTGGCATCCTACAAGGGGAGTGCAAAGCTTTTAAAATATCACTATAAATGCTTGGATTTTGACATATCCTCTATGTTTCAATACATTGCAGATATTATTCTTTGTTTGTTTGTGTTGAAATAGGATCTTCTGCTGTTGCCCAGGCTGGAGTACAGTGCTGCAATCATAACTCACTGCAGCCTCGACTTCTTGGGCTCAAGTGGTTCTCCCACCTCAGCCTCCTGAGTAGCTGGGACTGTAGGCGTGCACCACCACACCCAGCTAATTTTTCATTTTTTATTTTTTGTAGAGACAGGGTATCACTATGTTGTCCAGGCTGGTCTTGAACACCTGGATATTGTTCTTTTTAGATCCATCTTTGAATATAGTTTTTTCATCTTTGGCCAGTAGGAGGCTTTACCTGTTGAGTCCTGTGTGTTTTGAGTCTTTTCCCATTGCCTAAGCTGTCTTTGAAGGCTTCCTTGCTTTCTGGTATGATAAGATGTTACCACCTCATCTTGAACATTTCTTGCCCCAGGCTGGAATTAACCTTTTTTTTTTTTTTTTTCTCTCAAGGACCCTGGTTCCTTTCAATAAAAAAGGCATTTGGATACGAAAGCATGGATGCTTGGGAGCTCCTTGTTCTTGGGGGGGTTAATCATTGGTTCTAGACCTTTTCAGTGGACACATCCAGAAAACGTTTTTAAATAGAAATACATCAGGAGTTTATACCAATATTTACAATTCAAGTTAAGAGCTACAGATTTTTAAATGTAGTGTCTTTGATTTTCTATTTAATTATCTTAAGTCAAAAAACTTGATTTCTTATGACATAAATATAATTATTTTGTGCTTTTCCTGGTTAATGTAAGAAAAAAATTTTAAGAATCCATACCAACATATTATTAACAATATAACTACTGAAGCAATTTAATATTTTGTTGCAGTTCTTTTCGTCCTGAGGACATGTCCCACTGCAGATATACAACCAAATAGACAAGAGTGTAAATCACTTCAAATAATTCCTTTCTACATGGTTAATACTCCGACTGATTTATTTCATTTTGTTTTTGAATTAAGGGATTTTTTTTGTTTTATAATTTTGTCAAATATTTGTATATTTTCAAATGAACAAAACAAAGCAAATTCAGGAAAACCTCGTTTCCAAATCTGTTGCTTTCACTGTTTCCTCCCTCCTCTAATGATTCGCTTTTATTAATTTGTTGTTTCCTATCCTACTGTCATTGAATGTGTTAAATATTAAATACACACTCACTTTTCTTAGGCAAAAGGTAGCATAATACACATTCTAATTTTTGTCTTACTTTTTGCACTTAAGAATATATTCTAAAGATTACCCCTTGGCAGTATATAAGTTAGTCTTTCATCTCTTTTAGTAGCTACATAGTAGTTCATTGTGTAGATGTAGCATAGTTTATTCAATCAGTCCCCTCCTGATGAATATTTGGGCTACTGCCAGTCTCCTTCCACTGCCACCAGTGCCACAATAAATAGGCTTTTGCATTTTTTTTTTTCATATTTGGTAGTCTATCTTTGGGATAGATTCCTAGAAGTGGGATTGTTTGGTTAAAAGATAAATAGAGCTATCATGTTGCTGAAATCCCTGCCTAGTGGCTGTACCACTTTGCATTTCCACCAACAATACATAAGAATGTGTGTTTTCCCAAGAGAATATTTTCAAATTTCAAAGTATTCAATTAGAACACCCACCAAGAAAGATCTTTATTAGGAGAATCAAACTAAAGCTATTGATACTTAAAATACACCTAATAACAACAATTTTTAAAGCTTTTGACAGGTGCTTTTCATGAATATAGACCTAAGAATTTGACTTAGAAATAAGAGAGACGTTGTACTGAAAAGATAGAAGTAGAGAGAGGAGACCCAGTGGAAGAGTAGAAAAGTAGAGAGTCATTGGCTTAAAGAGTTGAAAAATAGATCCTTATCTCAGCCCTGCTGTGAGCTAGGTATGTAATCTACACGAAATTGCCTGCCACTCTGGGTTTCAGTTCCCTCTGATGCATAAGCAGGAGGTGAGGTTTCTTACCTCACCCTGCTGTCAGTTGCCTTCCAGATCTCTCATCTGTGTGCCTGCATGCAGAAGGCGAAAGGAATGCTACAGGAAGCCATCAGACCAGGGTGGGAAAAACTGGGGGAAGCCCCACTTCCACGTTAGACCAAAATCAAATCAGAACCCCAGACACTCCCAAGCTGGGTGTTGTTTGCAAAACATTGTTCTCCTGGGACCTGGGACCAAGGTTGGGCAGAGGGTGGAGTCTTCAACATTTACCAAGTTCCTGTTTTAGGCTGGGCATGCTGTAGCTGCCTGGCATTCGTCAACTTGCTTTTGTCCCTGTAATCTGTTTTGCAAATAAAGACACATGGTCTCAGAGAGATTAAGTGGTTTGTCCCAAATCACACAGCTGGCAGCAGAGCTGGGGTTAAAGTCTTCTTATTGCTTTGTACCTGTGAGCCCTACACTGCTGCAGAAATACTACAAAGAATCGGTTCTCTCCTAGACGACAGAGGCCATGTACTGAACACAATTAGTTAAACCCTGTGTAAAACTGGAGCCTTCTGGGCATGATAGAGAACTTCCAGCTGTCTTTGAACAAGACAGCTTTGTCCCAAGAAAGCTGTCAAATGACTCACTGCCTGATAAGGAATTAGAAAACCATAAAATAATCCTGTCAATCTATTCACTAAAAGCTAGAAGTTCATTTGTTACCAAATTCCTGGCCAAGCAAAAAGGTGTCAAAAGGGAAATTAACACTTAATTGATCCATAACTATGCAGAAAGCATTATGTTGGGTAATTTACAGATGCTACTTAATTTAATTTTCATAATATTCCAATAAAATAAGAGTCATCTTTCCATTTTACAGACGAAGCAACTGAAGTTCAGAGAGATAAACTAAATGCTGTAAGTTCTCGCATTTAGTAGTGGTGGGACTATAATTTTACCATGTTTCTTTGTGATTTCAAAGCCCACTCTCAATTCCCCAAGTTGTATTAAGCCAATGTGACAGGACCGAAGGAGCCCGGCAGTGGACACAGAGCAGGATTTGTTCTTCTCTGGTTTTCTCGGTAACCAGCTATGTGCACATCACATAAAGACTTCGGAGTTCAGTTAATTTTTGTCAACATCTCTTGTTCCCTTCAGGTCACAGCCCACATTCTTAGCATGGCCACTCTGCCCTATGGCCACCGTGGCCTATATGACCTCATCCCTGCCTACCCAATAGAAGTCACTCCCACCTACCACACTCCAGCTCCCCTGGACCCACTGAGCTCCTTCAGAGCATCACACCATCCCACCTTGGAGGCTTTGGTTACACTGCTCCTTCTGCCTAGCACTCAGTCCTCCTTCTCCCTCTCCCGCTCCATCCCTTGGGTAATTCTTACCTATCCTTCAAGGATGAGTTTAGCCATGTTTTCCTCAAAGAAGTTTCTGATCATTCAATCACATAAGATCACTCTGCTATTTGCCTCCCTAGTATCATAGCCTCCTTTCCCTTTTTTAAATAGCATTTGTTACTTTTAACATGGTTTCTTCATCGTATTTTCTATTTCAAAGTTCATCTTCCTTGTAAGCTCTATGATGGTGACAAACACACTATCTGTCTCATTCACTGATATTTCCCCAGAGTCACACACAGCACCTGGCTCCATAAACACATGCTCCCGACTCCGTCCCTCCTGCTTGCCCCTTCCTGTAGCCTGGACAGGAGACTTGGGATTCTTCCAGGAGAGATGCTCTAGAGTGGACAGACTTCATCTATCATTGGCATTTTTTAAAAGACTTGATTAGAAACCAAAGTAACAAGTATGATTAAATGATGGAAATGCTAGATGTTAAAAACCAAGGTTAGAACTCCAGGTTGTGTCTTGTGACCTCAGCTGCCCATGAGTTTGGCAAACTGCAAAACCACGCATAGGAAGGGTTATTGCCTCAACTGTTGTTTTGGATCAGTTTAGTCAGACATGCATATGGCAGAATTCTTTTTTTTTTTTTTTTTTTGAGATGGAGTCTCGCTTTGTTGCCCAGGCTGGAGTGCAGTAGTGTGATCTCAGCTCACTGCAACCTCTACCTCCAGGTTTCATGCGATTCTGCTACCTAAGCTCCCAAGCAGCTGAGACTGTAGGTGCATGCCACCATGTCCAGCTAATTTTTGTATTTTTAGTAGAGATGGGGTTTCACCATGTTGGCCAGGGTGGTCTCAAACTCCCGACCTCAAGTGATCCATCCACCTGGGCCTACCAAAGTACTGGGATTACAGGTGTAAGCCACTGCGCCCAGCCCAGAAATTTAACATCAGGTGTATGTCATCAATTATAAAGCCCTGAGTATGGAGAATTCATCTTTTGCAGAAGGTTCTCCTGTGGCCAATTTACTAGAAAAATACAAAGAAACCACACCAGGAACCAGGAGGTAACACTATCAGCAACATCTTTGCATTAAGACAATATCTCCATCTAAACACACTCATTTTTATTTTTACTTAACTATAATTTGCTTGATAAAAATGCAAAATAATCTTCCGTGGTAAATTATAAATACTTTCACTCAATATTACAATTAACCTATATTCCTGAACCCCAAACCATGGCACACTGTCTAAGTGCCTTGTACACACTATTTTGATAAATTCCCACAGTGACTTTAAGGATGGTACTGGTGTTTTCCTTGTAGACAGCCAGGAAAGGGAGGAAAAGAGAGATCGAATACTGGTCCCACACAGTATGGGCGGAATCCAAACCCAGGTGGGAAGCTTCTGAGCCCGCTAGGAATCCTTCCTGTTTGTAAGCTTGCTTTGTATCAAATGATCAAGCACAGACACACTTATCCTAAAATGGGGAGCACATGCCCTGCTTTCTGACTGAACTTGAATTCTCAGAAACATTATTTATGGGGGAAAAGTCTTACAAGTAAAGAAGTCAGCTAGCTTCTCAGTCCAAAATCTACCTAGAGAAATCTTTTATTATTGTCCAATTAAGTTTGGCAAATTGCAAAACCACTCATAGGAAGGGTTACTGCCTAAATTGTTGTTTTGGATCAATGTAATCATACATGCATATGGTCGAAATTTAACATCAGGTGTGTGTCATCAATTATAAGGCCCTGAGTATAGAGAATTCATTGCATTTTTTATTATGACAACATTTACCAAGTTGACCATGTTTAAGCATTTACCAAGTCAATCATTTAGCATTCTATAGTTCAAAGGTGATGGGTATTACATTTAAAGGAAAGATGACATAGTCAACAATGCCACTAGCATAAAGCATCTAATTTCTAGGCTCTCCACTTCAGCTCTCCTCTGTTAAGGCTGGAAGTAACTGCCATGATCTCACCACTAGGAGGGAAAAAGAGAAATCTACCCATCTATGATAGTGAAGAGAAAGCTCAAAGCAAGTGGACCTATGGCGCTGTGCTCAGACTTGAGCAGACATCAGAATCCCATGGAGGGCTTGTAAAGATCCAGATTGCAGGCCCACCCCTAGAAGTGGATCTGAGGTGGGGGGGCCCATGATTTTGCATTTCTAGCAAGTTCTCAGGTGATGCTGACACTGCTGGTGCAGGGACCACACTTGAGAACCACCCACCCATGACACTGGTGCACAATGTTTCAAACTCATGCCAACAGCAGACAGGATGCATCTACCCACATCTATACCTGGCACACCTGCACCACACAGGAACACCACATATCTGCACAAGGTATCACAGGCATACCCGTCACACACATGCACACACTTTTTTGCATGTGTATGCCAGAAACACACTATACATCTGCACCACTCATAGGTAATACAAACTGGCATCACGCACACAAACACCACATGCCTACATTACACACTGTCGTGCACACACAGCTGTACCACACGTCTATAACTCACATCATACACATTCACCTCGTATGCAGACAGGCACTCACATATACACTGCACATAAACAGTGCATACCTATACCACACACTCCTCACACCTGCTCCACACACTCACATGCATGCATACCCTCAACCTACACATCATATGTGCTGTTCATCTGCACCACACGTGCCCCACAGCTACACACACTCACCCAACTGCAGATTCCGAGCTACCTGCTGCTATCACCTTGCTCTTGAGACATTCCCTCAATCCTTCTCCTCCTTTCCCCCTGCCCTTTGGCCTCATCCTATTTTTCCTCATGGGTGGCCCAAATACATTTCCCAAAGTGTCCATCCAAGAAGGCTCCCGCACTGTAGGCATCTCTGTATTTTCTTCCCACCCACATTTGACTTAGCTACTCTTTGTGAACCAAGTTCTTTATGTTCAATGTCAGTCCAAATACTTTTGTTTCAACTTAAATAAATGCAGCAAATAGTTACAGATCTTTTTCTGTGCAAAGCCTTAAACTAAGCATGTTGAGGAGGAAAAGTGATGAATGAGACGACGCTGACATTCATTCATTCATTCATTCAATGTATTAGCTAGGTACTGGTGAGCCATGGCCAGCATAGGGAGGAGGTACTTGATAAGTTTCTTCCCAGAACTCTTTAGATTCCAGGGAGTGGGCAGCAGGGTCCTCTTCCCTCTTCTGAGGTGACTTCTGGCCCCTACTACAACTCCAGATGGTTCTCTGAGTATGGAAGAACCATCCACGCCAGCAGACAAAAATTAACATTCTTATAATATTAACAATAACACTAGCAGCAAAAAAAAAAAAAAAAAAAGCCACCTTTTAGTGAGGATAGTATGGATATGTAGGGCATATCTACATACTAAAATATGTAGCACTATGCACTACACATCTTAACTGGTAATTATTCCTCCAGATATTATCAATCCATTTTCCAGGTCAGAAAATAGAACTGTGGGATGAATCTTGCAGGTGGAGAATAGAAGTTTCAATCCAGGTAACTGACATGAGCCAGCGGCTGCTTCCTTTCCATTTCAGCACATGCAGCCCCTTCTCCAAATTCAGACAGAGCTCCCTTGATTGTGCAGTCTGAGGCAGCATCAATGCAACTCACAGAAATGGTGGACATCTCTGTCTCACCTGCTCCGCGTCTGTTATCAGGGAGAGCAGTGTCATAAAGTCAAAGGCATTAAAGGTAAAAGCAGGCATTCAAGACAAGAAGATGAAACCACAGTGGGACTTTATTTCTTTTTATAATTTGAAACAAAGCCTTAACTTAGAGTAAACAGGCTTTGGCAAAGAGGTGACTTCCACCATGCAAACCATGAATTCCATTCTTCTGTTAGGATGGTCTCCCTGTTCTAATGGAGCCACATACCTTTGTGTGGCTGGTTACACAGTGGGTATCCAGGTAGTAAGGACTGATTTAATTTCTCCATGATTCAGGCTTGTCCAGACATTTGTCCTCAAGCTGTATTTGAGGGCAGCAAGGATAAAGAGTCTCTTGGCCAGAAGACGCTCCCTCATTCACCTCCCACTTGCCCTGTCTGCTGACCTCCAAGGAAATTCAGTCCTGCAGTTAACATCTGTGGTCCCATCAGCTGAGTTGAAGTAAAAGGTACTTAACGCACGCAGCTCGTTTTGCAAGGTTAGAAGGAATCAATAGGAGATGTGTTTAATGTGGTATCACTATCAGGGCTCATCACACTTTTAAAACTGAAATATCCACAGTGCTGTATAATCTTAGTCTCGCTGTAAAGAGAATGGGTTTAGTGTGCTTTAAGATAGATTTCATGCCTATTACAGATGCACACACAAAAAAAATGGGTGAGTGTCCTCAAATTTCACTATTACATATCTTCTTACATATCTTTTTCTTTTCTTTCTTCCCTTTCTCCTTTTCTTCCTTTCAAGCATTCTCTTCTCTCTCTTTTCCCATCTCTCTCTTCTCTCTCTCTCTTTTCCCTTGCTTCCTTCCCTCCTTTCTCCTCTCTTTCTTTTTCTATCTTTCATTCTTCCCTTGAATTTTAGGTGTCTAATTCCCTCCCATGGAAATTTGCCAGAATTTCAGCAAACCACCAAAAAGAGCTAGCTAGGTGATTTCTCTTTGAGTTCCCCGGAGCACACAGGTCTTCTGTAAGATTGAGGCTTGGAAACTCTCTCATCAAGGAGAGGAGCTGATTGGAACCCACAGCCTTATAACAAACCTGACTTTTCCATAAGTTTTTGTGAAATTATTCCGAAAGAGAAGCCTGTCTGAACAGAGCATAATTAAAGATAGCACATTGTTCTTTTGCTGAGTAGATTGCAAGGTAAAAAATCCTTGTTGATATTCACACATCATACATAAACACTAGTGGAAAATTAGAAATAGTAAGGTCAAGAGTGTATTATGTGTTTGTGGGGCAATGGAGGTTCTCTTCAATTTCATAATGACCTATGTAGGGAAATCATGGTCCATAACAAAGGGAAGTGTCAGAAGAGATGAAAGAAAGCAAACCTTGGTTAAACAGTCCCTATCAGCACTAGCACAAGGCAAAGATATGGATATTCAGCTCTATGAGCATTTGTCTATGGCATTCTTAGCACGTAGTTCTGATTTAAGAATAACTCAGCAGTACAGTCTAATGCTATTCCCTCAGATGACTGTTTAGAGAAGTGACTGAACTGCTTGACTTGGAAACTTACTGATAACTACCACTGGTACAATTTTCAGCCAAAATGACTAAACTGGGAATTAACTTATATTGGTTTGCTAGAGCTGTCATAACAAGTACCACAAACTGGATGACTTCAACAACAGAAATATATATCATTTCTCTCACAGTTCTGGAACTCAGAAGGCCAAGATCAAGGTTGGTAAGGTTGGTTCCTCCCGACGGATGTGAGGAAGAATCTGTTCCAGGCCTCCCTCCTAGCTTCTGGAAGCTTCAGGAGCTCTTCAGTTTGTTACATTCTCCCCATGTCTTTACATCACCTTCTATTTGTGTGAGTCTGTCTCTGTGTCCGAATTTCCTCTTTTTTACTAGTTTCTCTTGTTTTGTGAGACAAACTCTCACTCTGTTGCCCAGGCTGGAGTGCAGTGGTGCGATCTCTGCTCACTGCAACATCTGCCTCCTGGGTTCAAGCACTTATCGTGCCTCAGCCTCCTGAGCAGCTGGGATTACAGGTGTGTGCCACCATGCCCAGCTAATTTTGGTATTTTTAGTAGAGATGGGGTTTTGCCATGTTGGCCACGCTGGTCTTGAACTCTTGGCCTCAAAGTGGTCCACCCACTTCGGTCTCCCAAAGTGCTGGGATTACAGGCATGAGCCACTACACCTGGCTCAAACTTGCTGTTTTCTTTATAAGGACACCAGTCTCATTGGATTAGGACTCACCCTAATGATGTCATCTAATTTGATCATCTACAAGGACCCTATTTCCAAATAAGGTCACATTCATAGGTGCTGGGGGTTAGGGCTTCAAATATATATATATATATATATATATATATATTTTTTTTTTTTTTTTCGAGATGGAGTTTCACTCCCGTTGAGCTAATTTTGGTATTTTTAGTAGAGACAGGGTTTCTCCATGTTGGTCAGGCTGGTCTCGAACTCTGGACCTCAGATGATCCTCCTGCCTTGGCCTCCCAAAGTGCTGGGATTACAGGCGTGAGCCATCGCGCCTGGCCAGGACTTCAGATCTTTAGGGGGACACAATCCAATGCATAACAACAGGCATTCGTTTTCACATCCACATGTTCATCACTTAATTATTATCCTTACTGAGTTGTAAATGCATACTGTATGTCACTTTATATATTCACACCAAATTCTCTTTCATATGCCCTAAATGCCTCTGAATAGAGGGGCTTACATGCCAAAAAGGAAATGAAATTTCACTTATTTTCCCTATTTGACTATCCAGAGAATGAGCCTTTCCCATGGCACAGGACAAAGATGCAACCCATGCCATAAAGGGTTGAGGTCCCAGCCAATCCAAACAGAAGTGTCCATTGTGGAATGAGGGTACCCATTGTCATAGCCACTGTCCTTCCTCCAGGAATTCACCAAAAGTGAGGATGAGGCCTAACTAAGCTAGACGTGGTTATATGAAAGCAGTACTCTGTCTTTCAGGTAAGCGATAAAAACTAGTTCATGACATGGGTAAGCTACACATCAAATTGAGTCTTTTGGCAATATTACATAAAATCTGACACGACTTATGAGGTTGTCCATCCTGTCTCATTAATATCTAAATTACTAAATTTCTTTTGCTGATTTTCCTCCACATGTTTATAACATTAAATATGCAAAAAAGTACTTTTTTACTAATGCCCTTATACCAAGTTCTTCATAATTTATTTTTTTCTTTTTTGTGAGACAGTGTCTCACTCTGTCATACAGACTCTGTGATCCATCCATCCACTGCAGTGCTGCGATCTCAGCTCACTGCAACCTCCACCTCTGGGGTTCAAGCGATTCTCCCACCTCAGCCTCCAGAGTAGCTGAGACTACAGGCACTTGCCATCATGCCCGTCCAACTTGATGGGGTTTCATCATGTTGGCCAGGCTGGTCTTGAACTCCTGACCTCAAGTGATCCTCCCACCTCAGCTTCCCAAAGTGCTGGGATTACAGGTGTGAGCCACTGGGCCTGGCCAGTCTCCATGGTTTAAATATCGTTTCAGTATCAGTGTCAAAAATTTGGTGAACATATAAGTATCAAATAAGTCTACAAATCCTGTGATTATGGCCCCAGGAAGGAAGTAACAGGTGATTTCCCTTCAGAGAATCAGCATTTTGCCACTCCAGGCCACCACTTGAGGAGTAGTATACCTAAAATATCATAGCTAAAGGTTAGGGCTTCCTTAACTTGATTAACCCAATTTAGGGCCCTACTTGAAGCCACAGCAGATTGTACTCAATCTTACTATTTTATTTTAAAATGAAGAGTGTATGTACAAGGTTCCCAGTTTAATAATTTAATAAGCCCACTAAAAAGTGTCTCAGATCTGAGAAACAAGCACTTTTTACATGAAAAAATTCAAAACTAAAGAACAATCACTTTTAAAGCACAAAGGAAGGACAACTGAAAAAAGGAACTGTGTGTTTGTAAAAGTAAGAATATCTTCCATCACTTGGATTTATAGTATATTTCATTTTTCCTGAATAAACCACATAGACATTAATGTACCATTTAAGTTTATTTGCAAATCAAGAACTTAATGGCCCCTTAAAACTGAAGGTAATTCTGATATCTATAATATTCATTCTTTTTTACCTTTGGTGGACACTGCAATGAAGCAAATGCACGTGATTATTCTCAGTCTCCTGATGGAGATGGATAAAAAGTACTAGATCCCTATGAATGTTTTTTCACATGATTCTCTATATGTAGTATGGCCACTGTCAAAACTTTGGGAAAATTCTGAATTTTGTTATGCTCATATAATCTACATAAAGACAAAGACCAGTTATGTGCCTAACCAAGAGCACCTCATGGCCTGATACCAGCAGAGTGAAGAATTGCAGCTAGACCATTCATCCTCCTGACTCCAGCCTCACCCCACTTCCACTCACCCTCTGTGTCCTTTAGTTCTGAGCCACTGAACCCTATAATTCAGCACCTTCCTCTTTCAGGAGGTCATCTCGGCTTTCCTGGTCTGCTTGTGAACATTCTCACATTTACCCATTTATTTCTATCCTAGGAACCTCGTTCCCCATGCTCTCTATCCCAGATGGCTCACAGTCTTAATAATGCACCAAAGGTGAGGGCGGAAAAGCTGAGCAATGGAACATATTGACCTAGGTGCCCCGAGGAACCAGACACTCATGTGACTGGATGAAAACGAAGGCTCTGGAGCATTGGCTTTCTCATCTGTATAATGGATAAACTATTTCCAAAACCAAGTTGTGATTGTGAGAGTCCAAGGATCTAGTGAACCTGGTCAGAGTAAGTGCTTAGCAAATGTTAACTATTTTATTATTAGTAATAATAACTAGTTATTATTGTTAATATTTTACCATCTAGATAGGTATCAATACTTTACCATCTAGATTGTTGGTCAATATTTTACCATCTAGATAGATGTGATCTATTGTTTATCATCATATCATGAATATATTTATATTTTAACAGCAAATGAGACACTGGGGCTCACTGACTTTACCATTCTCATCTAACAGATGGAAGGGAAAGGTGATCTCTACAGCAGCTACCAGCAGACCCAGGGCTAGGACTCAGCTGCTCCAATTCCCTAATTCCTAACTTGTCCTTGGCACTAGGAAGTTTCTCTCTTGAGTCCTGAGAATCAGAGAATTGATGTTCACCTTATCAAATAAGATCTTTTAAGATTATAAACTCAGCAAGAGAGGAGACTGTTTCATAGTTAGAGTCCCAATTTCCTCTTCATTCTCTTCTGCATTTGGGGGAGTGGAATGCTTTGAGATATCCCTCTAAAGCTTCAAGATACTCTCCTGGGAATGCAAGAGCTTGCCCAGGGTCATTTGATGTCAATGACACACCAATAAAAATGATGCTAAAAATAGCATTAGTTAACATTTTCCAGAATCCATATCTTCCTTATTAGACATTAAAAATCTCTAAAAATGCAAAACTATTTTTTCTTCTGGTTGAGTAGACCCTCTCAACTCTATTCTTTCACTATTATGAGAAAAGCACACTGCTTCCCTACACTCTCACACACAACTTCTGACACCGTATGTAAGAATAGTGTCACACTATCCACCCGGAGATAGTGCTAGATCCCAGAGCTTAAGAGCTCTGCCTCACAGAACTGCCCCCACTTCATACGCCAATCACAAGCCCCAGGCTGTGGCCTGTGCTTTTGACCCAACAGCTATAAACTAGTAGTTCCCATGACTCCCATCCTTGGGTTTTATAATTTGGTAAGACAGCTCATAGAATGCAGGGAAATACTTCACTATGTTTACCAGTTTATTATAAAGGATAGTACAAAGGCTGTACATGAACAGCCAGATGAAGAGGTACCAGTAGCAAGATACTGGGTTGAGAGGGGAGAGGGTGGAGCACACAGTTTTCATGACATAAAGCTTTTTCCATGAAAAAGGTAATAATATATGTGTATTGATTTCCTAGTACTACTGTAACAAATTACCACAAACCTAGTGGCTTAAAACAACACAAATGTCTCATATAATTCTTAAGGTCAGAAGTCTAAACAGGTGTATTAGGCCATTCTTGCGTTGTTATAAAGAAATACCTGAGGCTGGGTAATTTATAAAGAAAAGAGATTGTATTGGCTCAGGGTTCTACAGGCCGTGCAAGCATGGCACTGGTATATGCATCTGCCTGGCTTCTGGAGAGGGCTTCAGGGAGCTTTTACTCACGGCAGAAGGCAAAGCAGGAGCAGGCAAGACACGTGGCAAAAACAGGAGTAAGAGAGAGCACAGAGGTGCCATGCACTTTTAAACAAGCAGACCTCATGTGAACTCAGAGAAAATCTCACTCATCACCGAGGGGATGGCGCTAAACCATTCATGAGGAATCTGCCCCCACGACCCAATCACCTCCCACCAGGCCCCATCACCAGCATGGGAATCACGTTCCAACATGAGATTTGGAGGTGACAGACACTCAAACGATATCATTCAGCGCGATGGCCCCTAAAATATCATGTCCTTCTCACCTTGCAAAATACAATCATCTCTCCCAACAGTTCCCCAAAGACTTAACCCATTCTAGCCCCAATTCAAAAGTCCTAAAGTCCAAAGTCTCATCTGGAGATGAGTTTCTTCCACCCATGAGCCTGTGAAATCAAAGACAAGTTTCTTACTTTCAAGATACAATGGGGGTACAGGCATTAGGTAAACATTCTTGTTCCAAAAAAAAGAAATCAGCCAAAAGAAAGGGGCTATAGGCCAGCAGGGCAATCATTAAATCTTAAAGCTCCAAAATAATCTTCTTTGACCCCATGTCCCACATTCAGGGCACACTGGTGCAAGGGACGGGCTCCCAAGGTCTTGGGCAGCTCCACCCCTGTGGCTTTGGAGGGTGCAGCCCCTGTGGCTGCTCTCACAGGTTGTCGAGTTCCTGTAGCCTTTCCAGACCCCCACATTTCCCCTTGGCATTGCCCTAGTAGAGGTTCTCTGTGATGGCTCCACCCCTGCATCAGGCTTCTCCCTGAGCACCCAGGCTTTCACATATATCCTCTGAAATCTAGGTACAAGTTGTCAAGCATCCTTTACTCTTGCGTTCTGAGCACCTACAGGCTTAACACCATGTGGAAGCCACTAAAGCTTATGGCTTGTGCCCTCCAGAGCCATGGCCCAAGCTACACCTGGGACGCTTTGAGCCAAGGCTGCAGCCAGAGAAGTGAAGATGCAGGGATCAATTTCCTGGGTGGCTTAGGCCATTCGCGTCTCAGGCTTGGCCCACAAAACCATTCTTTCCTCCTAGGCCTCTGGACCTGTAGTGGGAGGGGCTGCCTTGTAGATCCCTAAAAAGCCTTCAGGGCCTTTTTCCAAACATCTTGGCCATCAGCACTTGGCTCCTTTTTAGTCATGCAAATCTCTCTAGTAAGTTGTTGTTCTGTGGCCCACTTGGATGCTTCCTCTAAACCTAGGCTTTTCTTTTCTACCACATGGCCAGGTTGCAAATTTTTCAAATTTTTATGTTCTGCTTCCCCTTTAAATATAAGTTCCAATCTTAAGTCATTTCTTTGCCCCTATATCTGCCAGTCCACCTCTTAAAGGCTTTATGGCTAAGAAATTTTTTCTGCCAGATACCCTAAATCATCACTCTCAAGTTCAAAGTTCCACAAATCCTTAGGACATGAACACAATGCAGGCAAGTTCTTTGCTAAAGCAGAACAAGGGTGACCTTTGCTTTAGTTCCCAGTAAGTTCCTCATCTTCATCTAAGATCATATCAGCCTGGCCTTCACTGCTCATATCTCTATCAGCATTTTGGTCACAACAATATGACCAGTCTTTAAGAAGTTTCAAATTTTCCTCATCGTCCTGTCTTCTTCTGAGCCCTCCACACTCTTCCAACCTCTGCCTGTTACCCAGTTCCAAAGTTGCTTCCTCATCTACAGATATCTTTATAGCAATGCCCCACTCCTTGGTTCCAATTTTCTGTATTAGGCTGTTCTTGTGTTGTTATAAAGAAATATCTGAGACTGGGTAATTTATAAAGAAAAGAAGTTTAATTGACTCAAAGTTCTGCAGGCTGTGCAAGCATGGCACCAACATCTGCATTTGTCTGGCTTCTAATGAGGCCTCAGGGAGCTTTCACTCATGGTGGAAGGTGAAGTGGGAGCCAGTACATCACGGGAGAGTGGGAACAAAAGAGTGAGGTGGGAAGTGCCACACACTTTGGTGATAAGTGAGTTCTTGCTCAGAGTTTCACGGAAACTCACTGAATTTGCATGAAACTCTGAGCAAGAACTCCCTTATCACCAAGGAGATGGTACCAAACGTTTCATGAAGAATCTGCCCCCAGAACCAATTACCTTCCACCAGGTCACACCTCTAACATTGGGAATCACATTTTAACCGAGATTTGGAGGGAACAAATATCCAAACCATATCAATGGGTCTCTAGGTTAAAAGCAAGGTGTCCAGAGGGCCATGCGCCTCCTGAAGTCTTCCATCTTCTATAGACTGCTCACTTTCCTTGGCTTCAGGCTCCTTCTACTGTCTTCAAAGCCAGCAATGGTGCCTGGAGACCTTCTTGCACTACAGCTCTCTGACCTCTCCTGCCTCCCTCTTCCACTTTTATGGACCCCTGTGATTACATTGGACCTAGCAGAATAATTTCAGATATTCTCCTTACTTTAAGGTCTGTTGATTAACAACCTTAATTCCATCTGTAACCTTCATTCTTCTCTGCCATGTGAGGTAATATGGGTTCTGGGGATTAGAATGTGGACATCTTTGGAGGAGCCATTATTCTGTTTTCCATAAGATGTAAAGTACCTGTTTAGTTCTAGTAGTTTTCTGTCATAGAGAATTTATTTTTTCAACTGAAAACACAGACAGCCTAATTAAAACTTAATTTAATGCTAATACAGCAAATGGGTTTACCACTTTGTGTTGAATTGCTTCACCAATTCTGGGTTTCTTGAGAAAATCTTCTCTAACACCCCCATTTCACCTGGGGCTCTTTGACTCACATGGCATTTAACAACCAAGACAAAATTGGAATCTGGTGTCCTGTGAAGTGGTTTCTCCTTATCACATTCCACCATCATGAAGCCCCTTGAAGTTACTGCTCCAAAAAATAGTGACTCTCCCCTGATTCAACAGAGTGGACTGACCTACAAGGCAGTCTGCACTGGCTGATCAAAACACCCATGTACATTCCAGACAAAATTCGTGGAAAGCATAATTTTGTTTTAATGCTAGGACAGAAAAAAATTTCATCAGCATTCAGAGTATTTGTTTAAAATTCTGACATGTATACACAAGCATTTCATCCTTTGTATAATCAAAGGCCTTCATACAATAAAACTACTGGGTTGGTGCAAAAGTAATCACAGTTTTGCATCAACCTGATACATCTATCAAGTTTTGAAGGGAAAAGATTTTATTCAAGAATCTTGTCAGCCGAGCACAGTGGTTCATGCCTATAATCCCAACCCTTTTGGAGGCTGAGGCAGGTGGATTGCTTGAGCCCAGGGGTTCAAGACCAGCCTGGGCAACATGGCAAAACCCCGCCAGTACAAAAAAACACAAAAAGTAGACAGGCCTAGTGGCATACACATGTAGTCCCAGTTACTTGGGAGTCTGAGGCAGGAGAATGCTTACCCCAGGAAGTTGAGGGTGCAGTGAGCCATGATCCTGCCACTGTACTCCAGCCTAGGTGACAGAGCAAGACTTGTCTCAAAAACAAAACAAAAAATGCAAATTCTGTGGCCCAAAAAATTGTTGTCTACATGTGAAGGGACCTGAAAGAGGTTTTGAGAAAGCACATAGGCATCCCTGGGCATATTTGTTCAGGATCTACTTCAACTTACTAAGAAAAAAATCCTACAACATAATATGATAAAATTTCTATAAGCCCACTCTAAAATCACAGGTGACACCAATGAAAACTGGGAAGTGGGCCTAGATATAATATGGAAACTAAAGACTACTAATCTTCTCACTTTACATAGATGCGAATCAGTATTTAGTGCTTTTATTTTTATGTAGGTAGTTTAATCAACATTAATGTGTTTAAAATATTAATATTATTAAAAGCATTTTGATAACAAAGTATATTACTAGTAGAATTTAAAATAAAATTGCTACAGAAAAGAGCAAAGAAAACAGAGTTTATATTTTTTAAAAACTTACTAGGGAAATAGCAGGAAAAAAATTTTTTTTAATGAAATAAGATAAAGAAAGGAAGCACAATTACATCAGTAATAATAACATAAACATCTACCCTAAACTGCAAAGTAAAAGACAGCCACATGGTTTGATTTGGTTAGTTCAAGTGGTGAGTTAATCAAATTCAACCTAGTATTATTTAAAAGCCCTAACACTTAAAATAAATTGGCACATAAGTATTATTAAGTGATTAGGCAAACATGTAACAGCTAAAGGCAGGAAGAAATAAAATAAATATAAGAAGAGAAAATAGAAATTTTCATATTCTTATCAGGCAATGGAGAATTAAAAGAAAAAGCCATCTCCTGAAATGAAGAGAGTTATAGTATTTTGATAATAAAATCCAAAAGGAAAACATGAAAGTCATAAATCTTTATGCTCCAAATAATATTGTTCAAAATATAGTAATCACAAATCATTAGAGGAATAAAGATAAGTTAACAGTAGTGGGACCTTCCTCCATCTTTCACAGTTGAAGTATACAAATATATATACACCTGGGTGGGGCGTAGAGAAAGAAGTTCCAAATAACAATAAGATTTATTAGGTTTACAGAAAGTTTGGTGTCTTATGAGAGAAAAGGATGATATATTTCCTATCAAGCTTACAAAGAATATTGGCAAATACTAATTATATAGTACACTATATACTCTTATAAGCCCAAAAAATAGAAAAAAAGACAGTCCAAAATTATCACATCACAAATTATTCTCTACAAAAAAATTGCACCACAGTGGCTCAGGCCTGTAATCCCAGCACTTTGGGAGGCTGAGGTGGGTGGACCACCTGAAGTCAGGAGTTCAAGACCAGCCTGACCAACATGGAGAAACTCCATCTCTACTAAAAATACAAAATTAGCCGGGCATGGTAGCACATGCCTGTAATCCCAGCTACTCAGGAGGCTGAGGCAGGAGAATTGCTTTAACCCAGGAGGTGGAGGTTACAGTGAGCTGAGATCATGCCATGGCACTCCAGCCTGGGGAACAACAGCAAAACTCCGTCTAAAAAAAAAACAAAAAAAAACAAAAAATAATTGCACTAAAAATCAAGCACACCATTAAGGATTATTTTGACACTAATGAAAGTGAAAACATAATTTATAAAAACGTCTGGAATGCTGATACAGTTATATACCAAAGCAAATTTATAGCTTGTAAGCCTTTTATCAGGACGTCAGAAAGAATGAAAATTACTAAAATAAGTGTTCAATTTTTAAAAATGGAAAAACAAGAACAAATACAATTTAAGGAAAACAAAAAGGGGAAAATAACAGCAGAAATTAATGAATTAGAAAATAAATTAGATAAAATAAACAAATCTAAGAGTGGATTCTTTGTAGAAAAAAAATTTCTGATCAAACATTTAGCAGGCCTAATCAAATAGAAAAGAGAAAAAACATACATACATAAAACTGGGAATAACAATGAATATGACCACAGACATAAGTAAAAATTGTGTAATATCGTATTCTGACAAATTAAAATTTTAAATTAAGCAGATGATTGGTAAAGAAAACATAAAAGATGCCAAAAAGCTTAATGAATAAATAACTAGGGAAGAAAATTTCACAATTTTCTAAAATTTCTCGTAGAGAAAGATGGAAGAATTTTCCATTTTTTTATGCCAATCTCTACATGGATATTTGAAAAAGTGAAAAACTCCAGAAATATAAATCTATGGACCAATCTTCCTCATAATTATGAATGAAAAAATTCTAAATCAAATATTGACAATTTAATTTGGAAATGAGTCTAAAAATATTATATCATGTTCAAGAATAATTTCCTCTAAGAATGAAAAAATTATTTACTATGGAAATTTCAAAAGAATTCACTGCATTAGGTCAAAAGAGAAGATGCTCAAGGGTATTAATTTATTAGAGACCAAAATGTATTTGACATGTATATAGCATCTGATACTGATTTTCTCAGTCTTTTAATAAAGATAGACATCTATATGTCTTAAGATGATAAAGACCACTATTGTTCACTATTAGCCAGTGGTCTTTAATGCTAAAACACCAGAGATATCCATATTAATATCTGAAAAATACATGATACCTTCTATAATCACTATTTTTAAAAATTGTTCTAAATGTTCTGGCATTGCAAAAATACGCTTTAGTGGCGAGTCACAGTCCATAAATATGGTGGAAAAAGAGGCAAGTTATTAGAAAAAGAAAATTACAAAACTTAACTGAGGGATGAAAAAGAACCGCATGAAAGAAGTGACAAATTATATTTTAGAAAAGAAATATAAATATTAAAATTCTTCCCCCAAATAATTAATAGGCATAATTAATTTTGTTTAAATCCAGTAAGATTTTTGGAAACATGGTAATTAAACGCTAAAGTACATCTGGGAGAATGGAATACTTAATAATTGACCATTCAGTTAGAAAAGCAAGAGACAGAGCAGTTGATTTCAGAAAATATATGAAATTTATGAATATGTAGTATAATTATATGTAGAAGCATATATATTATAAATATTAGTTAAAATGACAAAAATGAAAACAAATTTGAAGGTGCAATACAATACTCTAAACCTAGAATACTAGGTATAGAAATTATGGAATAACTATATAGAGATTTCAAGGCAGATGTTAAACATCATGCAGAAAAATATTATACCAGTAAGTCCATGTTCACATATTTAAAATGATCCCAATCCTACAAATATATATGCACATAAACTATATATGTAATACATAAAATATATTTGTGCTGTCCCCAAAACATTTTTTACTTATAAAAAAAATGCTGCAGTGTGATACCAGCCATAACAATCCACATCAACGATGTGGCATTGCTATGTTGATTCTCTCTAAATGACATGTTTTTGGATGACTATTATTTTCTTTTTGTGCTTTTCTGTATTTTTCATATTTTCTGAAAGGAATGTGTTATAATATCAGAAAAGATATTTTGTATGAATA
The DNA here is from genome assembly GCF_000001405.40 of Homo sapiens. Classification (NCBI taxonomy): domain Eukaryota; kingdom Metazoa; phylum Chordata; class Mammalia; order Primates; family Hominidae; genus Homo; species Homo sapiens. Next base: position 35,456,900 of record NC_000021.9, read on the forward strand.
ACACCGTACTAGTATTGTGCATAATGTTTTGCATAATTCTAATTTTTTAATCAAAGAAATCTTTGAAAATCTTATAAAATTGTTAGCACTTTCTCCAGAAAAAAGAAACGCATTATATACAAGTAAGCATCAAATTTTATATAACTTTACAGATTTTATAGACCCACTGAAGCCCATTCAAGCGTTCCAGGTGAGAAACAGACTGTGGAAAAGTTCAAAGAAATTCCTTAGGCATTATCTCAATGGAGTCTCATCAAAACTTTGTAGACAGGAATAGCTACTACTTTTGCCAATTTAAGAATGAATAAACGATGCCTCAGAGAGGTAAAGAACACACAGTTGACAGGGACAGAATTCACACCAGTGGCCACGTCCTGTTGCCTTACCACTGTGAGTTTCATGTCGTAGCACAGGGTGGTTTATTATACACGGAACAGGATATTGTCAAATAACAAAACCAGACCTTGAATCCTGATTTGCCCGTGAAATTTTGAAAAACCTCCTGACTTTACCATGCCTTGGTTTCATCATCAATAAAGTAGCGATAATAACACTTGCCCTGCATATCCCCCAGAGTTGTTATGGAGATAAAATGTAGGGGGAAGCACTTGCAAACATAATTTATCTTTATTATTATTAAAACATAAACGTGTCTATTACGCATCTATTACAACTCAGGCCAGCACTGGGGTAAGTGCTGATGGGACCTAGGTGGAGGAAGAAAAAGACAAAGCACCTTACTAAAAGGCAATTAAAATGCACCATTCTAGTTCAAAAAGTCTGTTTCCATGAGTAATTAGCAATCTATTATGCATCTGACAATGGTTTGTTGGCTATTACATCAGTTCCATGTGCCCATCCTGTAAAGTGAATCAACACAGCAGGGAGTTCCCAGCTTTAAAAAATGTTTGCTTTCACAGGTATCTGTCTAATTTATCTCTGTGATTTAATTTTAATGATTAAAATTTTAAGTTAATTTTGAAGTCTGCTCTTTTTCCACCGCATTCACCACAGACTTGCTGAAGACTCCAGGACAATTAAGGCACATAAAAGCATAACAAAGCTCCCTCTCCCTATTTGACCCTATCAGGCTTCATATTCTTACTGTCAGAGGTAATTCACATGCCTTGATACCCCGGATATTTTGTTTGCATAAGTAGGCTAGGTCTTTCATAAATGTGAGTGGAGTTGCAGTGTGTGAATAAGATGCTGAGCTAGTGGTCTCTGAGGTGAGAACACTTCATGCAACTCAGTTTTCTTGTCAGTAATCTGGGTATCATGAAGCCAGTTTTAATGGGAAAAGTCTCTGTAAATTACAATGGCCCATGAAAGTGGAATAAAACATGATTTTTTGCATTTAGAACATCCCTGAGCCAGTTCCTTCCAATATCTTCTTCATCACAAATAGTCTATGACATCACCTAATGTACTTAATAGTCTGCCTCTAAAACTGAACTGAGACTCACGACCGATGTTCTTGTTTTGGGTTTTTGCTGCGGATTGCGCTCACCCATTTAGATACCCCTTGTTCACTATTCACCAGGGGATGGGCCATCTGGATCCATTATCTGTTTTATTTCTTATGTACCCCACAGAAGAGTAGTTAAAGCGAAAAACTTTATGTGCTGATCCATTCATCCTTAGTCACAACCCTTCTACTGTTGCTCCGGAGTGACGGTTATAGAGCCCGTAAGTGTGAGATCACTCCAGGCTGCTCTTCTAACCTCTAAATGGAATCAGTCCTCAGGGATGGATGGAATTTCACTGCATTTGCCCATTTCATTTGTATAATGAAATCATTGTTTGGCCTTTCATTCTGTACTCTTGCCCTTTTTGGTCTTAAGGTGGACCATTCAGTAGCCCCTTCCTATTTCTCTACGAAAACTAAGAATCATAAATGGACTCTCATCAAATCTCAACAATTTCATGTATTTGTAAAAATATCACATCAAATACATTCCACCTTCACAGCAGTATCTATTTGTTATATACTTGCATGTATTTATATACAAATAGAAGTGAATACGTATATAAATCTATAATGTGCGGACGTGGTAAAACTCAAACCGTCACCAGAAAAATCAATCGCTTATCATCACTGATTGGGTCAGTCGTGTGACGATATGATCCATGTGTGATCGGGTTCAACTCCAAAGAGCAGCATGCAATGAAACATTAGCCTTCCCTGGAATCACCTGGTGTACTTGTTAAAATAGAGACAATCATACCTCGCCCCAGAATTACAGGTGGTTTATGGAACAGAGATAAAGTTTTTAAAAAATGTATTTGTTGATTTATAGCCAAAATCTCCCCAATGTTACATGGAGGGCAACAAAAGGGAGAGTTGTTGAGTAAATTACACAATATTCATTTAATGGGAACCCCACAGTGATTAGCAAGAAGCTTATTAAACAGAAAAATGCATGTGGTATTATGATAAATAAAAAGCCAACATAATAATTGATGGATCAGAGAAAAAGGTCAGCAGTAAATCAACATACTTGGGAAGCTTTAGTTTTGAGCAAAGATGATCATTCAAATCAGTAGGGAAATAATGTATTATCTAAGAAATAGTGGTGAGGCATCTAAGTAGCTACCTAAAAAATTGTATCCCCCTTTACACTTACACCAGCACAAATTCCAGAATGAATGAAAGTAAAGCCATAAAAGCAATAAAGGAGAGCATAGAAAATATTACAATCTCAAAATAAGAGAGTTTTCCAACACTAATATAAAACCCAAAAGACAATAAAAAATACTGATCGATCCAACAGTGTCAAGGCCTGTTTTTATATGCTCTTTCTCCCCAAATAAACACCATAAACAAAAGGACAAAGAACATACTGGAGAAAATATTTACAACTCTTAATGTACAGGGCTAATTAATACATGAGTCATTAAAGGTCAATATTTTTAAAATTCCATTAAAAATGGGTAAATGACAAAAAAAATATAGAAAATAAAATATGATAGCTTTTCATCATATACAAAGTTTCTCAACCTTACTTATTCTCAGAAATAGACAACAAAACTTCAGGAAGATACTATATTTCACTTTTCAGGTTAAGAAAGATCAAAAGCTTGATGACACACTATGTTGTGGAGAAATGAGCACTGCCATTCATTGCTGGTGGGCGTGTAAACTGGTAAATCTCTAGTCAATTAAAATATAAAACGCACACACCATTTGACCCAGCACTTCCATTTCCCATGAATTTCTCATGCAGTTGAGAATTTAAATTTTAAAGGAAAATGATAACTCTTTCTTGGTCATAGTCCTAAGGTATCAACAAGTCACTTGTTGTTATAAACAAGTCACTTGTTTGATGTTATAAAGACATCAAAATTGGCCGGGCACAGTGGCTCATGCCTGTAATCCCAGCACTTTGGGTGGCTGAGGCAGGCAGATCATGAGGTCAAGAGATGGAGACCATCCTGGCCAACATGGTGAAAGCCCGTCTCTACTAAACATACAAAATTAGCTGGGCGTGGTGGTGCACGCCTGTAGTCCCAGCTACTCGGGATGCTGAGGCAGGAGGACCACTTGAACCAGGAAGGCAGAGGTTGCAGTGAGCCGAGATCGTGCCATTGCACTCCAGCCTGGTGACGGAACAAGACTCCGTCTCACAAAAAAAAAAAAAAAAAAAAAAAGACATCAAAATTGATCCGTGACAATCCACTTTCGTAACATACTTCTGCAGGCTAGCCAAACAATCCCAGCCATACTTCTGAAATCCAGCTATTAGCAACAGGCACACTCCAAATGCCAAGCTTTCACGGCTAAAGGTCAACTAATTTCTAAACACACTTCTCGCAGTGTTTTAATTCCTGAACTTAATACTTCCCAAACCCTATATATGATCAACATTTGCTTTGTTTTGACAGAACCGTGTCCTACAAGCACTGTTGTCTCTTGTTTAGCAAACAATAAAGTCAGGTTTTTGCTTTAGATATTGAGTGGTAGCCTTTTCCTTCCATCCAAGAACTAGAACATAGGAGAGACAGCATATGCATAAAGATGTTCTACTCTTTTTCAAAGCATTGTTTAACATAGCAACAGGTTGCAAACAATGTAAATAATCTCGAAGGACCAGTAAATTAGAAAAACAGAAACACCACATGTGTCCTGGAAAGGGAACTAGCTGGCATGGGGCAAAGGAGGGAAGGAGAGACCAATACATTTCATACACACAATTTTGGAGTTCATAACATTTTGCCCCATAGGCAGATATTACATATTAAAAAGTAAGTTATTTAAAGTCAGAATTTTAAATTGTATGTGTAAAAGGAAAAAATACATATGAAGTTGGTAACAAACCAGTAACTGTTGGTATGCTAAATTATTGGTGGAATAGTTTTTTCAATGTCTGTTTCCCTAAACATTTCATAATGTTGTGACATAACTTATAATTTTAAATGGAAATGATTTATAAATTTCATGCACAATATCAAACCAAAATGCAGCAAATGAGATTATTCCATTGCAAGTTGGCATATAACCACAATATTGAAGGGGCATAAAGCTAATTTCTCTTATTAGGAGAAATAACCAAGGAGAAAAGAGGAATTAGAGAAGTCCAATTACATTGCATGAGAGAAACTGACAGAACAAAATCTTCCTGTAATATTAAAAGGCTTCAAACAAAGCCCGAAACCTCTGTGAGACTTGAAGCTAACACTTCCATTCCCAACAGCTTGGAGAGCAACACTCCTGTTGCACTGGAACTCAGGTGCAACTACAGACACATGCATTACTTGTCTATTTTTGCAAGTAAATAGTTGCAAAATACACAAGTAATGCATACGTATTGCAAACTTTGCAATTACTTGTCTATTTTTTAAAGTACACCTAGTAAAGAGTAGATGCATATTTTGCTTTATTTTAAATTAGTTCTTTCTCCCTGATATACAAGTCCAGGAAAGATCCCAGCAGCCTCTACTTCCAGAAGACAGCTACATGTACAGCACAATACCAATCAGAAATGACATCTCCCAATATCATATTTGCTGAGTCACTCAAGTACTCAAAAAGAAAGAAAAAATAGACCTTAGTTTTCTTACCACTTTGCCGTGTGCTCTTGGAATTCAGAAGCCAGGTTAAGCTTTCTTCTTTCACCTGGAGACCTCTAAAAGGGAAGAAATAGTAAAACAACTGAAATCATGTTGCTTAAAAGCTATCCTGAGCTGTTGAGGGGGGAATAAAATAGTACATTAAAATGATCCAAAATATCAAACAGAACTATTTTCATCCATCATTGGATAGTGACACATTACTCAGACTGTGCCGACTTGCAGGGTGAGGTTAAGTTGCAGGGTTTCAGCCACCCATCAATCCTAAGGTAACTCACAAGGCATATTTGTATTATTCCATCACTTAAGACAACTTTAATCCAGTCCCCCATTCCATTTTCATTTCTAGTCTTGAAATACTTAATACAGGGTAAATTGATTATAGAAAAAAGTAACACTCTTGGCATAGAATTTAATTTTTGCAGTTTATTCATTTTAATTGGTGTCTACACTCAAAACCTTTGACAAACAAGAAATTTGAAAGATCTGATAATTAAACAGTTAATCCAAACTTCCTCCTGTAGGAAAAATTGTAATTTTTAGGACTAAAACCAAAAGGCAAACTTTGAATATATTTGTATTTCTTTTCATGTTTGAGAAATCACTTAAATAATCACTCGTATCAGTCTTATACATAAAATTTATAGTTTTAAAAGTTTCTTTCAAAGGCTATCATTAGGTGATCTGGCACTGTCTAATAAAATTAAAAATACATAAGGCCAGGCACCATGGCTCATGCCTGTAATCCCAGCCCTTTGGAAGGCCAAGGTGGGGGCATTGCTTGAGCCTAGGAGTTCAAGACAAGCCTAGGCAACATAGAGAGAGACCTAGACTCTACAAAAAAATTTAAAAATTAACCAGGCATGGGTGTGCAAGCCTGTAGTTCCAACTACTTGTGAGGCTGAGGCAGGAAGATTCAGTTCACAAAGTTGAGGCTGAAGTGAGTGGTGATTATGCCACTGCACTCCAGCCTGAGTGACAGAGCAAAACCCTGTCCCGAAAAATAAAATAAAATGAAATTCTTATGCTACAATTCCATTTCTGGGGATCTGTAAAGGCACATGTACCATGATACTCATTACAGCATTGCTATTTGGAGGTCAAGAACTAGACATCATGTTAATGCCCATAGATGAAAGAATGGTGGGATAAACCCATGGAGCAATGTTATATCCACTGGACAGACTATGAAGCATTCATGAAAAGTAATTAAATAGCATTAATTATATGTTAAAGAACCTTGTCAACGATTTTGATTCAGACAAGCAGCAGGTAGAAAAGCAGTAGGTAGAAAGAGAACAAAATGGTTACTATATATATACATACATACATATATATATACACACACACACACACACACACACACACATATAAACAAATTGTAAAACTAAGCCTTCATATCAGTTATTCCCAATCAAGAGTGATATTACCTGCTAGGGACATTTCGTGATGTCTGGAGACATCAAAGCTGTGGGGAGCATGCTCTTAGCATCTGGTGGGTGGAGGCCAGGGATGCTGCTGAACATGCCTCAGTGCACAGGACAGCCACCACAAAGACTTATCTGGCCCATGTGTCAATAGCACTGAGGCTGAGACATTCCTGTATGTGGATGTGATATGATTTTATAATTAAATTACATAAGTATAGAAAATGTGTGGAAGCTCACACACCAGGTTGTCCACGTAGCTCATCTAGCAAGAGATGGAGGCGGGGATGAAGGCTGAGATGCTAGTGGAGAGGAAGTAGTAGTAGACGGAGGTGCCCAGGGTAGGGTCAGCTTTATAATACAATCTTATCTCTTATATCTTGTTATGCTTCGGCTCTGTGTCCCCACCCAACTCTCATCTTGTAGCTCTCATAATTCTCACGCACTGTGGGAGGGACCCAGTGGGAGATGATTGAATCATGGGGGTGGGTCTTTCCCATGCTGTTCTTGTGATAGTGAATGCGTTTCATGAAATCTGATGGTTTTAAAAAGGGAAGTTTCCCTGCACAAGCCCTCTCTTTGCCTGCCGTCATCCACGTAAGATGCGACTTGCTCCTCCTTGCCTCCCGCCATCATTGTGAGGCCTCCCCATAAATGAAACTGTAAGTCCAATTAAACCTCTTTCTTTTGTAAATTGCCCAGTCTCGGGTATGTCTTTATCAGCAGTGTGAAAACAGACTAATACATACCTGTATCAAATTACCTTGAAATTATTACTGTCATGTTTCTTTTTGTTCCTTAGATGCAGCAAAGTAAAGGCATAACTTTAAAATTTCACTAAACCACACTCTTCCCAGATAAAAGAAAAATAAACCCAACTTGGAAGGAAACCCCAACTTAAAGGCCATCAAAGGGAGAGAAATGATAACAGCCAGCCTGGCCTTTGGCCAATCTTTGTACAATATTGCTTCGATTCTCCTAAATAATCTTGTTGATTTCAATTAATTTGAACTGGCCTCACCCTCTTCCACTGTTCATATAAGTAGTGTGGTATTTTTATTACACAATAGGGAATTTAATTTTAAATAGAGCAGAGCACCAAAAATATGAAAAGTCACTCATTAACTTTGCATAGATGTGAGTATGGCTGGTGTGGTTGTTCCACTTTTCCTGCTAGCAAATCCACAAGATACACTTCAAAATGAGTATTCTCCCTTATGTCAGACGTGAACCACACCTAGTCAATGCCATTTCTGAATTAAGAAGTAGTACTTTTTGTCATCTTTCCTAAACTGTTAGTCTTCAGGTGTTTTGTGTAGATCTTAGCAAAGTCACAGAGCTTCATTGTATTCTGAGTAAACCCCTCTTTGATGTAAGCCCTTGTGAGGCTTGTATATGGCTATATGGCATTACTGTCAGACATCAGCACCACCAAGAAAAAGTACCTATTCTCACTAAATGCCACATGTCAGGTTCCTGCATACACATAAAATGCCAGGAATGCAGAGGGTGATATGGGAGGCCAAACCGATCCTCACTGTTCATCAGAGGAAAAGAACATTTTTTTTGTACTCCTATTTCTAACTCTTCCCAGGCCCTTGCCCCTTGATTCCATTCACCCTGCTCTCACTGGGGTGATAAATTCTCCTTCTCTCATTTTTTGCTCCCATTGGTTCTTTTCTCACTCCTTCCCCATAATTTTATTTTACTGTGGAACATTTCCTTACTGGCCTGTAATGTTTTGTGATTCTCAGCATAAAGTATTTTTCCACCTGAAGTCTCCTTACCCAAATATCTATCCTCAAGCTATTGTCTGATTGCACTTCCAATCTCATGAAGATACTGTCACTAGTCCGGCCTACATATCCATACTCATTTGTGTGCACTAAGTGCTTGTTTTCTGATTACCCCTCTGATGAGATGACACCACAACCCTTTGATGCCTACTCTGTTCTGATTCTCAAGGTCTATTTTAACTTTCTTTGTTATGTCACAAAACACAGATTATAAGACTATCAGAGTACAGCTGGGAGCACTGGCCCACAGTAGCCAATAGGTTTCAATTCCCCTGCTAATGCCATTCATTGGAAAGTGTGTTTTTGCAGTGTCCAGAGGAATGCCCCGTGGCGGAGGCCACCATGATGCATCGGCAGTGTTGGCATCGGTAGAAGTGGGTAGTGGCAGTGGACATGGCCAGCATCTGTTTATTGTCCCAAAACCAGTCATAAGGGACCTTTTGATGACAGGGAAAATCTAGGGTATATGTGCCTGTTCTATGTACCTGAAGTGCATTTAAGAGTGTGGATATATACATAGACATGCACACAAACTACCTGTGTGTGTCTCCAATGTGGAAAAGACCAAAGGTGTTTGTAAGCTGTAGACAAGATACCAGCAGAGATTTCTTCTTGTTTCTTCCATATTTTCCAGTAAAGTCCAAATTCCTTCCTGACATAAACTTCCTCCCTAGCCTTCTGTTGGGCAACTCTTTGAAGAGCCACCCAGAACATGCTTCTTGCCAGCTCTCATGACTGGTTCCTTCACTGTACGCAAGTGTCTGCTCAAAGGTCACTGTGATGGTTAATATTAGTGTCAACTTGATTGGATTTGAAGGATGCCTAGATGGCTAGTATTGTTTTTGGATGTGTCTGTGTGAGTGTTGCCAGAGGAGACCGACATTTGAGTAGGTGGAATGGGAGAGGAAGACCCACCCTCAATGTGGGTTGGCACCACCCAATTGGCTGCCAACATGGCTAGAACAAAGCAGACAGAAGGGATTTGCCTTGTCTCAGATGAGATTTTGGACTTTAGACTTTTGAGTTAATGCTGGAATGAGTTAAGACTTTGAGGGACTGTTAGGAAGGCATGATTGTATTTTGTAATGAGAGGGACATGAGATTTGAAGGGGCCAGGGCCAGAATGATACAGTTTGAATCTGTGTCCCCACTAAATCTCACGTGGAATTGTAATCCTCAATGTTGGAGGAAGGGCCTGGTGGAAGGTGGTTGGAATATGGAGGCGGAGTTTCCATGAATGGTTTATCACCATCCCCTTGGTGCTATTCTTGTGATAGTGAGTGAATGAGTTATCACAAGACCTGGTTGTTATACAAGTGTGTGGCACCTCCCTACTGTCTCTCTTCCTCCTGTTCCAACCATGTAAGACACCTGCTTCCCCATTACCTTCTGCCATGATTGTAAGTATCCTGAGGCCCCCCCCACAGAAGCAGAAGCCACTTTGCTTCCTGTACAGTCTGCAGAACCATGAGTCAATTAAACCTCTTGATATGGTTTGGCTGTGTCCCCACCCAAATCTCATCTTGAATTATATCTCCCATAATTCCCACATGTTGTGGGAGGGACCCAGTGAGAGATCATTGAATCATGGCGGTGGTTCCCCTATACTGTTCTCATTGCAGTGAATAAGTCTCATGAGATCGGATTGTTTGATAAGGGGAAACTCCTTTCGCTTGGCTCTCACTCTTCTCTTGTCTGCCACCATATGAGATGTGCCTTTCACCTTCCATCATGATTGTGAGGCCTCTCCAGCCACGGGGAACTGTCAGTCCATTAAACCTCTTTTTTTGTAAATTGCCCAGTCTTGGGTATGTCTTTATCAGTGGCATGAAAACAGACTGATACACTTCTTTTCTTACAAATTACCCAGTCGCAGTTATTTCCTTATAGCAGTGTGAGAATGGACTAATACAGTCACCTCCTCAGAGAAGCCATGTTTGACTATTGTATGAACAGTGCCTGGCCCTGCCTCCTGGCTGTTCAGCCCCGGCCTCACTCTATTCCATAAGCCAGCATCATTTTCTTCACAGCATGTGTTCGCTTCTGATGTAACACTATCGATGTTTGCTAGGTTATGTGAGTCTTAACCCTGTATTCATCCCCTGCCCACACTCACTGTATTGTGATCACCACCATGGGAAGGGCTGGGCTGTCCTCTGGACCAGGCATCTACCACAGGGCAAGGCATGAGGTGGACACTGGACAGAGGTTCATGCAATTTCTTAGTTGATCTGTTTTCTGTACAGATGAGGAAGAAAGGCTCAGAGAGGTGATACGACCCAGCCAAGGTCACTCAGCAAATACTAATGACTGAACATTTCATTTGAGCCCAGAATCCTTTGCCCTCAAGCATTGGCTCAGATTTAATTTACTTTGTTTTGTTTTGTCTTTCAGAAAAAACTATAAATAACTGATGCAGACTGTTTTTTCCCCAAGGGAAGCCCAGAAAAGTGACTGTATATTCTATGAAGAACATAAGTATGTTTCAGTCATGAGCCAGACATTTTCAAGTAATTCTCAGGAATTCTCAAGGAATTCTGAGTCCTGACCTTCCTCTTCCCATGGTGAACTCAGAGCCACAAAGTCTGCTGCACACGGAGCTTCTATAGATGCAAATCTGAGAACCCTGTTGGCTCAAAGATATCACTGCCGCTTATAATAAGTTGCTTTGCCTCAGCTTCCAAAACCTCACTGAAAAAGCAGGCTCCAATTCTAATACCTCTTATCCTGAGTCCCTGAGACAAGTCACTTCCTTCCCCCAAGGCCCCCATCATCTCCTTCTCCTTCTTCCTCCTCCTCCTCCTCCTCCTCCTCTTTTTCTTCTTCCTATTCTCTCATTTGGCTCTTCATTTGTGTTTTGATTGTTCCTTGTGCCTAGTTCTTTTATAACATCCATGGCACTTCTCACTGTTAGGTATTTGGTTATATACACAGCGAGTATCCTAGATTTTGGAACCAAGCATGTGCCAAGTGCCTTATATGTTACAAAGTTAATTTATTTAATCATCCCAATAAATTTATGCAGCCAATATTTGTATCCCAGTTATAAAGATTAAGGCAACTGGGTCTCAGAAAGATGAATTCACTTGCCCCCTAATAGAGCTCAGAGACAGCCTGTCCCAAAGTCCAGTTCATCTTTTTACATCATTGTAAGTCACTATAATCCCTTTGGGACTTACATGAAATGCAGAATGGGGAGAGAGTGTAGAGAGAATGGGAGATAGGCAGGCAGTATAGAGGAGGTAAGAGCTTGGGCTTTGGAGTAGACTTCGTGTTTGAATCTTTATGAACTATGGACAAGTGATGTAACCATTCCAAGCTTCACAATTCTCTTAAAAGCTTTGCAAATCTGTCTTTCAAAAAGTAAAGAGAGAATAATATTTTCCTGATAAAACCGATATATGGCCGGACATGGTGGCTCACGCCTGTAATCCCAGCACTCTGGGAGGCCGAGGCAGGTGGATCACGAGGTCAGGAGATCGAGACTATCCTGGCTAACACAGTGAAACCCCGTCTCTACTAAAAAATACAAAAAATTAGCCAGACGTAGTGGCGGACACCTGTAGTCCCAGCTATTCGGGAGGCTGAGGCGGGAGAATGGCCTGAACCCGGGAGGCAGAGCTTGCAGTGAGCCAAGATCACGCCACCACACTCCAGCCTGGGCAACAGAGCGAGACTCCATCAAAAAAAAAAAAAAAAAAAAAAAAAAAAGCTGATATAAGATTAAATAATATATAAAATGTATATTTGCCCCCGAGTCTAAAGGATAAGTGATGTGTAAATATATTATCTAGGAAACACCAGAGGGGCACCAGTGTGTGCATCGGCAGGGCTGAGTATCTGGAGGCCCTGGTGTTGGTCCCGTGTGCAGAACCTTAAGATATAACAAGATAGAAGTCCTGAGCTGTTCTGACCCTGGAGATGTGGGCTTAACTACAAGTGCATATTCCCATGTCTTTCCCAGCCACTGACAAGCTGGAATGCCTAAGATCGTCTGGCTGCCAGGAACAGCTGGAAGAACACCAGCATGTGATAGGGGACAGAGATCCAGAGCACTTCAGGAGAACTCGGGGAGCAGGCACCATCTTCCACTGAAGGGCAGGTTGTTATTAATCGTGGAAAATAATTGTTCTCAAAATCCTGGTTCTCTTAAAATGCAACTACCATATTTCATTTTTCTAGTGAGTAGAGTCACCAAATTTAGCAAATAAAAATGCGGTACAGCTAGTTACATTTGAACTTTAGATAAGCAGTGAGTGAGTTTTTATTGTATTTCTCATGGAGTATTTGGTAAGCCTAGCTCTGAGCAATGTTGATTTCTAGGTATCCTTTCTCTAGTTTAACCATCACAGATGTGACTGTGTTGGAAAACATTGGTTCCCAGATGTCATAGGAATGGTTGATAAGGGATGGCTCTTAGAACTCTGAATCAAGGAAAGGCCCAGGAACCCACAAGTATTCTACATCTTAACCACTATCCCAAAACAGCATTGCTATTGCTATTGCTATTCTTAACTCTCTCTGTAGTGGCAATGAAAATCCCACATTCTGCACATGTGAAGTGTCTCTCCACTGTACATTGTTTCCTTTTAATTTTCCAAATTCATATTCTTCTCATTAAAATACCAGACACTCACATTAAGACAGAGTCTCCGTCTGTGGTTCAGGCAGGAGTGTAGTGGTACAATCATAGCTCTCTGCAGCCTTGACTTTCTGGGCTCAAGCAGTCCTCCCAACTCAGCCTCTTCCCTGGTAGCTGGACTATAAATAAGCATGTGCCACAATGCTCAGCTACTTTTTAAATTTTTTGTACAGACCGGCTCTCGCTATGTTGCCCAGGCTGGCCTCAAACTCCTGAACTCAAGCAATCCACCTACCTCAGCCTCCCAAAATGTTGGAATTACACTGCGCCCAGCTCTTTTTTCTAAATAAATAAACAACACTTCGATTTCTGTTTTTAATCACCCCATCCCCATACGAGATCACTATTAATCGTGGTTGAAATTTCCCACAAAGTCAGTGTTGTCTTGCTTTGCACTATCAAAAGTTACCCTTATGGCCTACAAGGAATTATCGGGTTGGTGCAAAAGTCACTGTGATTTAAGCCATTACTTTCAATGGCAAAAACAGCAGTGACTTTTGCACCAACCTAATACAAATATTTACGATTTTGATGTGACTTCTTTAAACGTCTGAATACCCCAAATGTGTATTTAAAAAACTACTTTGAAACATTTTAGGTAAGTATGTATGAGTCAAAACATCTGTGAGGGGGAAAATGACAATTTATCTGTATTTCAAAGATCCTATCTCCAACTTTACCGAGGTACAACTCGCGAAGGGCAGTGAGAGACTGTCGCAGTTTTGAGTCTGGTTTCATGTCTCTATTCTACCCATATGTGGAGGTCATCTGATAAGCATGGGTCACCCTCATGGCAGGAGCAGTTCCTTATCCATGCTCATGGCCCTAACAGTGATCTTTCACACCATTCCTTGGGCAGAAACACATTTAATTATTGTTATGCAAGAAATGTATCCTTGCAAACCACTGAACTTGTCACAAGGTGGTTTGTAAACATTTCTCATGCAAATAACCCTCTGGTGACTGACAGCAGTCCCTTCCAGGGCCTCTTTCCTGCAGTGCTGATTCAGTGGGGCGGGGGTGGCTGGCTCTCAAGGAGGGCCCAGGATCCCGCATTGTTTTTTTGTTTGTTTGTTTTGTTTGTTTGTTTGTATTTTTTATTATTATCCTTTAAGTTCTAGGGTACATGTGCACGACGTGCAGGTTAGTTACGTATGTATACATGTGCCATGTTGGTGTGCTGCACCCATTAACTCGTCATTTAACATTAGGTATATCTCCTAATGCTATCCCTCCCCCCTCCCCCCACCCCACAACAGGCCCCGGTGTGTGATGTTCCCCTTCCTGTGTCCATGTGTTCTCGTTGGGTCTGCGTTTTAACCACTACCCCAATCTGACCCAAGTGATGCTGGTTCTCTGAACACACTTCGAAGAATAATGCTGTCCCCTCTATAAACTGCTCACAGATCTACGAAGATGCCAGCAAAGTGACAGAGAAGGCTTATAGGTTTAAGATCTCAAAAGAACTTCAATCCAGGGTTAAAGAGAAAAGCAAAACTAAAAGTTAAACATCAGAAGGATACCTCAGTCAAATGAGCTTTCCAGGGTTCCTCAATCTTCCCCAATTCCTGAGCTTGATATTGACCTGGGAAAGGTCAAGCTTTAAAGTTAAATGCAGAACCTTTTAACAGCTGCCTATCTGGGGCCGAGGAGGGTACACATGTGGAGCAGGACCTGGAAGGCCATGCCATTCCTGTGGCCCCTGCACTCCTGGTCCTGCAGCACCTAGTAACCCAGCCTGGATCGGGCATGACATGTCATGCCACAAAATTCCCCTCTGCATTTGAACGTAGTCTTTCTTTCTCAGATACCCTCCATGGCCACTATTTTTCTACCACTGCTCTCTTCTGACCTAAACTAGTAAGTACAGTTTTCCCTTTGTTACACACTACAGGCATGATCTGCTTTTATCATTCAATGGCAACAATGTCTTGATATGGTCACTTGGTGTCCTGTGAAAATTATTTCTTCTGGGACACAGGTCGTGTTTTTGATGCAAATAAAAAACACTGTTGTCAGGGACAATAAAAGGCTTGGCTTCCTACAAATAGCAAAATTGAGATAAGAAAGCAAAGTTCACGCAACATAGCTGAGTGGACAGGACTCAGCTGAGTGCCTGACCACTTAGGTTTCACAGCTCCATCTCCACCATCCGACTACCCTTGCATAAGTTAATGAACCTCTCTGTGCCTCTGTGTCCTCATATTTATTGTTTTTTTATGTCTCTTAATTTTTATGACTCATAAAAAGCTTTATTTTTAATTTAGCTTTCTGCCTCTGTGCTTGTTCCTTCAACACTTTTGACAACAATTTTCTGCTCCTCAATAAGGACAGCATGCTTGATCCCTTCACAGGCACATTTAGCACACATGCAATCACCATAGGCCCTGCTGACATGTTTCAGTGTTTTGGACAAGCTCATAAGATTTTAGGTCTCACAGCATGAAACGCTTGAACACGCTGAATACAGATTTTGGTGCTTTCCGAAGCTTCTTGGTATAAAGGTAAACAATTTTACTACTATGGGTTCTGTGGCAGCTGAGTTTAGTAAGAAGCTGTATTGCAGGAAAGCCTATGACGATTTGTCAAACACTGGACCATTCTGAGTGCCTCTAGACATCATCCCCAGAAGAGGAAAAAGCTCATCTTTAAATCAAAGAAAACTCCAGCAACGATCTGGCGAGGAATGCTTTGAAGTTTAGATGTCAGTTGATATCAAGTGCGTAGAATCCAGTATGCTCAGTAAATATGAGCTCTCATCATCACTAGAAGAGAATGTTCAGAGCACTGATGCCCCCATCGGCTCCATGGACAATCATCATCGTTCCTGTCTTTCTGTGACCTACTCAATAAGAAACTATTATTGCCACTGGTTAGTTGCATCGTTCCATTGGCCACGTTAAGTACATTCATCTCCCCTTTCTTACCTAGAGCATGAACATATATGCAGTCTCTGAGACTCTGTTATCCCTATACTTTTCAAACCTCCGTCAATTATAGATGTGTGTGTGTGTGTGTGTGTATGTGTATGTGTGTATAACTACAACCTTGAGAGCAATGTTTGTCCCCAAAATAAAACAAGGATTCATTCTCTCTGTCTGCCCTTCTCTGATTCTATCTTTCATCTTTCTCATTCTTTCTTCCATCCTGTCTCTGTCTCAGTCTCTCCCTCTTCCTCCATCTCCCTCTCCCTCTCTCTCTTTCTTTCTCTCTCTCTCTCACACACTCTCCTAAAATAGAAGTATAGTATTAAGAAGAAAATAAGTAACTGCCTAATTTCCTAACATAAACATTTTCATTTTATTTCCTATGGTTCCCCCAACTACCCGTGTGAACAGAATTGAGAAACTATACTACCCTGGAAAATCGAATGACTAGAAATGAGCTTGTAACAGCCAATCTTTAAATCCTTTCATTCCTTCCCTACCCTTTCTCTTCCTTAGCTACGTACCATTCGCCTGTGAGGCTGGCATCCTGGCAAATAAGTGAATACATAGATTTACCCACAGAGAAGTCATGTTTTCTCTGCAACTCAATTGTTATTAAATACTTCAGAGCCAACATTTGGTAAGATGAGCTAATAACCACCCTTCATCCTAACTCCTTTAATTATTTGCCCTTAAACTGCCAACAGGGAAGAAAAGTTGGAAAGCCCCAAATTCTTTAATTGGGACTGTACCTGCAAGCATTACACTTCTAAATGAAGCCTCAAAGGCTCATACAATGGAATAGTGAGAAATGTTGCAGAAGAAGTCATCTAAATATGCCATGAGGAGTTGTACAGCTTCAGAATCCAGTGGACTTTTTTCAAAGGGAGAATGCAATTGGGGAAGAGAAAGTGGAAGACAGAGGGTCTGAGATCATGAAGTCTTATTCTGATGAGAACTAAAACATTTCCTAGAAACCAGAATGGGAAGTCAGTTTTTACAGGTTCTAGCATTTCACAACTTCCGAAGATGTGCAGGTGGCTAAAACTGACTTTTTATTTCTTAAAAAAAAAAATCTACCTGGCATTGCATTTGCAAGAGGGCTCAGGCCTGCTGCTGCTTTGTGATAGAATAATTAATAATTATTATTATAATTACTAATTATTATAATTAATAATACCAGAAGTCCATGGTACCATTTTCTCATGAGAACTACACAATAGCTAAGCTTTCTGGAAACTTAAAACATCTCAAAATGCATGGTACACTTTTTTTTTTCACCAAAATTTCCCTAAAATATACTATTTTACAAGGTTAATTCCTAGAATTACAGAGGAAAAAAACCCTGAAATTTTGAATTCATGCAGAAGAAATGAACTATAGTAGTTTGTACTTTCTGAAAGCATATTCTCTGACTTTGTTATAAGAGTTCCAGGCTAGGCATAGTGGCTCATGCCTGTAATCCCAACACTAAGGGAGGCTGAGGTGGGAGGATCACTTGAGGCCAGGAGTTTGAGACCAGCCTGGGCAACATATTAAGACCTTGTCCCCACAAAAAATTAAAAAATAGCCAGCTGTGGTGGCACATGCTTGTAGTCCTAACTACTTGGAAGCTACGGAGGATTGCTTGAGCCCAGAATTTCAAGGCTTCAGTGTGAGCTGTGATTGTGCCACTGCACTCCAGCCTGGACAACAGAGCAAGACTCTGTCTCAAAAACAAACAAACAAAAAAATCCAGCATATATAAAATACTTTCTTATTTTTCTGACCAGGGTTTCAAAAAGGGAACAACCCAAATGTGATGGTCTACCTAGTAAATCACAACCATATTCATATCTATAAACTCAAGTTGCTTAACAAAGGCAAATTAGGATTTTTTTCTCTTTAGGTGTTTGTTAATACCTGTAAAGAATGGGACACAGTGGAAACGTGATGCGATATATTTAGTCTAGTACCAATCTGAGTTAAAATGAAGGATGTAACTGAAAGAAAGAAATATGATGTAAAGAGAGATTTATTTGTATATTATTTCCCTAAGACAGTTTCCTTCTAGAAACTTCTAGAAGTTGAATGGCTATGCAAAAGTATCTTCTTGTTTCTTAACTTGTATTGCCAGGATGCATTGCACTGAAAACGGTAAAGTGGAATGAGATCTCTGCTTTCCTTAGTTACTCTCAAATTAACAGCTGGTTAACAAAAGCCGTCTTAGGTATTAGTAGCTCAAAAACCTCTTCTATGTATTACAAAGCCCTACAACAAGTGAGCCCAGGAGGTCAATGAAAATGCAATGTATGGACTTTTCCTATCCAGGCAGGGCTCATTTTCCATTGTTTTATTTCTGAAATGAAGAGCATTTCCAAAGCTGTTTGAGGAAGCTGGGCTGCTTGATGATTGAAGAGACATGTGATGAACACCCAAGTTCTCCATCTTAGTCACCACATCAGCATCAGGGATGTGATAATAGCTGTACTGTCCTAAATGCATACTTTCCAAAGATTGGCCTTGCTTGCTGCTTTCTGGAAAGGAAGTGTCCAATGCATGCCTTTCTTCTTTAGGAAAAAAAAAGCTCCATTATATGCAGCTTCAGTAAACATCTCCCTTTGGTTTGATTTCCCACTCTTCAGACAATTAATTATACTCTTCAGGCTCCTAAGAGTAAAATCTAAATTCATTACTTTTTTTTTAAATTTATGACTTTAAACAGAAAATTAATGTTACTGAAATAAACAGAACTTTAGAAATCAAGCCAGTAACTGTATCCCACCCACCCCCTACAAAACAAAACACAAAATTAAAATAGCAAGTCAAACGAAAATTAAATAGACAAAAATTAAAAGCCAAAAGTGCCATGTGATTGTGTGTACAGTTTATCACCCTGTAAAAATCTAGATGAATTGGTGCAATGCAAATAAAACTTCAAATAAGTACATCAATTTTAAAAAGAAATGAATTCCTTTTCCCCCATAAAATTAGAAAGTGATAGTAGAGAAAATGAGAAAATGTTGAAAAGATAACAGATGTGTTGGGGTTATTCTGTTTCAGACTTTACCCAAGAGAAAGCGATTGGAGAATTGCCTAATCCTGGTATCATGTTTCCGGCTATGACAGGAAGAGATAGATCATAATAGATAAAAATGGAAAATGTTGTGAAAAAATCAAATACTTCTAAGAAAGACAAAACGCAAGACTCAGCTGTGGTGAGTGTTAAAGGAAATGAGTGTCGCAACTAGATGAAGCTCAAGACATATATTTAAACATGTTCTAATGGTGGAACAGTGAGAAGAACAGCTAAGAATAATGGCCTAAGACAGTCTCAGAAACCCAGGGCTCAGCCCCTGACTCTTTACCCTCAGTGATTCTCCCCATCAAACCCCATGATCTGTCTGGGCAGTCTTATTCTCAACACCTCCCTTGATGGAAGTCTAATCTCAGCTTCTAGATATTCTAACCAGAGGTCTAAGTCAATCCTTTCTGAAATTTAAATTCAATTCTTTTTTTAACCTGACTCTCAAGAGAAAAATTCAGGTACTTTCTATTTCCAATTCCCTTCTCTAAACTGAAACATAATGTAACTTACTTACTCTTCTCCCCATGAAATAGCTTACAACTTTTTGACCTCTACCAATGGAATAACTCTCACACACATACTCCTATGATCAGGCCTCTGATAAATATTCAATTATGTTTTCCACTTCTTCCCAGGGAGTTGCCTGCAACAGAAACTGCAAATGGCATACGAAAGTTTCCTAATTAAAAAATAAACCATATGAGTGATCATCTGCTTAACGTCTTCCTCCTCACTAGAATATAGGGTTCATAACATCAGAGACCCTGTCTCTCATTCTTAGCTGACCCATGGCAAGTACTGAATATGCATTTGCTGTATGTCTGGATCACTGAGTGAGGGAATGAACGGACCAACACAACTCAGGGCAGAATTTGTCTTTTCTCATAACCCCAGACTTTCCCATCTGTTTTGTTAACTTGAGACACAACACTTCCCAGAGAAGTGAACAAGCTAGTACTGAGGTCTGGGGGGCCTTCACGGAGAATGCTGGTGTTCTTGGAAAAACACGATAGTGGTTGAAGGAAAAGGAAATGCAGCCATCATTTGTTCCAAGGGAACTAAGCCTAAATCAAACACGTTTGACGACTCAGATGGGCTCCAAAAACAAATACAGAAATATTTATTACCCGAGTCGTTAGGCAGATTTAGAACAAGCAGACTTGTTTAGATCTCCTTTTATAAATAGAGTTAAGTACAATATGCTTTTTCAAAAATATATTTTTTAATTGTAAAGACTCTTGGGATTGTCTGGTAGAGAAAAAAATAATAACCACAGCAACATTCCTTGAAACATACCTTTCTGATTACTCACGAATCCTCATGAAAACATTTTGGGGTAAAAGACATTAGTATTTAGTTTAAAAATATAATCAGCAAATCCAGGAGAGAGCAGCTTCCCTGAAGATAACTCCCTACACTGATGCTGGGGTTAAAAGGGGTGTGGAATGTTCCATCACCTCACTGACACCCTGGACCACCTGGGAGCCAGCTGCCACTCTCATCTTTAACCCAGACACCAAGTTCACTGTCCCCGTCAGGACCATGATCTTAACTTCAGATATGCATCAGAAGCAGAAGAAAAACAAAGCTGTGTTCTATAAACAGTAGTAGTATCTTACATTTTGCATAGTACCTTGCCATTTACAATGAGCTTCTATGTATATTATTTCACTTAAAGACCAGGACAATCCTGTGAGGTAGACATGCTAGTACTATGAATGCCTGTTTAATAGACGAGAAAAATGAATCTGAGAAGGTGAAGTGGGTTGCCCACCATCATGTGTTAGCCAGGTCTAGAGCCTAGGACATCTAAACCTCAAAGGAGTGGGAGTCTTACTACCAACTGTGGTTAGATGACAGCTACCATTTGCCCTCTATTCAAGACAGATATCAAAAATTAGATTCAGAGCCTAGCAAGTAAGCATTCATCTGTTAAAACTTTATTTTTCCATGTTAAAAAGCTAATGGAAAGGAAAGAGTAGAGAGGGAAGTCGTGCTTAGTATCTCTGTGTCTCAGTTTTCTCATCTGTAAAATGGGTCTAACTATAGAACCAAATGCACAGAGTTGTTGTGAGATTGTAAAGACCCTGTAAAGTTGCTGACGATGGCCTCAGGATGGTAGACAGTGTTCAATAAAGCTTGGCTATTACCATAAATGAGATCGTCCAGACAACTGCAATAGGAAACTTATTTTCCATCTCTTCTTTCACAGGATATCTGGCCTGAGGTGAATCCAAACTTTAAAAGGTGGATTAATTATGGCAGTAAGTTAATAAGTCACTATCATGTAGATTATAGGAGTGTTTTCTTTAAATTATAACTAAATTAAAGAGAGTCTGTGCTAGAAGGATAAGCACATGCTTGGAACCAAACAGATGAGGCAGTCCTGAAAATCAATCTCTGCTGCTTTCTGGTGTTGGGTTCTGAGATACTCTGACCTCCTCGTTCTTGATCCATGTCCACATCCACTGCTCATGCTTAGACATGATGAGCCTTTCTTACTTCCTTTTATACACAGAAGTGATGCTAAAGCAAGTGCCTTCCTCTTCTTTTCTGAGAAATCTTGCAGTACAGAAACTTGTTAAAATTAGTTTAACCCATCATTTTCCAAACTTATGTAAACACAAAATGTTTAAGTATTAATGTTCCACAAACATGATCTGGGAAACACTGCATTAGAGTACAAAATGAGCAAAAGTCGGGAACCTCTTGGATACCATTGAAAGTTGACAGTTGAGAGGTATTATCACCTATGAGTAATCCTGTGACGCAAACCCAGAGAATAACTTTTTGGCTGCCCCAGTGAGTTCCCGAGAACATGGATGAACCTCGGTCCCAAGCTTTATACAAAGTTAGCTTTAGAATCTTTCCAGATACTGCTGGCTCTGGCTACATAGTAGACTAAGTTATTATGGAAATCTTAATACTGTAAAGCAATAACAATGTTGAATAAAATAAAAATAAGTTAAAAATATAACTGTGTACACAAGAAAGAAAGTAAAATCACAGATTCCAGAAATAAAGAGGGAACTGAAAGCAGTGTTTGTAAGCACTGGAACTGAAACTGGTGAGCCTAGGGAGGGAAGAAAAGAAAGGGTTTGGGAGGAAGGAGATTCTAATGGCTTGGGAAGTGAGAATCCCAGAGATTGGAGACCAGGTTTTTGGCTCACTCAAGGTGGGATGTTGACACTGAGACATTTTCATAAACTCAGAATTTTCAAATGACCCCACCCCAATTATTCTCTATCCAGCTAGTCAACATTGCAAAGATTTTCTATGCCCAGAGATCTTCATGGAGAAGGAAAGATCCCCATGAAAAATAAAAACCCTATACCAGCATGATGCATAGGTTGAGAGACTGCCATTCTACTATCTCTCTGGTATTCAAATCCTCAGAATGAGAATTTAACATAAAGTTTGCCCAGCCTGGTGAGATGCTGGAGGACTCACATTAGCAAATGCAAAACCACTTCAGAGAGACTCTCCTTAACTCAGGCCACAAAATGTATTTCTCACTGAAAATAAGTGCATAGTAAAAAATACTAAAATACACCAACAAATACTCCATTATCAATAAACTCAAAAAACAGAAATATTTGAAATCTAAAGACATCAGGGAAAAAAATCTGAAAAAAACTATCAATTCAAGATGTTAAAGATAGGAAAGAAAGAATAAAGCTCAGTAGGTAAAAATAAGACTACATTTACAAAAAAGTATAAATTTTATAAGAATGAAATAAAACTTCTAGAAATTATAAAATAAGATACTAAAATTAAAACTCAGTAGATGAGTTAGTCAACAAATTAGACAAAGCCGAAGAAAGAAATAGTGAACTGAAAGTCAGTTCTGAGGAAATTATACAGAATGAACAGAAAGACAGAGATTTTAAAAATGGATAAGTTAAGATATGGTAGATAGAATGAGAATAGCTAGCATGAAGCTAATAGGAATTCCAGAAGGAGCAAATAGAATGTGAGAGAAGTAATACTTGAAGAGACAATGGTGAAGAATTTTGTAAAAATTGATGAAAGTTGTAAGTCCTTAGATTAATTTAATTAGTAAATTCTTAGCTGAATGAAAAATAAATTCACACTTAGACTAAATAAGTGGAACTTCAGAACATCTAAGACAAAGAGAATATGTCTGTAAAAGCTAGTTTAAAAAATTTACAATCTAACAGCCGTTAGATTGTGAAGAACTGATCAGCAACAGTAGAGTCAAGAAGAGAATGAAGTAATATCTTCAAATGGCTAAGGAATATTAGTAAATTAAGAAAAAAATGAAAGCGTTTGTACTCTTTGACCTGCACTGAAATAATTATTAAAATATGATCTCTGTAAAGAAGGAAATTGAACTCAGAAAGACGTGGTGAGATTAGAAAAAAACAAAAACAATAGTGAGTAGTGAGCAAAGGCATTTATAAACATAGTTCTATCTCATAAACATGAGCTATAAATATAACAGTAATGATGATTTTTATTTATATAAAAGCAAGGAAAAAATAAATATTAGACCACAACATGATAGACTATTTGGGGTTTTTTACAGTTATAAATACCTTCTAAGGTATTTATATTGTGGAAAAGAAGAATAGAAAAGGGTAGAGATAAAATTTAGTGGTTTTTTTTTAAAAGGTTAAGTTTACTTGTTAACATAAGGGTGGATACTGAAAATGGAAATAAAATGCATGCTTCCCAAAGCAGGGAAAAGGTAGGGTAGGGGTCAGCACATAAAGAAAACTCAATCAAATATGAGTATGAAAATTAAATTTTTAAAAAAGAAAGTAAAAGTATAACAAATGCCTCAGTTTTAACAACCAACTGAACATATAAAAAGAGAGAAAATTAACCCTCATCTTGCATTATGTGGAGATATATGTCCCATATAAATTAAAATCCTAAAAATAAAAAGATATAAGTATAATATACAGTATATATACACACACATAGCATATTTTTATAAACACATACATCTCTATGTATGTAAATCATATATTATATATATATATAGCTAAAATTGCAGGATAGGGTAATGATGTCTTAGAAAACCAACAAAAGAAGCACAAACCAAAAGGAAAATGATTGATACAACTGACTCTATTGTAATTAAAATGTCTGTGTATCAAGAGGGACCATTAAAAACTTGAAACAAGCAAAGACTTGGAGGAATTATTATTACTTTCTGTGGCTGAGAAAATGTTTCAAAGATGGCTGCTGTGATATATTCCATCGCATCCCATATGTCTTTCTTAAGTGTGATGTTGACACTCTTCCCACAGAGTGGCAAAGTTCACGTCCCATACCTTTGACCCTAGCTGAAACTTCCAGTCTGCCTTGATCGACAGAGTACATGGAGAGCAAGGCTAAGTCAGTTCTGAGGCTGAGCCACAAAAAACATCATGCACTTCTGCTTTGTCTCCTGTGAGACTTGCTCTCGGAACCCACCACCACACTGCAAGGGAGCCCAGGGCACAGTGGAGGGGCCATGTGTAAATCTTCCAACTGATAGCCTCATCTGAGGTCGAGTCAACCGCCAGCAATAGCTACCAGGTGCATGAGTGAGTGAATGAGCATTCCATTAACCCAAGCCCCAGCCACTACCTGACTCAGCTGCATGAAAAACCCCACGTGAGCCTCCTGGTTGGGTCCAGTCAACCCACAGGACCATGAGAGATAATAATAAAGTTACTGGTATTGTTTGAAGCTACCTAGTTTGGGATAATTTATTGTATAGCAATGCATAACTGACACACTATTCAAAATCAAAAAGAAAACAATAACTCAATAAATAACATGGTGAAAAAAATATGAACAAATAATTCACAAAAGAGGAAACATGGTTAGATGACAAAGACACAAAAAAAAGACTCAACCTCATTTATATATACCAGAAATCAGGTAGATACAAATGAAAGCAACAGCCTAAGACCATTGTACACTTACCTTTTTGTCAAGAACTTAAAACTCTTAATAGCAAATATTGAGAGATGCAAGCTACAGTCATGGTTAAGAGGGCAGGCTCAGGGGCCAGGCTGCCAGGCATCTAATTCTAGTTCCACTCACAAACTTTGTGGCCTTGAGCAAATAATATAAGCTTTGTATACTTCAATCTCCTCATCTGCAAAATGGGTTTCTGCCTAGGATTGTTGTGAGAGTTAAATGAGTTAATATGTATAGAGTGCTTAGACTGTGCCTGGCAGAGGAAGCAATGAATAAGTGTTTATGATGACAATAATGATGACAACAATGAGGAAAACCTAGAAGTCTTGGGCAGTTTTGGTAGGACTGGACTATCAAGTGGTATAACCAAGATTTAGAGAGCAATTTTTCAATTCTCTTGTTGAGGTGAAGATGTCAATACCCTTCAACTGAACCATTCCACTTGTAGAAATGTGGCATAGAGAACTGCTAGGACATGCACAGTCAGACACAGGCAAGGATCTTCACTGTGACCTCACTTTCTAATTGCAAATTCTGGAAACAACCTGAAAGTACTCAGAGTGACTAGAAAAAGTGTAGTAATGGGCATTAGCTCGGTTTCTAGGCAAAGGAGCCTCCAACACTAAGGATACCATTTCATTCCTGGGGCTGAAGGCTGTCTGATACATGGAAGAATAGCGTGGGAACAGTATGAAACATTGTCTGCCATCCAAACATTTGGAGTAGAAACATCTCTTACACTCAGGAGGAGGAGCATGAGGTTGATGGTAAGGGAACCCCCAAGACCCAGTGTAGAAGGCAAAGCTGATGAGCCAGTTCAGGACAGGATTGATGGTATAGGACAATCGTTTCTGTCCTGTGGGTCTTTCCCATCCCACCTTAGCCTTTCTGTGTTTTTTATATTGGTACAGAAAGATGAATAAATCACAAGTGTGAATCATCATGGAGTAGCACTTAGAAGCTCCAACTTCAATCCTGTTCCTCTACTCTAAGAGACATGGTGGGGCAGCCTCGGCCAGGGTGGTCAGTCCAATTCAGCTTTCATCAGTAACTAGCAGTGCAGTTGCATGGCCTCTGTGAGTGTAAGTGAAAGTCTTGAGTTCAAATCCCATCAGTGCCATTTAGGAGTTGAGTTTCCTGGAACAGGACACACAATCTTAATAAGCCAGCAACTACATCTGTGAATTGGGACTAGTCATATCTCCTTCCAAGGACATTATGAGACTCAGGTGTTTGTTAAAACACCTTATAAGCTCTAACCTCAATGGCAAGATTGACTATTCTGCTTGTGAGAGAAAACTTGGATTTCTGTGATCCAGTAATTCCACACAGTGTAGCTTGGATGTCAGAAATAGCAACAAATCTGGAGATGATTTAATACAACCCTAGAGCTCCCATTATAAAATTTACATAGCCATTTTTTACACATTCCCATTTTTTTGTACACATAATAAATCGTGGTGTTAGTCATTGGTCTTTTAGGACAAGCTATTAAAGCAATAGAATTCTTAATTAATTTAGTGCAGAGTTTATCAGTTCTGTGTACAAAGCTTACTCAGAGCCCACTACATCACCCAAGTGTGGGGTTGGATAAAGTCAGCTCCCATAGAATAAGCCTTATCTTGTGCCCTGCAGTTTCCAGAAGCAATTCTTCCTAAGCTGGAGATTTGTTATCTGCTAGCCCCTTGGTAATGCATTTCCTGGAATAGGTCATGAGTAGTTGAGTCAAAACCTTCTATAGAATTGGCTCAGCACTAATAGAAAAGGGTCACTATGCTGCCACGAGACTCACAAATATCTGAATGTACATGTCAAAACTAGACTTCGAGTGTTCAGAAAGAGACAGAAAATGTTATAAGTAAAAGAAGTTTTCAAAGCATTTCTGATGTTTAAAAACTATAGAGCCAGTAGCATTATATGGTGTGTAACTACAGAAAATATTTTTTCTAAATAATAATCATTCCCATATAATTATTTTTCACATTGTACCTTTTCTTAAGTTCATGTGCAAATCTAGTCATAGTAAGTTTAGAATGTACAATACATAAAAGCTTTGACACATCCTGTCATGCCATTTTAGGAAGCATAACGATGTCCCATCACTTTCTCTCTGCAAGGGAACCAGAGTGGGGGGATCTTTAATTCATTTCAAACACTTTGACAAATTCTACATGTGGAAAAACACCTATGTCTCATTTTTTACTCTGCCTCTTCCCCTCTACCATCCTTAATTCCCACAACAGAATATTCTTTGCAGAAAAAAGGGGAGCGAGGATTCTTAAGCGAAGGGTGTTCCCTATTGCTGATTTGTTCAGGAATAAATAAAAGGCAGACTATGATGCATTCATTGCTATATCTGCCCCACACCACCCTCTTCAGGCCCCATCCCACTCCCTCCATGGCCCTATGCTCCTCAGATGACCTCATCTCCCTCTTTACCCAAAACTAGGGGGTATCAAAGACAATTCCCTTGTTCACTTTCCCTCCACCTCTAAACTGATCTTAATCACCCTTCCCTCCCTACTACTCCTCCATAAGACATATTATTTTAGTAGATAACCCCTCCATCTGGGCCCTTGATTTTAACCCTCCCATCTCTTTTGGACCTTTTCCCAGCAATTACTGCCTTTTATCCTGTATCTCTATTCTATGTCTAATGGCTCTACTGGTTCCTTGTCTTTGAATTATAAGCACCAATTGTCTTGTCCATATTACATGTGTATTTTAGATGTCTTATATGTGTGTGTTTCTGCATGTGTTTGTCTATATTCAAACCCTAAAATTATCTTTTTTCTTCTTGTTGTTGCTTCCATATTTTCCAAACAAGCGAAAATTCCTTCTTGCCTTCCTTAGCATCCTATTGAAGAAACTCTCTAAAAGGCCACCTGTAGCATGAACCCTACCAAATCTCCAGGCCTATTTTCAATCATCATTTGCCTGGAACTCTCTGAGACATTTTCTCCCCAGCAATGCAAAGCCGTCGTCTTCCCACCACTCATTAGCTCCTGCTCTTGAAAGCATCTTTCCTAAGCTCAGAATCATCCAGCCTGTCCTCCTTTCCCTTTGACCACTGCTCCTGATTTTCTTTTGCTTGTTTCTCTTATTTCCATTTTCAAAGTGTTCAAAGACCCTGCCCACCCTCTTCTTTTCTCTCTTCTCCCTCCCCCACAAGTGATATACAAGTTTTTGGTTTCAGCTGTTGCTGCCCTGTGGATAATGCTGAGGCTTATTTCTGAAGCCTTGATCACTTCAATGGAGGGC
Organism: Homo sapiens; assembly: GCF_000001405.40. Lineage (NCBI taxonomy): Eukaryota > Metazoa > Chordata > Mammalia > Primates > Hominidae > Homo > Homo sapiens. The sequence goes on from NC_000021.9 coordinate 35,485,030, forward strand.
AGGGCACATTTTCAGCTGTCGTCTCCAGTGTTCACTAGCACTTCAGAGGCTTCCTTCCTTTCAAACTTGATTCTCTCCTTCCCTTAATCAGCTCCTCCTTCTAATGTCCATCCTACTTTTGCTAATGGCAACCTGGCTGGCCAATTAGCCTGGCCTCAAACCGTGGAGAATTTTTTAACCCCTCCCCTTTTGCTTCCTATATTCAATCAGATATCAGATCTTGATTCTACCTAAGTGGTGTGTATCCTCTTCTTGCCACATTACCTATGTCACCATCTCTAGTCTCTTCCGTTCTAATCACATTTAAAATTACTCTAAAACTAATATTTGGATGCATGAATCATGTCTCTTCACTAAAATGTTCAATGACACCTAACTGTTTATAAGAGTAAACTTTATCTCCTCAATTTAGCAAAGACCTTTGGGACTTGACTTCTAACTGAATCTTGAAATCCTATTTCCTATAACCCCCTTCGCTACCATGAAACTCTTATCTGTGGCCACCCTGTGTTCCCCTGTAACCATGACTTATCTATAGTCCTTCTGCTAGAAATGTTCACTCTCCATCTCCACATGTGGAGATTTAAAGGATCTGTGGTGCCTTTAAAGGTAAGGTTGAATAATTTCTTTTTCTGCAAAGCGTTTCCTAATCCTTTCAGCTGATGGTAATCTTCCCATCCTTTGCAGCCCAAATTATTTTCCTGCTGTCAATATTACATAATTTGGCCCAACTGCATCCAGTAGGGGGAAGAAAATAGATGCATAGATGCATACTACAATACCATGAATGTGTCTATTTTCTCCTCCGTACTTGATTAGAAGGTCCTGGAAACAGAGATCATGCTTGCTTCTCCTCTGTGCACCTCTTTACAGTGCCCTAGCACAGTACCTTGCACTTAGTAGATGCTCAATAAATGTTGATGTATGATATGCCATGGCAGCTAAGAGCCAGGTTTCAGAGTTGAAACCAGAGTCACGGGATTATGATCAAATGAACTCAAGCTCTCTAAGCTTCATTTTACACATCTGCTAAATGCAAATGACAGCAATACTGCTTCGAAGAATGATTATTGAATTAAAAGTGAAAATAATGCATAGAAAACCCTTAACATAGTGCCTGGCACATTTTATGTTGTACTATTAATGCTTATTGTGACAGTACAGAAATGCGGGGGTTTGTTGTTTAAGTGAGTATAAAACGTTGTCATTTTTCTCTGGGCAATTGGACAATGGGTATAATAGCTTTAAAAATTTGATCCTGCAATTCCATTTCTGGGAATGCATCTTAAGGAAATAGAGGCAGTTCATTGCAAAGACTATAATGAGATAGAAATGTGTATAATGCCTAATGAAGGAAAGCAGCACAAATTTCCAACAGGAGGACATTGGTAAACTTTGAAACATCTGTAAGAAGAGACATGAGGCAGTTACTATACTTGCTTTGGGAAAAAATGTTTACAATATATTGTAAAGTGCAAAGTACCGGGGGTAAAATAGTTTGTAGAATAAAATTTTATTCTGGTGAAAGAAGGTGCATGTGTCAGTAGTATTTGTGTATGTGTGAACATATGGGAATATAGGACACAAACAAAAATGTTTGACAGAGGCACTATATGGCATGAAATGATTTTTATTTCTTCCCTGTGCTTTTTTTCATTTTTAAACTTTTCTGTTTTATACTCTGAACATGTATATTTTTGGTAGCCAGAAACAAATGTTCCTATTTGTATGTCTATTTTTTTCCTTTTTCTCTTCAAGCATGCCTACAAATAAATAATAAAACATTCTTTTTAACAACTCATCTCCCTGAGCCCTGCAAAACAGAGCACCTCCTCCTCCTCAGCTGTTAAGTGTTCCTCATCTGGACTGAGGGTAAAACAAACTTAGAATGAATAAACCAAGGTTCATTCATGCATTCATGACAAGGAATGTCAAGGCAAAAATCATGTAAAGAAACTCATCAGAGCCCTCTGTAAACCTTAACATGTAGAAAGATAGGATGTTTTGTGTCCAGGCCAGGGTTGTGGAGGTGGTTGAAAGTGGCTCCCATTGGCGACTGGTTGTTCTGGGTGGTTCTGTCAAAAGCACAGCCCACTCCGTCATCACAGTGGCAGGAACACTGGGCTTTAGCCACACCAGAAGCATTCAACACAACAGGTATGTCCAGAAATGGAGAATTCTTGGAGCTTTTGCTAATTTCAGGAAGGCAGGGTAAAAGAGAGTGGGTAGGGAGGGCAGAAGGTTGTCCCTTTTATAAAACATTTATTGATATTGGTTATCAAATCAAATTGATTATTGGAACCTGAGTTAAAGAATAAAAAGATCTGAAAGTAGTTAAAAGAATTACACAAGGTATAGGTACAAATTATACTACTTTTAAAATTTGAGCTATTATAAGTCCTAAAATGATAAGTAATTTATACTGAAGCAGAGTTAAACCATCTCTACTGTGAAAATAAGTTAACTAGCAAATGGCCTGGAAGATGATAACATTTTGTGCTCTCTTCCTGCCAATGAACAATAGACATAAATGCTTCTCTTCTTTCAAGATCTCTTCTGAAAAGAAAGCCTAATTCAAAGCAACAAGTTGAATAAAGCTTCTATGAAAATGCAAGCAAAACTCTTAGACTAAATGCAATTCAGGGACCGCCACAGTAATGGATAGTCAGTGCATCCCGCATCCTGTCTCCAGTGATAGTTAATGCATGCAGACTATGAGGGGGAAAAACCTAAACCATATCACTTACAATAATGTAATTCTGATGTGAGAACTCATAGGCTTCCTTGACCTCAATGATGAGCATTTGTCATTTGTCAAGCATTAGATTTAATTACCCTTATTTATGTGCTTATCCAGGCTTCCTGGACATGATGGTCCCTTCTCAACACATAGCAAAAGCAGAATGACCAGTCATTGGGAAATACAACTGAAAACCCAATTTGGAGATGTATGTCTCTAGTTTGACAACATCATCTACAGCTGATGACCTGCTGTTCCGAGGGCAGGGTAGCTCTCCCTTTCAAAATGTACCCCACTGTTTGGCTGCCTCTATGGAGGTCAGGAAAAGAAAGTCGCTGGAACACACAGTGGACAGGTGGGTTTCTATGGTTCCTAAATCTGTTATCAGAGAGCTGGGGGGAATGGAGACTCCACTGCCCAAGTGCCTCGAGGGCAAAAAGAAGCCTGGCAGGAATAAGGGACCGAGGCAGCAGGCAGGGAGCACCAACATCATATTCTATGCAAGTGTTTTCTTGTTCCTCTTGAGCATTCGAAAATGAGAAAGGGGCATGTGGGTCGAACCCCTGAAAGATCGACTTTTAAGTGCTTTTTCCCCTGGAGAACGTGCGATGGAGAGGAAGAGAAAAGTGAGCTTGTGTTGGAGGCAGGAGCTATTTGAAAAATGATTGCTTGTCTCTGGGTATCTGATGATGTTAGGGAAACAAGAAGAAAGGCTCAAGGGCAAATGGAACACTCAACCCCAAGCGAGGCCTCCATGTGGGGCCTTCTCATCTGTCGGAGGGAGGCTTTGGGGATGCTTAATTAAAGAATCAAAGTAGGATTCTCAAATTGCTTTTCTGTATCCACTTTGTCCTGCTGGATTTTTTTTCTTATTCAACTATAAAATACACACATTTTTTGCTCTTTATTTATTTGTTCGTTCATTTGTTTTTTGAGACAGAGTCTTGCTTTATCGCCCAGACTGAAGGGCAGTGGCACAATCTTGGGCTCACTGCAACCTCCGCCTCCCGGGTTCAAGCAATTCTCCTGCCTCAGCCTCCCAAGTAGCTGGGATTATAGGTGCCCACCACCACGCCTGGCTAACATTTTAATTACACTAAAATTAGTAGATAACATTTCTACTGCTAAGTTTCCATTATTTTCTAGTCTAATTATTTTACCTCCAAACAAAACTAAAATAACTTCTTACATTTCAAGTGACCTTAAAAACTGTGCTCATGGTTGATCTGGAGATTGACCTTTAATTTGGGAAAATAACCTTATTTATGTCAAGAACCTTTATTTTAAATGAACTTTACAACTCCCCACACAAGTGGACACACAGTGTAGCAACTGAATGCATGTTTGTTGAATGAGTCAGTGAACAAATGATCATGAAGGATGATGATTATTAAAGAAAAAGGTGGAAACCCAAACCATTGTCTAGACATGAAAATGATGGACAGTTTATGCAAATCATTCCTAATGCAAAATTTCCTAAGGAATTTTCATGTGGTTCTTTCAGCTTTTCCTGTAGATTAAAATCAGCTCAGTCCTGACATTTTAAATCCTTTCTATAGGAAAGGAGAATAGGAAAAGAAGAAAACCAAACATAACACATGCACAGAAGCAAAACTGCACTGTTGATGGAGTTTAGCTGAGAGGGTAGGGTGTGTTTAGTCCTTTAATAAATTGTTATCTTGTATTGTTGATTAAGGCAGGACATGAATGCCTTGTATTTGCTGCATTTTTGATATCCTTGATTTCCTAAGAGGACACCGCACCCTGGGAAAAAAGAGAGGCTGGCTGGAGCAGCAGGCAGCACACGCCATTAGAGGCAGCTCTCGGTAGCAGTGGCCTTTCCGGCAGCTGGCGTCATTATAGGAAGAAATGGTTTCTAATTGTGCTATTGATTTTTCTCCCTCTTTAATGGATTATTCTCCCAACACACTCTAAGTTGAGACACTACCACATACCACAGGCATGTTGCCAGGGATGTATGTAAAACTATGCATTGCACGCACATGGAGCTTTTCCCTGTGTCTTACTCAGCAGGTGGAAAACCCCAGGAAAAGGGATCTCGACAGCCGTGGGTGAGCATGTGCTTACTCCAAGTGCAGCCTGGGTGAGTGCTTCACGTATCATTTCACTTAGTCCCAAGAATACCCTAATGACGTAGGGTCTGCTCATTTTGTAGATGAACAACTGAAGCTCAGAAAGGTAAAGAAACATGACCAGGGGCACACAGCTCGTAAGACACGGGCCAAGGATTCCATTCCACGGGAGTCCAAGTCCCTTTATCTTGGAAGTGGGTACCAGAGGACAGGGTCCCCACAAACATGGGACCTGACAAGGCCCTGCCCTCAGAAGAGCCTGTGCTTTGTTCGATTCTCTGCAGTCACTGTCTTGAAATGCTCAATAATTTTTGGATTAGGAGTCCCACATTTTCATTTTGTATGTGGCACCTGTTATGGCCCCAGGATTCACATGTTGAAGCCCTAACCCCCATGTGATGGGATTTGGAAATAGAGTATTTTGGAGAAAATTAGGGTTACATAAGTCATGGAGATGGGACCCCCATGATAGGATTAGTGGCATTATAAGAAGAAGAAGATAGATTTCTCAATCCTCTGCTCATATCATGTAAGAACACAGTGGCCGTCTGCAAGCTAGAAAGAGAACCCTTAACAGAATCTGACCATGCCAGCACTCTGACCTTGGACTTCCAGCCTCCAGAACTGTAAGAAATAAATTTCTGCTGTTTAAGCCATCCAGTCTATGATATTTTTGTTATGGCAACTTGACCTAAGACTCATATCTAGATCAAGTTCACACACACCACAGGAATCCAGCATGGTCTCACCACAATGGTGGGTAACCTTGACCCCACCCACCATCCACACTTCACCTTGACTAACACATGATAGAGGCATTTCACTGGCATGCACTGTATATGGAGTGCAAGCTTTGAGCAAAGCAAAATCAAATCCAAGCAGAATAGATTCCTACTTTTCTGTTACACCAGCAAGAAGAAAATGCATGTAACGAATTGTTCCTACATTACACTTGAAAAAAAAAAGTATACAAGTGATATACCATATTAAGAAACAAATTATTTGTGGACACTACAGAGTATTTGTACCTGAATCATGTTCAATTGAAGTGAATTCCAATCCTTTGAAAATTGGGAAGCCTTATGGGAGCTATTCTACGGCTTTGTTGAGTGCAAGTAGTTTATTTGGAAGGTGCAGAAATGGGAGAATGAAACAGGGAAGGAGGAAAAGCCAGTGAATGGATGTTACTGAGCTGGACAGCAATGGAAATCCACTAAGAAATCTTTTAGAAAGTGCCTCGCATGTCCTCTGAAGGATGGGAAACAGGCATCTACCTCTGGCTCCCATTCTCCAGTGATTAAAAAGTACCTTGGAAAGTGTATCTCCTCCACATTTACGGGCTGCTCTGTGATGGATCTTGGCACTCCTGCCTTCATAGAAAGCCCTGAAAGAAGGAAGTCCAGGGATATTGAGGGTTGCCCTTGAGGTGGGATTCTATCAGCCTGCCTGGGAGCTGTCCATTCCCCTCACAGCTGAAATCAAAGGGGATCAGCACTTGTGCTGCATGGCACCAAAGCATTTGCTACACCTCTGATCTGTTGACCCAACAGATTCATCTCTCAATGCAATTATTGTTAAATGTGACTACCCTTCAGTGGTTCTTTGCTGTCTCCTGCATAAAGAACAAATTCTTCAGCCCAGTTATCAAAGGCTTCAACATTCCAGATAAATTTTCATCCAAATTAGCCTAGTTCTCGTATTCACACACAAACTCTGCTCTAAGAAGCACAGTCTCATGTCCCCCTAGACACTTTCCTCACATCTTCATTCAATTCCTCTCACCTGAAAGAAACTCCTACATCTTACCTATCCTTCCAGAACTAGCTCAAATCTTCCCAACACTGTCCCTATATACCTCTCCACTCCCTGGGAACTTAACCACACTGTGTGATGTGTATTGTCTGTTATCCCAATAAAATGTATATACCTTCTCAAGAAAATGAATTTTCTTACTCCTCCTTTATCTCCTACAATATCTATGTCATTGCATAGTTACACATTACATCACATTAAATACTGTTAAAATGTGTATTCAGGAAACCAGAAAGATGTATGGCCCAGTAGTTGTGTTTTTCTGGTTAACTCTAATTAATTTCTCTCTATTTCAGAGAGTGAGGGTATTGGGTGCCCAAAGTGGGTTATTATAAGAATAAAAAATGATCTCATAGGTAGAGAGAGGAACCAAAAGCACAGCTGGTCCACACAACCGGGAAACTCTCAGGAAAAAAAAAGCCTCCTCATTACTCAATAGCCCTGTGGTCTTCCTTCTTCCTCTATTTCTCACTGTCTCTTGGGATTTTTCCTGTCTGCCTCTTCTGTCTCTTCAATGAAGTCAATGTAGACACCAGTCCTGCGTCTATTAGGTGCAATAGCCATCACCAATTGGAGAGACTCTCTGTCTCTGTTTAAATTTGTAAGAGAGATACTGATTGGTCACTGGCCAACAAGCTGATGGGTTGGCATTGGGTCAGGTGTCCACTTCTGCTCCAGTCGTTTATGGCAAACCTGGTGAGGTAAAGGAGCCAAGCATGGCCACCTGGGCCAACCTCCTCAGCAGGGATTATGAGAACAAGTCCTTAGAAAACAGGTCCAGGAGTCTAGCACATGCGCTAAAGCATGCCATCAGGTGTGAATCATTAAGACCTTGAATGTGAATAATGTGTGTGAACTGGGCAGAGCTCATGAAACACGTAATAAGAGACACAATTAGGATTTGCTAAATACTGGTCCTAGGAGAGCACAGTGTGTATGCAGGAGCGTTTCTATACCAGCTGTGCTCTTTCATGCCTGTCCTTCCATAACTGTGGGATGCCCTTTACACATCACCCGTCATCAAAGACCAATTCACTCACCAAAGGCTGGAACCAACGAAGAGCTGCTCTGCTTCCCTCACAGAAATAGTAGCTCCTACAGCAACATGTCTTCATTCATTTTTTATTCATTCATTTATTCATTTATTTTATTATTTCTTGAGTCCCTTATTCGTGCCAAGTCTTCTTCTAAGTTCTGAGGATACAGTTGTGAACAAAACAAAGCCCCTGCCCACATACACTTTCCACTCTGTCTGAAGGAGACCATCAAGAAACACTTATCACATAGACACTTGGTCAGCTATGGAGAAAGTACTAAGACAAGTAACACAGGGTAAGAAAACACTGATAGAAAATGGTATTTAGGGTGGCCAGGAAAGGCCTTTCTTAAGAAGTGATATTTGAATAGAGACTTGTGCAAAGGTGTAAAGCAGATGAAGACCTGAGAAATATGTTCTAGGCAGAGGAAACAATAAGGGCAAACCTCCTGAGGTGCCATGTTTTGCATCTTAAATGTACAGCAAGAAAGTCAGTGGTGAAGAGAAGGAATGGCTGGAAATGAAATCAGAGAAGTGGCTATGGCCCAGTTTATACACACATTTCCCCAATGCCATCTTCTATTGCAGTATGGCTAATACTATAAGTAGGGCTGGTTTTATAGACAGGCAATCTTGGAGTTACACAGGGACCTTTGTTCACAATGGTCCCTGAGTTGACTCAATGATGTTATGTCATCATCTTGAAATTCTAAGTTTTTGAGCAAGGGGCTCCACAAATAGGTAGCCAGCCCTGCTGATTATAATTATTTGTATAAATGTTGAATTCTCTCTTTTTTGTTTTAGATTTTGAGTTCCTGAAAGCAGAGGATGTCTGATTTATTATAAATTTTTATTTGTAAACATTAATTTTAATCACCCTGATAACTGAGTGCCATTCATAGCTCAAAAGCAGTGCACCAAAAGAAACATCAAATGACAATTTTTTTTTCAAATATTCAGAGCAAATACTACTTTCAAGAGGGAAGTCACCTTGTATTCCACTAAATGCAAGAGTGTTTGAAGCATGAACATGGAGTCTCCATTAATATATATATATTTTTTTAATTATACTTTAAGTTTTAGGGTACATGTGCACATTGTGCAGGTTAGTTACATATGTATACATGTGCCATGCTGGTGCACTGCACCCACTAACTCGTCATCTAGCATTAGGTATATCTCCCAATGCTATCCCTCCCCCCTCCCCCCTCCCCACCACAGTCCCCAGAGTGTGATATTCCCCTTCCTGTGTCCATGTGATCTCATTGTTCAATTCCCACCTATGAGTGAGAATATGCGGTGTTTGGTTTTTTGTTCTTGCGATAGTGTACTGAGAATGATGGTTTCCAATTTCATCCATGTCCCTACAAAGGACATGAACTCATCATTTTTTATGGCTGCATAGTATTCCATGGTGTATATGTGCCACATTTTCTTAATCCAGTCTATCATTGTTGGACATTTGGGTTGGTTCCAAGTCTTTGCTATTGTGAATAATGCCGCAATAAACATACGTGTGCATGTGTCTTTATAGCAGCATGATTTATAGTCATTTGGGTATATACCCAGTAATGGAATGGCTGGGTCAAATGGTATTTCTAGTTCTAGATCCCTGAGGAATCGCCACACTGACTTCCACAATGGTTGAACTAGTTTACAGTCCCACCAACAGTGTAAAAGTGTTCCTATTTCTCCACATCCTCTCCAGCACCTGTTGTTTCCTGACTTTTTAATGATTGCCATTCTAACTGGTGTGAGATGATATCTCATAGTGGTTTTGATTTTCATTTCTCTGATGGCCAGTGATGATGAGCATTTTTTCATGTGTTTTTTGGCTGCATAAATGTCTTCTTTTGCGAAGTGTCTGTTCATGTCCTTTGCCCACTTTTTGATGGGGTTGTTTGTTTTTTTCTTGTAAATTTGTTTGAGTTCATTGTAGATTCTGGATATTAGCCCTTTGTCAGATGAGTAGGTTGCAAAAATTTTCTCCCATTTTGTAGGTTGCCTGTTCACTCTGATGGTAGTTTCTTTTGCTGTGCAGAAGCTCTTTAGTTTAATTAGATCCCATTTGTCAATTTTGGCTTTTGTTGCCATTGCTTTTGGTGTTTTGGACATGAAGTCCTTGCCCACGCCTATGTCCTGAATGGTAATGCCTAGGTCTTCTTCTAGGGTTTTTATGGTTTTAGGTCTAACGTTTAAATCTTTAATCCATCTTGAATTGATTTTTGTATAAGGTGTAAGGAAGGGATCCAGTTTCAGCTTTCTACATATGGCTAGCCAGTTTTCCCAGCACCATTTATTAAATAGGGAATCCTTTCCCCATTGCTTGTTTTTCTCAGGTTTGTCAAAGATCAGATAGTTGTAGGTAAGCGGCGTTATTTCTGAGGGCTCTGTTCTGTTCCATTGATCTATATCTCTGTTTTGGTACCAGTACCATGCTGTTTTGGTTACTGTAGCCTTGTAGTATAGTTTGAAGTCAGGTAGTGTGATGCCTCCAGCTTTGTTCTTTTGGCTTAGGATTGACTTGGCAATGCGGGCTCTTTTTTGGTTCCGTATGAACTTTAAAGTAGTTTTTTCCAATTCTGTGAAGAAAGTCATTGGTAGCTTGATGGGGATGGCATTGAATCTGTAAATTACCTTGGGCAGTATGGCCATTTTCACGATATTGATTCTTCCTACCCATGAGCATGGAATGTTCTTCCATTTGTTTGTATCCTCTTTTATTTCCTTGAGCAGTGGTTTGTAGTTCTCCTTGAAGAGGTCCTTCACATCCCTTGTAAGTTGGATTCCTAGGTATTTTACTCTCTTTGAAGCAATTGTGAATGGGAGTTCACTCATGATTTGGCTCTCTGTTTGTCTGTTGTTGGTGTATAGGAATGCTTGTGATTTTTGTACATTGATTTTGTATCCTGAGACTTTGCTGAAGTTGCTTATCAGCTTAAGGAGATTTTGGGCTGAGATGATGGGGTTTTCTAGATAAACAATCATGTCGTCTGTAAACAGGGACAATTTGACTTCCTCTTTTCCTAATTGAATACCCTTTATTTCCTTCTCCTGCCTGATTGCCCTGGCCAGAACTTCCAACACTATGTTGAATAGGAGCGGTGAGAGAGGGCATCCCTGTCTTGTGCCAGTTTTCAAAGGGAAAGCTTCCAGTTTTTGCCCATTCAGTATGATATTGGCTGTGGGTTTGTCATAGATAGCTCTTATTATTTTGAAATACGTCCCATCAATACCTAATTTATTGAGAGTTTTTAGCATGAAGGGTTGTTGAATTTTGTCAAAGGCTTTTTCTGCATCTATTGAGATAATCATGTGGTTTTTGTCTTTGGCTGTGTTTATATGCTGGATTACATTTATTGATTTGCGTATATTGAACCAGCCTTGCATCCCAGGGATGAAGCCCACTTGATCATGGTGAATAAGCTTTTTGATGTGCTGCTGGATTCGGTTTGCCAGTATTTTATTGAGGATTTTTGCATCAATGTTCATCAAGGATATTGGTCTAAAATTCTCTTTTTTGGTTGTGTCTCTGCCCGGCTTTGGTATCAGAATGATGCTGGCCTCATAAAATGAGTTAGGGAGGATTCCCTCTTTTTCTATTGATTGGAATAGTTTCAGAAGGAATGGTAGCAGTTCCTCCTTGTAACTCTGGTAGAATTCGGCTGTGAATCCATCTGGTCCTGGACTCTTTTTGGTTGGTAAACTATTGATTATTGCCACAATTTCAGCTCCTGTTATTGGTCTATTCAGAGATTCAACTTCTTCCTGGTTTAGTCTTGGAAGAGTGTATGTGTCGAGGAATGTATCCATTTCTTCTAGATTTTCTAGTTTATTTGCGTAGAGGTGTTTGTAGTATTCTTTGATGGTAGTTTGTATTTCTGTGGGATCGGTGGTGATAACCCCTTTATCATTTTTTACTGTGTCTATTTGATTCTTCTCTCTTTTTTTCTTTCTTAGTCTTGCTAGCGGTCTATCAATTTTGTTGATCCTTTCAAAAAAACCAGCTCCTGGATTCATTGATTTTTTGAAGGGTTTTTTGTGTCTCTATTTCCTTCAGTTCTGCTCTGATTTTAGTTATTTCTTGCCTTCTGCTAGCTTTTGAATGTGTTTGCTCTTGCTTTTCTAGTTCTTTTAATTGTGATGTTAGGGTGTCAATTTTGGATCTTTCCTGCTTTCTCTTGTGGGCATTTAGTGCTATAAATTTCCCTCTACACACTGCTTTGAATGCGTCCCAGAGATTCTGGTATGTTGTGTCTTTGTTCTCGTTGCTTTCAAAGAACATCTTTATTTCTGCCTTCATTTCGTTATGTACCCAGTAGTCATTCAGGAGCAGGTTGTTCAGTTTCCATGTAGTTGAGTGGTTTTGAGTGAGTTTCTTAATCCTGAGTTCTAGTTTGATTGCACTGTGGTCTGAGAGATAGTTTGTTATAATTTCTGTTCTTTTACATTTGCTGAGGAGAGCTTTACTTCCAACTATGTGGTCAATTTTGGAATAGGTGTGGTGTGGTGCTGAAAAAAATGTATATTCTGTTGATTTGGGGTGGAGAGTTCTGTAGATGTCTATTAGGTCTGCTTGGTGCAGAGCTGAGTTCAATTCCTGGGTATCCTTGTTGACTTTCTGTCTCGTTGATCTGTCTAATGTTGACAGTGGGGTGTTAAAGTCTCCCATTATTAATGTGTGGGAGTCTAAGTCTCTTTGTAGGTCACTGAGGACTTGCTTTATGAATCTGGGTGCTCCTGTATTGGGTGCATATATATTTAGGATAGTTAGCTCCTCTTGTTGAATTGATCCCTTTACCATTATGTAATGGCCTTCGTCTCTTTTGATCTTTGTTGGTTTAAAGTCTGTTTTATCAGAGACTAGGATTGCAACCCCTGCTTTTTTTTGTTTTCCATTTGCTTGGTAGATCTTCCTCCATCCTTTTATTTTGAGCCTATGTGTGTCTCTGCACATGAGATGGGTTTCCTGAAGATAGCACACTGATGGGTCTTGACTCTTTATCCAACTTGCCAGTCTGTGTCTTTTAATTGCAGAATTTAGTCCATTTACATTTAAAGTTAATATTGTTATGCGTGAATTTGATCCTGTCATTATGATGTTAGCTGGTGATTTTGCTCGTTAGTTGATGCAGTTTCTTCCTAGTCGCGATGGTCTTTACATTTTGGCATGATTTTGCAGCGGCTGGTACCGGTTGTTCCTTTCCATGTTTAGCGCTTCCTTCAGGAGCTCTTTTAGGGCAGGCCTGGTGGTGACAAAATCGGTCAGCATTTGCTTGTCTGTAAAGTATTTTATTTCTCCTTCACTTATGAAGCTTAGTTTGGCTGGATATGAAATTCTGGGTTGAAAATTCTTTTCTTTAAGAATGTTGAATATTGGCCCCCACTCTCTTCTGGCTTGTAGGGTTTCTGCCGAGAGATCCGCTGTCAGTCTGATGGGCTTCCCTTTGAGGGTAACCCGACCTTTCTCTCTGGCTGCCCTTAACATTTTTTCCTTCATTTCAACTTCGGTGAATCTGACAATTATGTGTCTTGGAGTTGCTCCTCTCGAGGAGTATCTTTGTGGCGTTCTCTGTATTTCCTGAATCTGAACGTTGGCCTGCCTTGCTAGATTGGGGAAGTTCTCCTGGATAATATCCTGCAGAGTGTTTTCCAACTTGGTTCCATTCTCCGCATCACTTTCAGGTACACCAATCAGATGTAGATTTGGTCTTTTCACATAGTCCCATATTTCTTGGAGGCTTTGCTCATTTCTTTTTATTCTTTTTTCTCTAAACTTCCCTTCTCGCTTCATTTCATTCATTTCATCTTCCATTGCTGATACCCTTTCTTCCAGTTGATCGCATCGGCTCCTGAGGCTTCTGCATTCTTCACGTAGTTCTCGAGCCTTGGTTTTCAGCTCCATCAGCTCCTTTAAGCACTTCTCTGTATTGGTTATTCTAGTTATACATTCTTCTAAATTTTTTTCAAAGTTTTCGACTTCTTTGCCTTTGGTTTGAATGTCCTCCCGTAGCTCAGAGTAATTTGATCGTCTGAAGCCTTCTTCTCTCAGCTCGTCAAAATCATTCTCCATCCAGCTTTGTTCCGTTGCTGGTGAGGAACTGCGTTCCTTTGGAGGAGGAGAGGCGCTCTGCGTCTTAGAGTTTCCAGTTTTTCTGTTCTGTTTTTTCCCCATCTTTGTGGTTTTATCTACTTTTGGTCTTTGATGATGGTGATGTACAGATGGGTTTTCGGTGTGGATGTCCTTTCTGTTTGTTAGTTTTCCTTCTAACAGACAGGACCCTCAGCTGCAGGTCTGTTGGAATACCCTGCCGTGTGAGGTGTCAGTGTGCCCCTGCTGGGGGGTGCCTCCCAGTTAGGCTGCTCGGGGGTCAGGGGTCAGGGACCCACTTGAGGAGGCAGTCTGCCCGTTCTCAGATCTCCAGCTGCGTGCTGGGAGAACCACTGCTCTCTTCAAAGCTGTCAGACAGGGACATTTAAGTCTGCAGAGGTTACTGCTGTCTTTTTGTTTGTCTGTGCCCTGCCCCCAGAGGTGGAGCCTACAGAGGCAGGCAGGCCTCCTTGAGCTGTGGTGGGCTCCACCCAGTTCCAGCTTCCCGGCTGCTTTGTTTACCTAATCAAGCCTGGGCAATGGCGGGCTCCCCTCCCCCAGCCTCGCTGCCGCCTTGCAGTTTGATCTCAGACTGCTGTGCTAGCAATCAGCGAGACTCCGTGGGCGTAGGACCCTCCGAGCCAGGTGTGGGATATAGTCTCGTGGTGCGCCGTTTTTTAAGCCGGTCTGAAAAGCGCAATATTCGGGTGGGAGTGACCCGATTTTCCAGGTGCGTCCCTCACCCCTTTCTTTGACTCGGAAAGGGAACTCCCTGACCCCTGGCGCTTCCCAGGTGAGGCAATGCCTCGCCCTGCTTCGGCTCGCGCACGGTGCGCGCACCCACTGGCCTGCGCCCACTGTCTGGCACTCCCTAGTGAGATGAACCCGGTACCTCAGATGGCAATGCAGAAATCACCCGTCTTCTGTGTCGCTCACGCTGGGAGCTGTAGACCGGAGCTGTTCCTATTCGGCCATCTTGGCTCCTCCCCCCCTCCATTAATATTTTTATGAAAACTAAAAATTCAAAATGGAGGTCACCCTTTGGAATAATGAAGAAGATATAATGGGCCTCCTCACTGAATACAAATACAACATATTTAGAGTCACCTTTGTTGTTCCTTTATTTTCCTCAATCTTAACCACCACTGCTGCCTACTTTTATTGTTCCCACTGTAGAAAATGCTGAATATACTCCTTTATAATTAATTTCACAATAAATTTGAATGCACTTGACCTCTGCATGGCATTGACAAGAAAGATGCCCAATATAAAAACGGAGGGAAAACTATTCACATCTGAGTTTTTCAGTCAACCCAGTCTCCTTATTTGTTCACCTTTTATTTCTACTCCCAGATTTCCAGTGTGCCTAGAAATGGTCTCCAAACTACTGCAGAGCTACCTCCCCACAAATACACTGAATCCATCAGAATGTATATTAATACCAATGAATAGTGCTCCATTGGAATTTCCTATTTTAAAAAACATATAAAAGAACTCTCTTCTCTCTGTCTTCTCCACCACATTCCGTTTTTTGACTTGTTCACATTGAGCTAAACATATGGGTAACTGGGCCTCAGTAGGATCATTCCTTCTTAATGTCAAATGGAAGCAGAAATGAATAAATTTAATATGGAACCAGGACCACCATTTTGTGTGACTGTAGTGATTTCCAACGAAATATTTCAATGCTCTTCATTGCTGCTGAGATTTTCATAGCTTGGAGCTTTCTAGTCCCAATTTATCTCATGCATTTCTATTCCCTAGATTTTTTTTAAAGTAATATGAAGTATTTAACCCTTTCCTGACCCACATCCCTTTCACCTCCCCATCTAAAATGAAAAAAAAAACCCCAGGAAACAGCCAGCTAGAACAAACTCTGTTCTTTTTTATTATCGAAAACTATCTTACAATTTAGGCTTCCTGCTCTAATTCTATATGCACATTTCCAGCTTTCTGATTAATCTGCATTTGTGGATCAGCTGCCAGTGCCTGATAGCCCAAGTGCTGAAAAACTAACTGATTTTCCTTTTTCACTCCTACCTCTGTTTCAGTTGTATAACCAGTGCTCTCTTGCTCTCTCTCCCTCTCTCCCCTCTCCTCTCTCTCCCTCCCTTTCTACCCCATCTCTCTCTGGTCTTCTTTACCCCCACCTCCCATCCAACATTCTATCAATGGCTAAATGGTTAGTTCCAAATACATGATATCTCCCTAATGGATCTACCATTTTTATTCCCACTGGCAGGCCATGCCCCTGTCTGCTAGGCTAGTGCAGTAACCTCCCAATGGCTAGCTAGCCTGGAGTCCTCCTCAATCTCCTCAACTTCCATTCTGCTGCAAGTGTTAGGATTCTAAGAATGGTATAATCTCAAGCTTTTCCATAGATCCCCTGCTCCCCATACCTACTGTATACAAAGCAACATCCAAATTCATTAACCTGGCACCAGAATCTCTCTAAATTCCTTTTTACTTAATCTGCCATCCTTGCCTTACATATTGTAGTGGATTGATTTGGGTCCCCAGAAACGATATGTTCAAGTCCTACCCCACCAGGTACCATGTGACCTTATTTGGAAATAGGGTCTTTGCAGATGAAATAAAGTTAAAATGAGGTCATACCTGAGGTGGGGCCTAAATCCAATGACTGGTATCTTTATAAGAGAAAGGGAGGCTGATTTGGAGGCAGAGATATGAAGGAGACCCAGGGAAGAAGGTTGTGTGATGGCAGAGGGAGAGATTGGACTAACGCAGCTACAAGCAAGGGAAGATGCCAGAAAGGACCGTCCCCCAGAGGCTTCTAGCCTGCAGAACGGTAAGAAAATAAATTTCTATTGTTTAAATCACCCAGTCTTTGGTATTTTATTATGTTTATGACAGCCCTAGCAAACTAATAAGCCATATTTTAAAAAGGAAAAAGAAACAATTGGAATTAATTTTAGCAACATATTATTGGCCCAATATAGCCAATATATTATCATTTTAACATGTAGTCTATACAACAACTATTAGTCAGATATTTTACATTCTGTTTCTGGTACTGTACAGAGTCTCCGAAATCCTTAGGCACCTCCCAAATTCCCTTCCCTTCCCAAGACACTCAGCCTTGTCTCTCTGTTTCTCCCAAGTGTCCAACGTTTCAGGCACCCCAGTGAGTGAGATGGAGTCAGTGAGCAACAAAACTTAACATCGTGTCGACTTGTGTGGGATTACCTGTAATTTAATGTTTACTTTTTCTAGTAAAGGTTAAGCTCTACAAGGGCAAGAACCAAGTGTGATTATTTTACCAAAGGGGGCATTGATATTTCTTGAATGCAAGAAATAATCATTAAATGAATGAATAAGCTTGATCTTTACAGCATCGGGCAAAACTGCATATTTGACAGATGGCCTGTATCACATTGTAGCATAATAATGGCTTTTCCATAAATGAGTTTCTGAACTTTCCATTAGAACTTTAAAAACGAGGAAAGAGGATCTCAGGTTAAATTTTTTGGTATCTCTCCCAGTACCTCATGTCATCCAATATGCATAGTAGATGCTCAACAGACTATAAACAAAAAGTATTTGAAGATATGGATTGCAATATTTTTTGTCTATTTTCTCACCCATTTTGTTATTACAAATAGATGTGAGCAAAAATAAAAAAAAGAAGGGGAGAAAGAACGGGACTCCAAAATGAAATGGTGGCCACTTACTTCTTGATTTGAGTGGAATTTCTTCCAGACATTCAAATGGCACTTTAACTAAAATCAAAGCCTGTCAAATGTGACTGCAGATAATCCAGATTATTCCAGGTCTGTGCAGTGCTCACTACTTACATCTGACACCTTCAGACACTTTGTCCCCACTCCACCCAGCAAAAGGCCAGTAATTACAGACTACCTCCTACCTCCAAAAAGTTTGTCTTTTAAATTAATAGACTCTAATTTTTAAAAAACAGTTTTAGGTTTACAGAAAAATTGAGCAGAAACTGCAGACAGTTCCCAAAGACTCCCCCCTTGCCCCAAGTTTCTTTTTATTAACATCTTTTATCAGTGTGGTACATTTGATACTGATATTGATACACTACTATTAACTAAATTCCAGAGTTTACATTGGGAAGCCTCTTTGTGTCCTGTATTCTACGGGTTTTGACATATGCATGATGTCATGCATCCCCCGTGATGGAATAGTGTCACTGCCCTAAAATTCCCCTGTGCTGCATTTACTCACGCCTCCGTGTCTCCCTCCAAATCCCTGGCAACCAAGTATGCATTTATGCAACTATAAAAATGCAGGCTTTATGCAAAATACTATGTAACTACCTTCTAATTTAATATTGACTTTTCCCCGGGAAATCCAAAGTATTGGAGATTTATCATAAGTGATCTTTTCACTGTCTCTATAGTTTTGCCTTTTCCAGAGTGTCATACAGTTGGAATCATACAGTGTGTAGCCTTTTCAGATTGGCTGTTTTCACTTGGCAAGAAGCATTTAAGATTCCTCCATGTCTTTTGTGGCTTGATAGCTCTTATCTTTTTATTGATGAATAACATTCAATCCTATGGATTATTCCAATATATTTCATCACCTACTGAAAGACATCTTGGTTGCTACACATAAGGATGCTATAGACGTTTGTGTGCAGGGTTTTGTATGGACACAGGTTTTGAGCTCATTTGGGTAAACACCAAGGAGTATCCTTGGTGAGTCTCCTGGTAAAACTATGTTTAGTTCTGTAAGAAACTGTCAAACTGCAAAACGTGGTTTTGATTGCCATTATCATTTTGTCTCCTTTTTTTGGAATAATGATGTTTGAGAGTTAATCCAACCCAACTGGTCGTGTTATACCCACAAAAATAAAGGCTTCAGGGTAGAAGGAAGGGCAGGGGAAAGAGAAAGGAAGAAAGTGCATGTGAGAACATAAGCTTCTCAGGATTTTCAGCCAGTTTGTCAAGGGGGAGGGTTTCCTGTTTTTCTCCTCTGTGTTACAGACCAAACGTTGCTGGTCTCATCATCACAGACAAATTAAAGCAGCTGCCAGCACTGCTGGGAAGTCCTAAACCCAGCAGGCAGCTTCTCAGTTGCAGAGACACCTTTTGACAAATTCGACTCCTCCAGGGCCTGTTTGGAGGGAATGTGTGAGCTGTTCAGCTCTTGGGGCACAGCACATAAACCAGCAACAAGCGTCTTCTCTGCATCGTGGTTGACATGCATTTAACCGGTGAATCTGAACCCACATCTGTTCATCCCCATAACACATGGAACATGCTATGATTGTCAATGCCAAAAACCTGAAGTTCCAAAAAGCAGCTCCTGAGAGTTCCTTTCCTAAACAGTCTGGGGCTAAACCCAAAGCATGTGTCCCTTGGTGAGAGAGGAGGAGTGGGCTATACTCTCAGATATGGGGCCATAATCTTAGAAACTTCCCTGCCTCCCACCTCCACCCTCAGCCGCCAACATTAAACAGGAATAACATCGGAAACCAAAGGAGCCACCCAGACAAAACACAATTTATAATATTTTAATCACTACTGGGCTAGACAAATGTCTTCCAACACAAACTTCCCACACATCCTCCATTCCTTTTATTTTACTCCCACGAATCCATAAAGTTCCTCCATGGAGATATTGCAAAACCTTTGTGCAAACGGGATATAGCTTCCAGCTCTTTGTATGATTTCGTGGGAGCTTTGGTACAAAAGAGTGGTTTAGTATCTTGGAAAGTCTCCTTCCAAAGAGAAATGG